>NC_000003.12:41828181-42131212 GCF_000001405.40 Homo sapiens
AGCCAATATCATACTGAATGGAAAAAAACTGGAAACATTCCCTTTGAAAACTGGCACAAGACAGGGATGCCCTCTCTCACCACTCCTATTCAACATAGTGTTGGAAATTCTGGCCAGGGCAATCAGGCAGGAGAAGGAAATAAAGGGCATTCAATTAGGAAAACAGGAAGTCAAATTGTCCCTGTTTACAGATGACATGATTGTATATCTAGAAAACCCCATTGTCTCAGCCCAAAATCTCCTTAAGCTGATAAGCAACTTCAGCAAAGTCTCAGGATACAAAATCAATGTACAAAAATCACAAGCATTCTTATACACCAATAACAGACAGAGAGCCAAATCATGAGTGAACTCCCATTCACAACTGCTTCAAAGAGAATAAAATACCTAGGAATCCAACTTACAAGGGATGTCAAGGACCTCTTCAAGGAGAACTAGAAACCAATGCTCAATGAAATTAAAGAGGATACAAACAAATGGAAGAACATTCCATGCTCATGGGTAGGAAGAATCAGTATCGTGAAAATGGCCATACTGCCCAAGATAATTTATAGATTCAACGCCATCCCCATCAAGCTACCAATGACTTTCTTTACAGAATTAGAAAAAACTACTTTAAATTTCATATGGAACCAAAAAAGAGCCCACATTGCCAAGTCAATCCTAAGCCAAAAGAACAAAGCTGGAGGCATCACGCTACCTGACTTCAAACTATACTACAAGGCTACGGTAACCAAAACAGCATGGTACTGGTACCAAAACAGAGATATAGATCAATGGAACAGAACAGAGCCCTCAGAAATAATGCCACATATCTACAACTATCTGATCTTTGACAAACCTGACAAAAACAAGCAATGGGGAAAGGATTCCCTATTTAATAAATGGTGCTGGGAAAACTGGCTAGCCATATGTAGAAAGCTGAAACTGGATCCCTTCCTTACACCTTACACAAAAATTAATTCAAGATGGATTAAAGACTTAAATGTTAGACCTAAAACCATAAAAACCCTAGAAGAAAACCTAGGCAATACCATTCAGGACATAGGCATGGGCAAGGACTTCATGTGTAAAACACCAAAAGCAATGGCAACAAAAGCCAAAATTGACAAATGGGATCTAATTAAACTAAAGAGCTTCTGCACAGCAAAAGAAACTACCATCAGAGTGAACAGGCAACCTACAGAATGGGAGAAAATTTTTGCAATCCACACATCTGACAAAGGGCTAATATCCAGAATCTACAATGAACTCAAATTTACAAGAAAAAAAAACAAACAACCCCATCAACAAGTGGGTGAAGGATATGAACAGACTCTTCTCAAAAGAAGACATTTATGCAGCCAAAAGACACATGAAAAAATGCTCATCATCACTGGCCATCAGAGAAATGCAAATGAAAACCACAATGAGATACCATCTCACACCAGTTAGAATGGCAATCATTAAAAAGTGAGGAAAACAACAGGTGCTGGAGAGGATGTGGAGAAATAGGAACACTTTTACAGTGTTGGTGGGACTGTAAACTAGTTCAACCATTGTGGAAGTCAGTGTGGCGATTCCTCAGAGATCTAGAACTAGAAATACCATTTGACCCAGCCATCCCATTACTGGGTATATAGTCAAAGGACTATAAATCATGCTGCTATAAAGACACATGCACACGTATGTTTATTGCGGCATTATTCACAATAGCAAAGACTTGGAACCAACCCAGATGTCCAACAATGATAGACTGGATTAAGAAAATGTGGTACATATACACCATGGAATACTATGCAGCCATAAAAAATGATGAGTTCATGTCCTTTGTAGGGACATGGATGAAGCTGGAAACCATCATTCTAAGCAAACTATCGCAAGGACAAAAAACCAAACACCGCATGTTCTCACTCATAGGTGGGAATTGAACAACGAGAACACATGGACACAGAAAGGGGAACATCACTCTCTGGGGACTGTTGTGGGGTAGGGGGAGTGGGGAGGGATAGCATTAGCAGATATACCTAATGTTAAATGACGAGTTAACGGGTGCAGCACACCAACATGACACATGTATACATATGTAACAAACCTGCATGTTATGCACATGTACCCTAAAACTTAAAGTATAATTTAAAAAAGGTATATACCAAGGAAAATTACTCTCTATATCTACTTTTAGATCTAGTAGGAACATGATTCTGTATGATTCTATCTGCATAAGATTCTAGAAAACGAAAACAAGTCTATATAAAGAAAGCAAATCAGTGGTAGTATGGAGACAGTAGGGGATTAAAAAGGGTGCTAAGGAAACTTTTGGAGGTGATAGGTTCATTTTCTGTATGTAGTGATGGTTTCATAGGTGTATACATAAATGAACATTTATCAAATTGTGATGTTTAAATATGTGTTTATTGTCTACCAATTATATCTCAAGCAGGGGGCAGGGATGAAAAACTATAGGACCAAAAAAAGAAGAATTAGACTAGACTGTCATTATTGGTAAGACAGTAGACCAGGTACCTGACTACTCTTCTAATGAAAGCAACTGGTTTTATTTTGACACCCTTAAAATGCATCAAAGATCTGACAAAATAATAAAGAATAATTAAGCCAAAAATCAGACAATTGAAAGCATGGGATAAACTGAGCACTGAGGTTTTATTTTCTCGGGGGGTATACAAAACTTGTTAAGTTTGAGCCTTGATGTCAAGGCCTTGAGGGTCCAAAATAGTGGTAAAGTAGAAATAAATTCTCCAGCCCTATCCCCAAAGAACTGCGAGGAAAAGTGCCTTTCACAAAACTTGGCACATAATGTACATCGCACAGGGAATGTTTTTATTATTTTTTTTATTTATTTATTTATTTATTGATTTATTTATTAGACAGGGTGTTGCTCTGACACCCAGACTGGAGTGCAGTGGCATGATCACGGCTCACTGCAGCCTCAACCTCGTAGGCTTGAGCAATCCTCCCACCTCAGCTTCCCAAGTAGCTGGGACTACAGGTGCACACCACTACACACAGCTAATTTTTGCAAGTTTTTTAGACGAGGTTTCACCATGTTGACCAGGGCGGTCTCAAACTCCAGGGCTCAAGAGATCCTCCTGCCTTGGCCTCCAAAAGTACTGGGATGGAAATGTTCTATCACATAAAAAGAAGAGGGAGCAGGGAGCTACAAGTACTGACTGAGAAATATATCTATGTTAATTATTAAGAAACAGCTCCAGTGTACATATCTCCATATACTAGTCGTTTTTTTTTTTTTTAATGGTGGTATCATCACTTACCAAAGTATCTTGACCTTGATGGAGCTTACATTGAAAAATAAAGTTTACATTTTTATTGTTATTTTATATATATATATATTTTTTTTTCTTTCTTAAACTTTAGGTTCTAGGATACATGTGCAGGACGTGCAGGTTTGTTACATAGGTATACGTGTGCCAGAGTGGTTTGTTGTACCTATCAACCCATCATCTAGGTTTTAAGCCCCAAATGCATTTGGTAATTATCCTAATGTTCTCCCTCCCCTTGCTCCCCATCCCCTGACAGGCCCCCATGTGTGTTGTTCCCCTCCCTGTGTCCATGTGTTCTCATTGTTCAACTCCCATTTGTGAGTGAGAATATGCAGTGTTAGGTTTTCTGTTCCTGTGTTAGTTTGCTGAGGATGATGGCTTCCAGCTTCACCCATGGCCCTGCAAATGATATGATCTCATTCTTTTTTATTGCTGCATAGTATTCCATGGTGTATATGTGCCACATTTTCTTTATCCAGTCTATCATTGATGGGCATTTGGGTTGGTTCCATGTCTTTGCTATTGTAAATAGTGCTGCAATAAACATACATGTGCATATGTCTTTATAGTAGAATGATCTATATTCCTTTGGGTTTATAACCAGTAATGGGATTGCTGGGTCAAATGGTATTTCTGGTTCTAGATCCCTGAGGAATCGTCCTCCACAACGGTTGAACCAATGTACATTCCCACCAACAGTCCAAAAGCATTCTTATTTCTCCACAGCCTCGCCAGCATTTTTGTTTCTTGACTTTTTAATAATTGCCATTCTGACTGGTGTGAGACGGTATCTCATTGTGGTTTTGATTTGCATTTCTCTAATCATCAGTGATAATGAGCTTTTTTTCATATGTTTGTTGGCCACATAAATGTCTTATTTTGAGAAATGTCTGTTCATATCCTTTGCCCACGTTTTTATGGGTTGTTTGCTTTCTCTTGTAAATTTGTTTAAGTTCCTTGTAGATTCTGGGTATTAGACCTTTGTCAGATGGGTAGATTGCAAAAATTTTCTCCCATTCTGTAGGCTGTCTGTTTACTCTGATGCTAGTTTATTTTGCTGTGCAGAAGCTCTTTAGTTTAATTAGATCCCATTTGTCAATTTTGGGTTTTGATGCCATTGCTTTTGGTGTTTTTGTCATTAAGCCTTTGCCCATGCCTATGTCCTAAATGGTACTGCCTAGGTTTTCTTCTAGGGTTTTTATGGTTTTGGGCTTTACATTTAAGTCTTTAATCCATCTTGAGTTAATTTTTGTATAAGGTGCAAGGAATGCATCCAGTTTCAGTTTTCTGCATATGGCTGGCCAGTTTCCCCAGCACCATTTATTAAATAGGGAACCTTTCCCCATTGCTTTTGTCAGGTTTGTTGAAAATCAGATGGTTGTAGATGTATGGGTTATTTCTGAGGTCTCTGTTCTGTTCCATTGGTCTGCATGTCTGTTTTGTACCAGTACCATGCTGTTTTGGTTACTGTAGCCTTGTAGTATAGTTTAAAGTCAGGCAGTGTGATGCCTCCAGCTTTGTTCTTTTCGCTTAGGATTGTCTTGGCTATATGGGCTCTCTGTGGTTCCATATGAAATTTAAAGTAGTTTTTTCTAATTCTGTGAAGAATGTCAATGGTAGTTTGATGGAAATAGCATTGAATCTATAAACTACTTTGGGCAGTATGGCCATTTTCACAATATTGATTCTTCCTATCCATGAGGATGCAATGCTTTTCATTTGTTTGTGTCCTCTCTTATTTCCTTGAGCAATGGTTTGTAATTCTCCTTGAAGAGGTCCTTCCTGTCCCTTGTTAGCTGTATTCTTAAGTTGTTTTTTTTTTTGTTTTTTTTTTTTTTGTTTGTTTGTTTTGAGATGCCATCTTGCTCTGTCGCCCAGGCTGGAGGGCAGTGGCGCAATCTCGGCTCACTGCAAACTCCGCCTCCCGGGTTCAAGCCCTTCTCCTGCCTCAGCCTCCCGAGTAGCTGGGACTACCAGTGCCCACCACCATGCCTGGCTAATTTTTTTGTATTTTTAGTAGAGACGGGGTTTCACCATATTAGCCGGGATGGTTTTGATCTCCTGACCTCATGATCCACCTGCCTCAGCCTCCCAAAGTGCTAGGATTGCAGGCGTGAGCCACTGCGCCCAGCCAAGTATTTTATTCTCTTTGTAGCAACTGTCAATGGCAGTTCATTCATGATTTGGCTCTCTGCTTGTCTACTGTTGATGTATAGGAATGCTTGTGATTTTTGCACACTGATTTTGTATTCTGAGACTTTGCTGAAGTTGCTTATCAGCTTAAGGAGTTTTTGGGCTGAGACAAGGGGGGTTTCTAAATCTAGAATCATGTCATCTGCAAACAGAGACAATTTCACTTCCTCCCTTCCTATTTAAATGCGCTTTATTTCTTTCTCTTGCCTGATCACCCCGGCGAGAACTTCCAATACTATTTTGCTCCCTGTACTATTCCTAACAGTGTATAACTATTGAGTGAAAAAAGTGAGTTTCTACCTGTTGCCTAAAATGATACAAAATCTACATTTGTATTTGCTCATATATACAAAATTAACTCTGTAAATATAAGAAATTATATTTGTATTTTATAATATTTATATTAAATTACACATAATTATAATATTTATTGGGGAGCTGGACAGATGGGGTACAAAACTAGGAAAAAGACTTCTCCCCATATACCTTTCTTCACTTTCCAGTGTTCTAGGTTTGTGAATATGTTGTCCCTTTGAAATACAAAATTACCTGAGAATAAATTCAACCAAAGAAAGATGTACAAAGGCATTCTGTATAGAATAAAAGAATTGCAACAAAATTTTTTTATATATTAATATATGTAAATACTACTTTTGTGCATTGGAGGACTATATAAATATCATAAAGATATCAATACTTTCCCAATCAATACACAGATTCAGTACAATTCCAAATGTGATTTGGAAGACTCAAAATCGTAACGATATTAGTTATCAAATTTATCTACATAATCAGTGTAGTTTTTAAAAACAGATGATTTGCAGAATTGGACAAGCTGATTCTAAAATTTATTCTGATATGCGAAGGGCCAGGAATAGTCAAGACACTCACAAAAACAAAGAATGAAGAGGACGGATTTGCTGTACCAGCTATCAGTACTAATTATGGAGTTAAACAAGTTAAAATACTCATGTTTTATAACAATCATGGTAACTGCCTTAAAATGATGATTGTTCAGAAAGTCAGTTTAATTTAGATACTAAGGATATTGAGGTTATGTAACATTTGAGCAAGTGCTAGAACCAAAACTCAAGAAATACAATTACAGTCATGTACAGTGGCTCACACCTGTAATCCCAGCACTGTGGGAGGCCAAGGTGGGCGAATCACTTCAGCCTAGGAATTCGAGACCAGCCTGGGCAACATGGCGAAACCCCATCTTCACAAAATATACAAAAAATTAGCCAGGCACGGAGGTGCATACCTGTAGTTTTTATATATTAATATATGTAAATACTACTTTTTGTGCATTGGAGGACTATATAAATATCATAAAGATATCAGTAATTTCTCAATCAATACACAGATTCAGTACAATTCCAAATGTGATTTGGAAGACTCAAAATCATAACAATATCAGTTCTCCTCAAATTAGTCCCAGCTACCCAGGAGGCTGAGGTGGGAGAATGATCTGAGCCCAGGAGGTCGAGGCTGCCGTGAGCCATGATCATGCTATCACACTCCAGCCTGGGCAACAGAGTGAGACCCTGTCTCAAAACAAACAAAGAAATACAATGACATAACCTCCTTAATTACTTATAACTTACCAGTATTTATTTAGAACTCTCAGAGTATGACACTAAATGACTAATTCATAACTTATCACTATCTATTCCATAATATTCTTTTTAAAAAACCACATTAATGGAATATTAAATTTTGGCTTGTTGAATTCAGTAGCACTTCCATATTGCACCTTTAGATATAATAAGTCAAATTCTGCCTTCACAAATGCCCATAGTCAGTTAAAAGCTGTATTTGCACAAAGTTGTGCTTTATTTAAACTGAAATGGAGCTTTCCATGGAAAGAACCAATGGTCTCCTCTTGCCTAAAGGAGTAAAGGATGGCAGCAACCTTGGGAGTACCTTAGGGACTTTCAGTCCATTGACTTTAAAATATGGCCTTCAAACCACCTACATTCTAAAGGAAAAGAGGCACTGGGAGGAAGGAAGGAGGGAGACAGGGTAAGATAGAAAGAGGCTGAGTAACACTGACAAATTCTCTCCCCAAGAGGTAAAATTTATCCTAAGTTCCTCAGGCGTGCTCTAAGGCGCAAAATCAAAAAACTTTTATAGGATATTAATACTTGTCAGCCAGAGTATGTCAGAACATGTCAAACAGCAACAGAGTTAATCAGACAGTCTCACCTGGGTGGCTACAAGATAGATCAGCTCCCCAAGGGTTGGTAAAAGGCACTGTTTTAATTTGCTGTTCCTGAAGTTTTCCCTAATTAATTCAGTTAAGAGAACAATTGCCTGCAAAGACAAAAAAAAAAAAAGTAAATTATTTCAAATGTATCTCTCAGTTCTTAAACCTATATGTAAAAAGCAGGATACCCTGTAAAAGTCACCATTTTTAAGAACTATTTTCCAAATTATTTTCAAAATATGGGCCTTATATTCCTGAAAATACAGTAACTCTCCCAGATGAAGTTTAGAAATATATTCAGTAAAATAAACACATATAGCCCTTTTCAGTTTATAATTTTTTTTTTAACCCAGGCTGGAGTGCAGTGGCATAATCTTGGTTAACTACAACCTCTGCCTCCTGGGTTCAAGAGATTCTTGTGCCTCAACCTCCCGAGTAGCTGGGATTACAAGCGCACGCCACCAAGTCCGGCTAATTTTTGTATTCTTAGTAGAGACGGGGTTTTGCCATGTTGGCCAGGCTGATCTCAAACTCCTGGCCTCAAGATCCACCCACCTCGACCTCCCAAAGTGCTGGGATTACAGGAGTGAGTCAGTGCACCTGACTCACTTTTCAGTTTATAAAGCACTTCCACCGTATCACTAATCCTGAGAGGCAATTAATTGCTGCCCTATCTTTAAAGAGTAAATAGAGGCTGAGAGAGGTTCCAGCAACTGGCCCCAAGCCATCCAGTTCACTTGGACAGCCAGGATCCTAAAACGAATTTTACCATGCCACGTCCCTGGTATGCTCCGGCACAACACAGTTTAAAAAGTTCTTATATTGCATTAAACTTTTACATGATTCCTTAAAAAATCAGAGCCTGAGAATGTTATACTAAAGTTGTAATATAATGTACGCTGAAACTCGACAGCATGTTTTATCAGATCTAGTTAATGTCCTAGGAGTCATGCTAAGAAAATCACATACACTCATTGCCAGAGTTCATACACCAGAACACAGGTTAATCAAATCATAGTGCGACCATGATTAGGACAGAACAGTTTCGGAATGACATACAGAATGGCTCCACTCTGAGAAGGAAAAAAATGTATATAAAATAGTGTGGAAGCACTACTCTCAATGTGACTCAAAGTGTGGTGCACAGACAAGACTATTTCTTACCATTGACAAAGACGTTAGTTTAAAAACTGAAAGTGCTTAAAAACTTCAAAGCAATTTGACAATTCCACAACATCCAAGCATGCAATCACTGGTCTCATTTTGCAAATAAGAGTATGAAAAAGTTGGAGATGCAGGTGGGACAGCTGCACAGTAGTCATGCACTGTAGGAGTACTTGTTAATGTGCGATTTAACAGCTTTACTGAGGTATAACTTATATAAAATCAATGCATATATTTAAAGTGTACAAATAGACACATTTGGCATATGTATACACCTGTGAAATCATCACTGCAATCAAGATAACAAAAGCCCTCCAGTGTTTCCTCCATGTCCTTTTGTAATCCCTCTTTCCTACTTACTTCTTTCCTCTCCTCCCCAGAAAGCCATCAATTTACTTTCTGTCATTAGCATGTATTTTCTAAATTTTATGTTGATCATATACTATATTAGATCATACACTATATATTCTTTTTTGTCTGGCTTCTTTCAGCATAATGCATTTGAGATTCATCCATGTTGCTGCATATATCAATAACTTTTTTTTTTTTTTTCCAGACAGAGTCTCACTCTGTCACCCAGGCTGGAATGCAGTCGCACGATCTCAGCTCACTGCAACCTCTGCCTCCTGAGTTCAAGTGATTCTCCTGCCTCAGCCTGAGTAGTTGGGATTACAGGTACACACCACCATGGCCAGCTGATTTTTGTATTTTTAGTAGAGACTGGGTTTCGCCATGTTGGCCCGGGTAGTTTCGAACTCCTGACTTCAAGTGATCCACCCACCTCAGCCTCCCAAAGTGCTGGGATTACAGGTACGAGCCACTGTGTCCAGCCAGTTCATTCCTTCTTATTGCTGAACGTATTCTATTGTATGGATGTACCAAACGTGTAACTCTCACCACTCACTGCCTTACACATAATACATCATCTAGATGAAGTGGGTGAGGAAGAAAAAGGAACCATGTAGCTTCACATCAGTCCTTGCAGCAGGTCACTTCTACACAGTCTTCCTTTTCCTTTGACCTTTGCTGATCATCTACTACACTGAATCATCTGAAACTGCCAGTGTTTAGCAATTTTTTACCTACAAAAACAGCAAACTGTCACCAGCACACTACTCTAAAAGAGAAAGAAAATGACGAAAGAAGAAACCTTGAAATAATCAGAGAGGAAGCAAGAACACAGTAGGCCAAAATATAGGTAAATACAATAGGATTTCTTACTGCTATTAAGTTTTCTAAATTATCTTTCGTAGTTGAGCAAAAATTGTAAAAATGTCTGATTGGGTTCTAAAGACATTTAGAGAATACATTCAAGATAATTATATAAAAATGAGAGAGGGTAAAGGGATGAAAAGGAGGGTACATTTTCTACACTTCAACTAGTAAAACGGTGACACCAGTAGACTGTTTTATGTATGTATGTATATAATACATACAGCAATCACTAAAAAGAATCCATACAAAGAGATATACTTAAAAGCACTACAGAAAAAGTCCAAATGGAGTGGTAAAAAAAAATGTTCAGTAAACCACAGGAAGGTAATAAAAAGAAAATGGAAATGAAAAACACTGAGAACAAACAGAAAACAAAAATAAAATTACAGACTTAGGATCAAACACATCAATAATTACACTAAATCTAAGTCAATAAATCAATAAATTCATACCAATCCTAAATGTGTATCACTCAACAAAAGAGCTGCCAAATATGTGAAGCAAAAACTGATCGAACTTGGACGATAAACAGACATCCACAATTACAGTTGTGAACTTCAACACCCCCCTCTCATGCACAGAAAGACAAATACTGCATCATCTTCCTCATATGTGAAATCCAAAAAAGTGAAATTTATAGACATGGAGAGTAGAACAGTGCTTACCTGAAGCTGGGGGTGGAGTGGGGAATAGGGAGATGTTGATCAAAGGGTACAAACCTTCAGTTAGACAGGAGGAACAAGTTTTCAAGATCTATTGCACAGCACGGTGACCATAGTTCATAATAACACTTATTTCACAATTGCTGAAAGAGTAGATTTTACGGCCAGGCAAGGTGGCTCATTCCTGTGATCTTAGCACTTTGGGAGGCCAAGGCAGGTGGATCATGAGCTCAGGAGTCAGAGACCAGCCTGACCAACATGGTGAAACCCCGTCTCTACTAAAAATTAGCTGGGCATGGTGGTGCATGCCTGTAATCCCAGCTACTCAGGAGGCCAAGGCAGGAGAATCACTTGAACCTGGGAGGTGGAGGTTAGAGTGAGCTGAGATCATGCCACTGCACTCCAGCCTGGGCAACAGAGCAAGACTCTGTCTCAAAAAAAAGAGTACATTTTACATGTTCTCACTACAAAAAATACTAAATATGTGAAGTAATAGATATAACATATATAATATATACATATAATATATACATTGTATATAATAATATACAATTATTTGCTAATTAAATTTTTTATTTCTAAATTTTAAAAAATGATAAAACTATATAGAAAATGAGCAGACATCAAAATAATAAAGGAATACTACGAACAACTGTATATATATAAATTTCACCACATAGAAAAAATGGACCAACTCCTCAAAAAAAACTAACTATCACAACTCACCCAATATGAAACAGATAATTATTTGCAAATGACATGATTGTCAACACAGAAAGTCCCAAAGAGTCTAAAGAAAAAAACTCCCTAGAACTAGTGAGTTCTGCAAGGTCACAGGATACAATGTTAACATTCAAAATACAACTGTACTCCTATATATTGGCAATAAACACATGGAAACTGAAATTTAAAACACCATTTACAATCCCCCCCAAAAAAACAATACTCAGGTAAAAATCTAACAAAACAGGTACAGGATTTGTATGCTGAAACTACACAATGCTATTTAAAAAAATCAAAGAACATCTAAATAAATGGAGTAATAGACTATGTTCATAGATAGGAAGACTCAACGTAGTGGAAAATGTCAAATTCTCCCCATATTAATGGACAGATCTAATCAAATTCCTACCAAAATCCTGAAACAATTCTTTATAGATATCAAAATTATTATAAAAGTTATATGGAAAGGCAAAAGAATTAGAACAGCCAAAACAATTTTGAAAAAGGAAGAAAATGTGGGCCAGGCACAGTGACTCAGTCCTGTAATACCAACACTTTGGGAGGCCAATACGGGAGGATGGCTTGAGTTCAGGTGTTTGAGACCAACCTGGACAACAAAGCAAGACCCTGTCTCTACAAAAATAATTTTAAAAAAAGAGTTAGCCAGGCATGGTGGTGCATGCTTAGAGTCCTAGCTACTCAAGAGACTAAGGTGGCTCTCCTTCTCCCTCTCCCTTGCCCTCTCCCTCTCCCTCTCCCCCTTTCTTTCTTCAGTCTCCCTCTGTTGCCGAGGCTGGACTGTACTGCCGTGGTCTCAGCTCGCTGCAGCCTCCCTGCCCCAGGCTCCGATGGTTCTCCTGCCTTGGCCTGCCGAGTGCCTGCGATTGCAGGCGCGCGCCGCCACACCTGACTGGTTTTTGTATTTTTGGAGGAGACAGGGTTTTGCCCTGTTGACCAGGCTGGTCTCCGGCTCCTGACCTCGAGTGGTCTGCCCACCTCGGCCTCCCGGGGTGCTGGGATTGCAGACGGAGTCTCGCTCACTCAATGCTCAGTGTTGCCCAGGCTGGAGTGCAGTGGTGTGATCTCAGATCGCCACAACCTCCACCTTCCAGCCGCCTGCCTTGGCCTCCCAAAGTGCTAAGATTACAGCCTCTGCCCGGCTGCCACTCCATCTGGGAAGTGGGGAGCGTCTCTGCCTAGCCACCCATTGTCTGGGATGTGGGGAGCCCCTCTGCCTGGCTGCCCCATCTGGGAAGTGAGGAGCGCCTCTGCCCTGCCACCACCCTGTCTGGGATGTGAGGAGCGCCTCTGCCCGGCCACCCCGTCTGGGAAGTGAGGAGCGCCTCTGCCCTGCTACCACCCCGTCTGGGATGTGAGGAGCGCCTCTGCCCGGCCGCCCCGTCTGGGAAGTGAGGAGCGCCTCTGCCTGGCCGCCCATCATCTGGGATGTGAGAAGCGCCTCTGCCCAGCCGCCACCCGTCTGGGAGGTGAGGAGCGCCTCTGCTCGGCCGCCACCCCGTCTGGGATGTCAGCTGCCCCGACTGGGAGGTGAGGAGCGCCTCTGCCCGGCCGCCCCGCCTGGGAGGTGGGGAGCACCTCTGCCCAGCCGCCCTTCATCTGGGAGGTGGGGAGCGCCTCTGCCTGGCCGCCCCGTCTGGGAAGTGGGCGCCTCTGCCCGGCCGCCCCGTCTGGGAGGTGAGGGGCGTCTCTGTCCGGCCACCCCGCCTGGGAAGTGAGGAGCGCCTCTGCCCGGCTGCCCTTCGTGTGGGAGGTAGAGAGCGCCTGTGCCCGGCCGCCCCGTCTGGGAAGTGGGCACCTCTGCCCGGCCGCCCCGTCTGGGAGGTGAGGGGCGTCTCTGCCCGGCTGCCCCACCTGGGAAGTGAGAAGCACCTCTGCCCAGCCGCCCTTCGTCTGGGAGGTGGGGAGCACCTCTGCCCGGCAGCCCCATCTGGGAAGTGAGGAGTGCCTCTGCCAGGCCGCCCCATCTGGGAAGTGTACCCAACATCTCCAAAGAGACAGCGACCATCGAGAACGGGCCATGATGACGATGGCGGTTTTGTCGAAAAGAAAAGGGGAAATGTGGGGAAAAGAAAGAGAGATCAGATTGTTACTGTGTCTGTGTAGAAAGAAGTTGACATAGGAGATACCATTTTGTTCTGTACTAAGAAAAATTCTTCTGCCTTGGGATGCTGTTAATCTGTAACCTTACCCCCAACCCCGTGCTCTCTGAAACAAGTGCTGTGTCAACTCAGGGTTAAATGGATTAAGGGTGGTGCAAGATATGCTTTGTTAAACAGATGCTTGAAGGCAGCATGCTCATTAAGAGTCATCACCACTCCCTAATCTCAAGCACCCAGGGACACAAACACTGCCAAAGGCCACAGGGACCTCTGCCTAGGAAAACCAGAGACCTTTGTTCACGTGTTTATATGCTGACCTTCTCTCCACTATTATCCTATGACCCTGCCACATCCCCCTCTCTGAGAAAACCCAAGAATGATCAATAAATACAAAAAAAAAAAAAAGAAAATAACGCTGCAATGAACATGTAAAAAAAAAAATAAAAAAAAAGAAGACTAAGGTGGGAGGACTGCTTGAGTCCCGAAGTTCAAGGTTGCAGTGAGCTATGATCAAGCCACTGTACTGCAGCCTGGGCAACAGAGTGAAACCCCCATATAAAAAGGGAAAAAAGAAAAAAAATGGTTGCAATTATTCTACCTGGTTTCAAGACTTATACAGCTACAGTAATGAAAACTGTTTGGAAATTGATATAGTTTGGATATTCATCCCCTCCAAATCTCATGTTGAAATCTGATCCCCAGTGTTGGACGTGGGGCCTTGTGGTAGGTATTTGTATGATGGGGCAGATCCCTCATGAATGGCTTAATGCCATTCTTGTGGGATTGAGTGAGTTCTCACTCTTAGTTCTCAGGAGATCTGGCTGTTAAAAAGAATCTGGCACCTCCCTCCTCTCTCTTTCCTTCTCTCCGACCATGGGATGTCTACTCCCCTTCACCTTCTGCCATGAGTGGAAACAGCCTGAAGCCCTCACCAGAAGCAGATGCTGGCACCATGCTTCTTCTATAGCCTGCAGAACCGTGAGCCAAATAAACCTCTTTTCTTTATAAATTATCCTGCCTCAGGTATTCCTTTACAACAAAGCAAAACAGGCTAACACAGGCATTACTGGTGGGATAGGCACATAGATCAATGGAACCAAACAGAATTCAGAAATAGCTCCACACAAGAATAGCCAAGAGATTTTTGACAAAGGTGCAAAGGCAGTCCAATGGAGAAAAGTCAACTTTTTCAATAAATAGTGCTGAAGCCATCAGGCATCCATAGGAAAGCAAAAAGTGAACCTTGACCTAAGTCTGGTACTTGACACAAAAAATTAACTCAAAATGGATCACAGACTTAAATGTAAAACATAAAACTATAAACCTTCTAGAAGAAAATATAGGATAACGTCTTCAGGATCTAGTACTAGGTTAAAAAGTACACTTGACACCAAAAGCACAGAGACATTGTACCAAAGAGAATATGCAGCCACCAAATAAGCACATAAAAAGATGTTCAACATCATTGGCAACTAGGGAAATATAAATTAAAACCAAAATAAGATATCACTACACACTCATCAGAATGGTAAAAATAAAAAATAGTGACAACACCAAAAGCTGCCAAGGATGATGAGAAACAGAATCACTCATACTGTGTCCGGAATTGGTGGGTTCTTGGTCTCACTGACTTCAAGAATGAAGCTGCGGACCCTCGCGGTGAGTGTTACAGTTCTTAAAGGCGGTGTGTCGGGAGTTTGTTCCTTCTGATGTTCGGATGTATTTGGAGTTTCCTCCTTCTGGTGGGGTTCGTGGTTTCACTAGCTCAGGAGTGAAGCTGCGGACCTTCATGGTGAGTGTTACAGCTCTTAAGGCAGTGCTCTGGAGTTGTTCCTTCCTCCCGGTGGGTTCCTGGTCTCCCTGGCTTCAGGAGTGAAGCTGCAGACCTTCGTGGTGAGTGTTACAGCTCATAAAGGCAGTGTGGACCCAAAGAGTGAGCAGCAGCAAGATTTATTGCAAAGAGCAAAAGAACAAAGCTTCCACAGTGTGGAAGGGGACCCGAGTGGGTTGCCACTGCTGGCTCGGGCAGCCTGCTTTTATTCTCTTATCTGGCCCCACCCACATCCTGCTGATTGGTAGAGCCGAGTGGTCTGTTTTGGCAGGGCACTGACTGGTGCGTTTACAATCCCTGAGCTAGACACAAAGGTTCTCCACGTCCCCACTAGATTAGCTAGATACAGAGTGTCTGCACAAAGGTTCTCCAAGTCCCCACCAGAGTAGCTAGATACAGAGTGTCCATTGGTGCATTCACAAACCCTGAGTTAGACACAGGGTGCTGATTGGTGTACTTACAATCCCTTAGCTAGACATAAAGGTTCTGCAAGTCCCCACCAGACTCGGGAGCACCGCTGGCTTCACCCAGTGGATCCCCCACCGGGGCCGCAGGTGGAGCTGCCTGCCAGTCCCGTGCCCTGTGCCCACACTCCTCAGCCCTTGGGTGGTTGATGGGACTGGGCAGCATGGAGCAGGGGGCGGCGCTCGCTGGGGAGACTCGGGCTGCACAGGAGCCCGCGGAGGGGGTGGGAGGCTCAGGCATGGTGGGCTGCAGGTCCCGAGCCCTGCCCCATGGGAAGGCAGCTAAGGCCGGGCGAGAAATCGAGCGCAGCGCCGGTGGGCCGGCACTGCTGAGGGACCCAGCACACCCTCCGCAGCCGCTGGCCCAGGTGCTAAGCTCCTCATTGCCCGGGGCCGGCAGGGCCAGCCGGCCTGAGTGCAGGGCGCGCCAAGCCCATGCCCACCCAGAACTCCAGCTGGCCCGCAAGCACCCCACACAGCCCCGGTTGCCGCTCGCGCCTCTCCCTCCACATCTCCCTGCAAGCTGAGGGAGCCGGCTCCAGCCTTGGCCAGCCCAGAAAGGAGTTCCCACAGTGCAGCAGCAGGCTGAAGGGCTCCTCAAGTGCCGCCAAAGTGGGAGCCCAGGCAGAGGAGGCGCCAAGAGCGAGCGAGGGCTGTGAGGGCTGCCAGCACGCTGTCACCTCTCAATACGTTGCTGGTGAGAATGTAAAACACTACAGTCACTCGGAAAACTTTGGAGGTTTTTCTAAAAAAAAAAAAAAAAAAAAACAGCAACTAAATATGCAATTACCACAGGACCCAGCAATTGCACTCCTGAGCATTTATCCAAGAGAAAGGAAGGCTGTTGTCCACACAAACATCTGTAAATGGATGTTTATAGCAATTTTATTTGTAATTGTCAAAACTGGAAATGACCCAGATATCTTTTTTTTTTTTTTTTGAGACGGAGTCTCGCCCTGTTGCCCAGGCTGGAGTGCAGTGGCGCAATCTCGGCTGACTGCAAGCTCCGCTTCCCGGGTTCATGCCATTCTCCTGCCTCAGCCTCCCGAGTAGCTGGGACTACAGGCACCCACCACCACGCCCGGCTAATTTTTTGTATTTTTAGTAGAGATGGGGTTTCACCGTGTTAGCCAGGATGGTCTCGATCTCCTGACCTCGTGATCCACCCGTCTCGGCCCCCAAAGTGCTGGGATTACAGGCGTGAGCCACCGCAGCCGGCCGACCCAGATATCTTTCAATGGGTAAGTGGTTAAATAAACTGTGATTCAACCACACCACAGAATACTTCACAGCAATAAAAATGAACAAACAACTGATACATCCAACAACCTAGATGAATTTCCAGAAAATTACACCAAATGAAAAAAGCCAACCACCAACCACAAAAGGTTACAAACCATATGACTATTTATACAACATTCTCAAAATGACAAAAATATATAAATGGAAAACAGATTGGCTTCGGGGGTGGAGGGCAGCACACACAGCAGGGTAAGAGGATAGGGTCATAAAAAGGGAATATGAGGGATCCTTGCAGTGATGAAACTCTTCTTTTCCTTAACTGTTTCAATGTCAATATTCTGGTTGTAAAATTGTATTATACTTTTTTAAGACATTATCATGAAGGAAAACTGGATGAAGTATACACAGGATCTCTCTATTATTTCTTACAGAGAGAAACTATTATTATTCTATATTATTTGTAATATAGTTTTGATATTTGTCCCCCCCAAATCTCATGTTGAAATTTGATCCCCAATGTTGGATCACAACTGGGCATGAATCCACAATTATCTCAAAACAAAAAGTTTAATTTAAAAAACTGTCAACCTCATATTAAATTCAAAACCCAGATCTGGCTTTCTGCTTCACAAAGTTAGTGGCAGGGATTTACAGCATTTCTCCATTTTATAATCCACTAGTATTTTGTGTCAGCAAGCGTCACTGGAAATTTAAAACATTTTAATGCTACAGACCCTTAAAGTGATAAAACTGTCTGGACTGCCTCCAGCATAATAGAAATTGCTTTAGAACTCAATGTCTTGTAAATAGACACACATCATATAATTTATTCCAGTAATGCCACAGCAACCTCACATCTCACTTGCAAAAGTTAACTTTGGATAGCATTAAAAAGTACTCAACAGATAATGGTTCTCCTCAAGGTTATTTGTATAGATTTTCCATTTGCTGTATTACAAATTTAAAGAAATAATAATAAAAAGAAAAATATAAGAATAAAGAACAAATATAACACATAAAAGACAAACACCAAGGGTAAAAAATGTATCTGTTGACCTAGGTACAATGGCAGTTGAAAATGCCAATACTAAATGAATAAGGTAAAATAGATTTAGCTCTTCAAACTCAGAAATCCAAGGAATATGTGGATATTGTTATTATGCATGTTTTCCTCTAGTCTTTAAAAATCCTCCTGGCCTTCTAACATTGAAATTACTGTTAAAAATCCTAACATTGAGGCCAGGCGCAGTGGCTCACACCTGTAATCCCAACACTTTGGGAGGCCGAGGCAGGCAGACTGTCTGAGGTCAGGAGTTCAAAACCAGCCTGGCCAACATGGTAAGACCCTGTCTCTACTAAAAATACAGAAATTCCCCAGGCATGGTGACACACACCTGTAGTCCCAGCTACTGGGGAGGCTGAGACAGGAGGATCACTTGAGCCTGGGAGGGAGAGGTTGCAGCAAGCCAAGATCATGCCACTGCACTCCAGCCTGGGCGACAGAGCGAGACTCTCTCTCTCAAAAAAAAAAAAAAAAAATCTTACCATTGAAACTAAAAGATAAAAATAGGATATTCAAGTATCATGCTATTATTGTGTGCATTTTTTGAAAACCATACATGAAGGAAAATGGGTTTTTTGGTGTTATTTCTAATACCGTTATGCTTTGAGGCATATCTATACCATCACTGGTTCTATTAACCTAACAGAAACTATTCTTGGGCAACCACAGGCATGACTGGTTGGCTGAATACTGCAAATAGTAATTTAAGACTGTACTGCCATTTTCCACACTACTTCTTTGAAATCAAAACCTATTTTATAACAAGTATGACTGGGTGGAGCCAGGCCTTTTTGGCTTTGTCTGAAGTCATCTGATAGATATGAAAAGGTGAAATGTGCTTCAATCTCATATGCCCTGGACTGCAACTCTTAAGAAAAATACAGGAAGATGATGAATTAGGAAGCTAATTCTAATAAATGTGGAAGTTCTGCAGTTATACAACTAATATTCTAATACTTGCAAAGACATAATTTGCTTGCTCTTGACTCTCAAAATATAGTTGTTAAACTTCCATGTTAGTGGATATACAATTACAGTTACAAAAAGAAACTGAATTAATCTCCTGACTCAGAAAATATCAGGCATTTCCTATTATGGTCAGTGTTTTACTAGACCAAAGGGACGTTTTAAAACCCTACTTAACTACTCCAATGGGAGATACAGTAGTAATTACAACAACAACACAACTTTTAAAATATTTCGGTATTCTTCCCTAACCCCTGAAATAAGAGGCATTCCACAATCCCAAATGAAGAGGGAATTCTATTTGATACCACTTTGCCCTTTGTTCTAAGTGGTTTCTTAGAACACTACTTTCAATGACACAAACAGAGCTAGGGCACATAAAATAAGAACACTGTAAACCTCATAATCCCCACTCCTTTTTTAATCCATGTTCTATTTTATTTGTATTAAATCTTAGATTCCTTTGGATGCTGTGTATTTGATTAAGCCTTCGCAAGTAAAATCACATCTGTCTACCTGAAACTTCAAACTCTTGGTTTCACAAGTGTTGGTTAAAAAAGAAAATGGACATACTGAACAGATAAGGGAAGGCCAATAATGCCAGGGGAGACAGATAATGAAACTGAAGAGAATAAAATTCTGTTCTGTAATTAATAACTCTGAAAATGTCCTTGCAAGGTTGTCTATAGGAAGATCTCTGGTGACATCTGCACCAAAATCAAAGTTTTAACATTATCTCTAATTCTCTGCATGTTAATTGGCTAAATGCATTCAAACTGGCATCTGTAATTGGCATCTAACTCCTAAAGCTAAATCAAGGAGAAGCAAGGACTGCTATCTTGTCACTTCCCTGTTAAGGCCTAAATGTAAACAAACAACCTGTAACTGGTAGATTCCTTCTCTTAAAGATAATAAACTGTCAGGAAAAGCAAGTAAAGTGCATAAGTAGATTTCTCATACAGTCTTTCAGTCATTTAAAAAGTTTGGAGATACTAGGTAAACAAACTTTACAAACTTCCTGGATTTTTTTAATTAGATGTCAACAAATGTCAACTACAAAAGAAATCTGCCATTTTTTGGTCACCAGTCATCCAGCCCCTCTTCTTAACACCACTCAACTTCCTTTTGAGGAAATACCTTTCCTGCACTGTGCCTGGTCTGTAGAATGGCAAATCAGACATTCTGCCCCTCAAATACAAAACCTGAAAGGGTCCCAGGCTCTCTTCAGAAACACCTTTCCTCCTACAGTCTGGTACAGTCAAGGGCAGAGCCACAACCTAAGTTGCAGCCAGCAAGGCTCTTGCTCAGGAATCTGAATCTGGACATAGAGTGAAGGAACAGCTGACGTTCACTTTTTCCTTCTAGCAGTATCCCCAAACAGGACTCCAAGAGAGTCCAGGTCCAGAAACCCTCAGGAGCTGCCAGGTCCAGCTGCCAGGAATAGCAGACTATTCCAATCTTCTCTTGGAGCCTTTGACCTTGTTCATTTTCCTCTAATAAATACCCTTTATGCCTAAGTTAGGCAGAATCAACCTTAAAAAGTAATAGATAGTGCTGTCCAGTTTCCTGCCCTTCCTTGACACAAAAACATTTCCCAGCCCCCTTAGAGTCAGGCAGGGCCATGTGACTAGTTCTGGCCAATTAACTGAAAGTGGAAATGATGTATGTATTCCTATGTGCAATTTTCCATACTCTCTTCCTCTGCCTCAGTAAACTGTAAGGCACTATGCTGGATAGAAACGCCACAGAAAATGAAAGCAGCCTGGAGTGCTGAGGTTAGCTGCCCACAAAAGCCACCTAGGCCTGCAGCAACCCTCTGAGATTTTGATGGTTTTTGTTACCGTAACATAAGCTAGCCTATCCTGACTGACAGATAACCCTAATCATTCAATTCAAAAACATCACTCTAGCTAGAGGTAGTCATGAAGGACTTGTATTACTTTAAAAGAATTGCTAATAAAGCAGTAAACTATTGCATCCATATCTTAGGGTAGAGAAGCATTTGTATAGCAGCTAAGATCTGTACCAACATTTACGTCATGAATCTGACACCAGGGTTGCAAAACACCAACCACTAGAGAAGCAGCACATGAACCACAGACTGTATACAACATTCTGGAAAAGGCAACGCCATGAAGACGGTAAAAAGGTCAATGGCTGCCAGGGGTTAGGGGAAAGGAAAAATAAAAAATAGGCAGAGCACAGGGGCTTCGTAGGGTAGTGAAAATACTCTGTATTATACTATAATGGTAGATAGATGTTTTAATACATTCTTCTCAACCCAAAGAAATTTATAACACCAAGAGCAAAGCATAATGTAAACTACAGACTTTGGGTGACAATAATGTGTCAATGTAGGTTTATCGACTAGAACAAATGAACCACTTTGGTGCAGGATGTTAATAGGGAAGGCTGTACATGTGTGAGGGCAGGGGTATATGAGATGTCTTTGTGCCTTTCTCTCAATTTTGATGTAAACCTAAAACTACATTTTTTTAAAGAATTTTTATTATTATACTTTAAGCTCTAGGGTACATGTACACAACGTGCAGGTTTGTTACATATGTATACATGTGACATGTTGGTATGCTGCACCCATTAACTCGTCATTTACATTATGTGTATCTCCTAATGCTATCCCTTCCCCTCCCCGCACCCCACAACAGGCCCTGGTGTGTGATGTTCCCCTTCCTGTGCCCAAGTGTCCTCATTGTTCAATTCCCACCTATGAGTGAGAACATGTGGTGTTTGGTTTTTCGTCCTTGTCATAATTTGCTGAGAATGATGGTTTCCAGCTTCATCCATGTCCCTACAAAGGACATGAACTCATCACTTTTTATGGCTGCATAGTATTCCATGGTGTATATGTGCCACATTTTCTTAATCCAGTCTATCATTGTGGGACATTTGGGTTGGTTCCAAGTCTTTGCTATTGTGAATAGTGCTGCAATAAACATACGTGTGCATGTGTCTTTATAGCAGCATGACTTACAATCCTTTGGGTATATACCCAGTAATGGGATGGCTGGGTCAAATGGTATTTCTAGTTCTAGATCTCTGAGGAATCGCCACACTGACTTCCACAATGGTTGAACTAGTTTACAGTCCCACCAACACTGTAAAAGTGTTCCTATTTCTCCACATCCTCTCCAGCACCTGTTGTTTCCTGACTTTTTAATGATTGCCATTCTAACTGGTGTGAGATGGTATCTCATTGTGGTTTTCATTTGCATTTCTCTGATGGCCAGTGATGATGAGCATTTTTTCATGTGTGTTTTAGCTGCATAAATGTCTTCTTTTGAGAAGAGTCTGTTAATATCCTTTGCCCACTTTTTGATGGGGTTGTTTTTTTCTTGTAAATTTGTTTGCGTTCATTGTAGATTCTGGATATTAGTCCTTTGTCAGATGAGTAGGTTGCAAAAATTTTCTCCCATTCTGTAGGTTGCCTGTTCACTCTGATGGTAGCTGCTGTTGCTGTGCAGAAGCTCTTTAGTTTAATTAGATCCCATTTGTCAATTTTGGCTTTTGTTGCCATTGCTTTTGGTGTCCTAGACATGAAGTCCTTGCCCATGCCTATGTCCTGAATGGTATTGCCTAGGTTTTCTTCTAGGGTTTTTATGGTTTTAGGTCTAATGTTTAAGTCTTTAATTCATCTTGAATTAATTTTTGTATAAGGTTTTCTAGATATACAATCATCTCATCTGTAAACAGGGACAATTTGACTTCCTCTTTTCCTAATTGAATACCCTTTATTTCTTTCTCCTGCCTGATTGCCCTTGCCAGAATTTCCAACAGTATGTTGAATAGGAGTGGTGAGAGAGGGCGTCCCTGTCTTGTGCCAGTTTTCAAAGGGAATGCTTCCAGTTTTTGCCCATTCAGTATGATATTGGCTGTGGGTTTGTCATAGATGGCTCTTATTATTTTGAGATATGTCCCATCAATACCTAATTTATTGAGAGTTTTTAGCATGAAGGGCTGTTGAATTTTGTCAAAGGCCTTTTCTGCATCTATTGAGATAATCATGTGGTTTTTGTCTTTGGTTCTGTTTATATGCTGGATTACGTTGATTGATTTGCGTATGTTGAACCAGCCTTGCATCCCAGGGATGAAGCCCACTTGATCATGGTGGATAAGCTTTTGGATATGCTGCTGGATTCGGTTTGCCAGTATTTTATTGAGGATTTTTGCATCGATGTTCATCAGGGATATTGGTCTAAAATTCTCTTTTTTGGTTGTGTCTCTGCCAGGCTTTGGTATCAGGATGATGCTGGCCTCATAAAATGAGTTAGAGAGGATTCCCTCTTTTTCTATTGATTGGAATAGTTTCAGAAGGAATGGTACCAGCTCCTCCTTGTACCTCTGGTAGAATTTGGCTGAAACCAACGAGAACAAAGACACAACATACCAGAATACCTGGGACACATTCAAAGCAGTGTGTAGAGGGAAATTTATAGCACTAAATGCCCACAAGAGAAAGCAGGAAAGATCTAAAATTGACACCCTAACATCACAATTAAAAGAACTAGAGAAGCAAGAGCAAACACATTCAAAAGCTAGCAGAAGGCAAGAAATAACTAAGATCAGAGCAGAACTGAAGGAGATAGAAACACAAAAAAACCCTTCAAAAAAATCAACGAATCCAGGAGCTGGTTTTTTGGAAAGATCAACAAAATTGATAGACCGCTAGCAAGACTAATAGAGAAGAATCAAATAAACGCAATAAAAAATGATAAAGGGGATATCACCACCGATCCCACAGAAATAAAAACTACCATCAGAGAATACTATAAATACCTCTACGCAAATAAACTAGAAAATCTAGAAGAAATGGATAAATTCCTCGACACATACACCCTCCCAAGACTAAACTAGGAAGAAGCTGAATCTCTGAATAGACCAATAACAGGCTCTGAAATTGAGGCAATAATTAATAGCTTACAAACCAAAAAAAGTCCAGGACCAGAAGGATTCACAGCCGAAAACTACTCTTTAAAAAAAATTTGTTTTCATTTTAAAAAGTATACTGATCAATCTTGCCATGCAGACTAAGTCAAGAAATTAGGTATCGAATTGCAATAAATCTGTAATAAATCTATAGTTCAAAATTAATTACTCAATTAAAATTACTTTTTCCATTTCTGGTGAATAGCAGACAAAATCTTCTGCATATTACTCCTACTGAAAGGAACAAAAAATGCTGGATAAAATATCTTTATAAAATGCATACTTAAATTTGCAAGACGTTAAGAAAACCTCAAAGACCAAAAATAGAAAAGAAGAAAACTGAAGAAAAGGGGGAAACAGAGAAAACAGGACAACAGAGAGATAGAGAAAGAACAACAGAGAACAAATAGAAACAACAGAGAGAATCAGAATACTTTAACCCCAGGTGGATGGGGGGAGATGTGCTAAACTCTTGGTGACCTCGAAATGACCTTTTGAAATGGAACAAGGGACAACCCTCAGCTCCTGCCCATAGTGTAGTATCAAATAGGAGACCATTAATATTAAGTTGGTAACTCAAGGATATATGAATAAGAAATGAACCAGCCTGCAACAGAGTCTGGCAAGAAATGTTGAGACCTTGATACTAAAAGAAGCAGTGGTGAAAAAAATCTCCCCTGAGAATCAAATCAAGTCTCAAAAGCAGGTCTGCAGCTCACATTCACAATGACTCACCTGGGAGACCAGAGATTCAAACACCTGGGAGTCTGCTAGGCTGGAAAACTGAAACACTGCCTCTAATGAAGTCAAAATGCTACAATTTCCCCAGCATACTCTGGAGCAGTGGTTCTTAAATTTTAGGGTGCATCAGAATCACTGAAGAGTCTGTAAAAACATAGATTGCAAAACCCCTTCCTCAGAGTTTCTCATTTAGTAGATCTGGGGTAAGGCCTGAGAATTTGCATTTCTAACAGGTTGCCAATTAATGCTCATGCTGCTGGTCTAGGAGCACACTTTGAGAACTGCTACTGTGGTACTCAATATTGCCTGCACATGAGAATCACCCATATAGCTTTAAAGACTAGAGACACTTCCATCCACCCCCAGAGATATGGATTAAATGATATGGGGTACAGCCTGGGCATAAGAACTTATTTAAATGTTAAAATAGAGAGCATTAAGACTGACAGAACAGACTCCTCATGGCAATAAGATGCTAAATCATAAACAAGACCTAAGGCCATGCTAGGCAAGGGTTAGATCACGTACCCTACACTTAAAGAATAAACTATGTTCTAACTGCCACAGGATTTTTTGTTTTTCTCGAGCAGCTAAATAAGCACTGGCCTCAAGACAGGCACTACTGAAACAACTGCAGCCCACTGACAGCCAGATGCTGACTAACTCAAAACCTCCCCTATTCACAAGCCAAAGCAACAGTTTTGATTGGACGAGAGACTGATTTCAGTAACTTTCTCCTGATAAGAGATCATGGACCATGGACTGGTTCTGGCCGGTTTACAGAGGCTGTGTAGTGAGTGCCTTCCCATCTTCTGCTTCACCTAGGGCCTAATTGTAATGCACTTAAATGTTAAGTCTCCACCCCAAAGTGAACATGGGCTGCATGTAACATGCATGTTTACTTTCCACACATGCATGTGACCCCCCTTCATGAATATTCACAGCTTATCCTATAATCATTAAACATGTATACTTAGCCAACTCATTTGGCATAAATTCCTGTTCCATTCTTCCCTCCCTCGAAGTGCCTGCTTTCAGTTTCTGCCAGAGGCCACACTTCCCAGCCTGTCAAGATAGCCAACCTGCAGGCTGCATAAGAAATCAACCTTTCCTCTTCAAATTTAGGAGCCTCGGGATTCTTCAGTTAACACCAACATGCCATCAATGTTGAGAACCACTGCCAGAGAGGACAGAATCTAAAAGCTCTGGAAATTGAAAACACTGGAATGACTCAACAAAGTACAGCCTGCTCAGCCACCCCTTAAACCATCCCTCTTACGTGACCCTGGGAGACTGTCTTAATGAAGGGGACACCAGCATCTTTGAAGAGCTCTAAGGTGGCTATCCTTATAGGCCAGAGATGACAGTGAGAAATACTAACAATGGAATTTGGTTCTCTGACCACAGTGGAAATCATGAGATCTGGGATTAGTAAAGGCCAGTAGCAGCCCTTATCTGCACAGACAAGGTGGGCAAAACTGCCACAGTGAGTCAAAGGGCAATGTGGTGATCAGAATATTCTGACCCACAAGAATCAACGGTAAATTGAGCATCAGGTGTCTGTCTCCTAAGTTGATGCTTGATATTTAATAAGAAAATTTCTAGATTTACTGAGCAGAAACCTAACTCAAGTCCCATAAAGAATTCACAGCTTCTTACCCAGATCCCAGATCTAACCTGCTTCATAGACCTAGAGCTCCCCAAGTAACCTAGAGAGAGGTTCCTTGAAACCCTTGCAAAGTGGCCATAGTTCCAAAACACTTTCCTTCCCCAGGGAGTCTTCAGCATTTATCATGTGACTGAGCACTGAAGAAATGGAATTACCCAGACCCTTTCAAGTGCCACCACAGTCCAATACTCAAGAACTTACCTAGATCAGGTGCTACCTGGAGTCTTAGCCCAAATCCATCTCACATCTGTTCAGTGGGCCTATACACCCATCCTTGGCTTAAAAAAAAAAAAAAAAAAAAAAAAAACTATCGGGATCACAAGAGATAACAATGCATACGTCATCTCAGAGATATATCACAGAATCGGCCTCTGAATTCCCCCTTTTAATCTACCCACCAAGCAACTGCATGGCAGTGGCTAAAAGAGGAAGGTGCAAAAAAAGACTGGCAGTCAGCAGAGGCCTCCCCATTCTGAAACCTACCTATGATAACAGTAACAATGCTCTGCGTCTTCTTACCAATATAGGGTACCTTGACCACGACTCTTAGCAACTATACTGGAAAGAGAAACATACCCGTTTTCTAATCTCACAGCTGCCCTCTGGAAACCACAAACAAAACCTGATGAATATGGAGGGAGAAACCATTCCAGGCAGAGAAAACCAAGCCAGAGGCATATAATCCAGGTACTGCCACACTGTTGTGGCAGGTCCCCACTTCTGTATCTAATGTAAGCATCTACTGCAGTGTGGATGATACATACATTTATCAAGGGTTATATGACACACATTTTGAAACAGAACCACAACTATGCCTCCTATATGAATGTTTTCTTAAGAAGCCAAGTTACTATTGCCCTGTAATTAAAATTGGGTCCTTTAGATACCGTAATAACTTAAGTTATGGCATAGAGAACTCCAATATTACAATGTTGAGCTTGCTAAATATAACTAGTATTATTTACTTGTTACTATACTATTAAAAGTCATATCTTCAACACTCCTCAAATAGTAGAAATACAAAGGAAGCTCACTTTAAATTGCATTTTTCTGCTTCAGGGATCAGCTCTGATTAGTTGTGTTTTATGCAATTCTTTCCATCTCTAATTCTGTTTCCATGTTTCTTTCATCTAGTAGAAAATTAAATGTGATGCTTTGCTAGGTTCCCAAGGATTACTAACTTACACTACATTCAAATATGTTAGTCTCATACCTGCTGCCCTAAAAAATACAGCAAAGGTACATTCATAGCCTAGGTAAAACGAGCACCAAAATTAAGTCATAGCAGCAAACATAGAAGCTAAAAATTGTTCTATGAGACGTCAGATAAGAAATTAAATGAATTCCATCATTTTAAGAAATTAGAAAGCATGTCTTTAAAGAATTCTTTGATGTGAGATGTTTAATTTGTATGCAAAAGTGATTCAAATGTGGCAGTTCCCCAAATGATATGTACTTCAGCATCACAGCTTAATATAAGAAACAAATCCAGAATGTTTCACTTCATTCCACACAAAAATGTGATTATTATTCAACTCTTGCTTTATCATTTTCAACAAATTTGCCTCTCCTACTGTCCAAAAAGTAACAAAAAAAGAAGTCTATTTAGCTGTCAGATACAAGGGTAAATTCACTGAAATTAACAATATGGAGGATTTAAATGATATGTCTAAGCTTGGGGCTACAAAGAAGCAAGAAATAATCAAACACTGTGTCTGATGTAAAATATGGCAACCTATGGCCCCTCAAAATATACAGTGTACAAAACAACTAAGAAAACTACACCAAAGCAGGAATGGGATACAAAGTACTCCATGAGGACACATTAATAAATAAATAAATAAATATATATATATATATATATGTATGTATATATATATGTGTATATATATACACATATATATATGTGTATATATATACACATATATATATATGTGTATATATATACACATATATATATATGTATATATATGTAAGCTCAACTTCAGCTTCAAATCCAACAGGATAGTCTTTCCAGAAAAGCATCTAAGAGTTCAAGACCAGACTCAGCAACATGGTGAAACCCCATTTCTACAAAAAATAAAAAAATTAGCCAGGCGTAGTGGTGCACCTCTGTGGTCCCAGCTACTTGGGAGGCTATGGTGGGTAGACTGCTTGAGCCAGAAGGGAGGCAGAAGTTGCAGTGAGCCCAGACTGCCCAACTGCACCACAGCCTGGGTGACAGAGTGAGACCTTGTATAAAACAAAACAAAACAAAAGACTAAGCCAATTAGTCTTCTAATTGCTTCTCTTCACTTCTCACAGCTTTTCTTCCTTTGCTTTCCTATTAGACTGGATAAACTAGGTCCTGGGTAAAAGACTCAGAAACACAGGGCTTTGTGCAAGAGGGTTTGTAAGTGGCCACTCTCTCCCTCAAAGAGATCCAACCCCTCTCTTGACTGAAACTCAGCTATCTTCTGGAGAACAGCATAAACTAGGCTGACTAACTTCTTTCACCAAGAATTCTCCAGCACAAACCTGGTTTCTGTAGAGCCCTATTCTCTTTCCCTAGAGGGCCAGCTTTCCCCATCTCTGAGATGACACTTCATATCTCCTCCTCTACTCAAATCCCTTGGGTACTCATTATTCTCTTTCTAATGAATGATATTTCCAATGTAGTGCTGAATTCAGTTTCCTAGTATTTTGTTGAGGATTTCTGCATCAATATTCATCAGAGATACTAGCCCATAGTTTTCTTTTTTTGATATGTCTTTGTCAGATTTTGGTATCTGGGTAATACTGGCCTTGTAGAGTAATTCTGGAAGTACTCTCTCCTCGTCTTATTTTATTTATGTATTTATTTTTCTTGAGTAGTTTGAGTAGGATTGGTATCAGTTGGTTCTGCTTTAAATGTTAGGTAGAATTCAGCAGTGAAGCCATCAGGTTCCTGGCTTTTCTTTACTGGGAGACTTTTATTATGACTTTGATCTCATTATTTGTTATTAGTCTGTTCAGGTTTTGGATTTCTCCATGGTTCAATCTTGGTAGATTTTATGTATCTAGGAATTTGTCCACTTCTTTTAGATTTTCCAATTTATTGGCATATAGTTGACATAGCAGTCGCTAATGACCCTTTAAATTTCTGCAGTATTAGTTGTAATGTGTCCTTTTTCATTTCTGATTTTATTTATTTGGATCTTCTGGTTTTCTTAGTCTGGCTAAAGTTTGTCATTTTGTTTTAACTCTTTGGAAAAACTACTTTTTGTTTCATTGATCTTTCATATTGTTTCTCCATTTCAATTTCATTTATTTCTGCTCTGATCTTTATTATTTCTTTTCTTCTAATTTTAGATTTGGTTTCCCTTGCTTTTCTAAATCTTTAAGATGCATTGTTAGATTGTTCATTTGAAGTTTTTCCTCTTTTTGACGTAGGCACTTATAGCTATAAAATTACCTCTGAGTACTGCTTTTACTGTATCCCATAGGGTTTTTTTTGTTTGTTTTTTTTTTTTTTTTTTTTTTTGGCAGAATCTCACTTTGTCGCCCAGGCTGGAGTGCAGCGGTGTGATCTTGGCTTACTGCAAGCCTCCACCACCCAGGTTCAAGAAATTCTTGTGCCTCAGCCTCCCAGGTAGCTGGAATTACAGGCGCCTGCCACCATGCCTGGCTAATTTTTGTATTTTTAGTAGGGACGGGGTTTCACCATGTTGGCCAGGCTGGTCTCCAACTCCTGTCCTCGAGTGATCCACCTGCCTCGGCCTCCCAGAGTACTGGAATTACAGGCATGAGCCACCATGCCCAGCCTCCCAAAGGTTTTGATATGCTGTATTTACATTATCATTTGTTTCCAGAAATTTTTCAATTTTTTTTTTTTTTTTTTTTGAAACCAGGCTGGAGTGCAGTGGCATGATCTCAGCTCACTGCAACCTCCACTTCCTGGACTCAAGCAATCCTCCCACCTCAGCCTCCCAAGTAACAGGAACTACAGGCACGTGCCACCATGCTTGGCTAATTTTTGTGTGATTTTTTTTTTTTTTTGTAGAGACAAGGTTTCACCATGCTGCCCAGGATGGTCTGGAACTCCTGGCCTCAGGTGATCTGCCTACCTCAGTCTCCCAAAGTGTCGGGATTATAGGCATGAGCCACAGTTCCTGGCCCAAATTCTTTTTTCCCCCCCATAGAAAGCAGAAAAATAATTTATTCCAAAAGACGGCAGAAATAATAAATTCATCCTGAAAATACAGTAAGGTGTAATTCTGTTGAGACAGCTCTTCCCTCTGAAAATGCTCTCCTACTGACTGCCCCACTGGAGTATTACTTGTCTTGCAGCAGTTTCTAAACACTTCATTGGTTCCCATGTGAGAAGGCAGGAGCCATCTTCAAATGCACAGATTCCAAGGAGGCAGTAACATATCTCTCAGAAGAAGACAATCTTCTATCTCAGAAGAGTACATAATCATTTTCTGGAGTCAGCACAGTTCAGTTTAAGTAGGGACATAATTCGTTAAAGTGTAAAAAAGTGAAGGAAAAAACACTTCATTGTAGAATAAGACATTTAAATGTGGTGCTGATGTTTAAGGCAACTAATGACCAAAATGGGCAAGTCAAGAAAGGTGGTCTGGTTTGGAGGTGATTTTGCATCTAGAAGGCATTCTCTCCTCGTGACCTCAAAGACTGAGCACTGTAGAGCACATCTTCCTCCTCAAGGCCAATGATGCTTCAGATACCAGACGGCTTCATTTGTCAACTGTGGTCCAAAGAGAGGGTTGAGTTGGGCCAGAATTGAAATCAGCCAAAAGAGATAGCAGAAACCTGGACAGGTCACCAATATGGTAATGATAACTTCCCAGTAAGGACCCTTAGGGATAAACCAAGGCACCAAGAAGCCAACGAAGCCCCAGAACATGCTCATCACAGCGAAAGGCACCATGAGGCCATAATATGCATGGTCACTGCCTGAGCTGCCAGCCTCTGCCCCACCGCTTCATTTCCCAAATTCCTTCTTTTTTGTTTGTTTTGTTTGTTTTTTAGACAGAGTCTCACTCTTTCACCCAGGCTGGAGTGCAGTGGCACAATCTCAGCTCACTGCAACCTCCACCTCCCAGGTTCAAGCAATTCTCCTGCCTTGGCCTCCCCAGTAGCTAGGATTACAGGTGCACGCCACCATGCCTGGCTAATTTTTTTTTTTTTTTTTTTTTTTTTAGTAGAAACAGGGTTTCACCATGTTGGTCAGGCTGCTCTCGAACTCCTGACCTTATGATCCACCCACCTCGGCATCCCAAAGTGCTGGGGTTACAGGCATGAGCCACTACCTCTGGCCCCCAAATTCCTTCTTAATTTCTTCACTGACCCACTATTCAGGAGCATATTGTTTACTTTCCATGTATTTGTAAAGTTTCTAAAATTCTTATTAATTTCTAGTTTTAATCCATAGTGGTCAGAAAAGAGGCTTGATATTATTTCAATTTTTTGAATTTTTTAAGACTTGTTTTGTGATCTAAAATGTGGTCTAACCTTGAGAATAATTCATGTCTGAGAAAAAGAATGTGCATTCTGCAGCCCTTGGATGAAATGTTCTGTAAATATTAGATCCTTTTTGTCTATAGTGAAGATTAAGTCTGATGCTTCTTTGTTGATTTTCTGTCTGGGAGATCCGTCCAATGCTGAAAATGGGGTTTGAAGTCTCCAGCCATTATTGTATCAAGGCCTCTCTCTTTAGGTCTAATAATATTCCCTTTATATATCTAGGTGCTCCAGTGTTGGGTACATATATATTTTACATTGTTATATCACCTTGCTGAACTGACTCCTTTATCATTATGTAGTGACCTTCTTTGGCTCCTCTTACAGATTTTGTCTTGAAATCTATTGTATGTAATGTAAATATAACTACTCCCGCTCTTTTTTGGTTTCCACTGGCATGGAATATTTTTTTCCATCCCTTTATTTTCAGCCTGTGTGTGTCTATATAGGTGAAGTGTGTTTCTTGTAGGCAACAATCAATGGGTCTTGTTTTTTCATCCAGCCAGTCTCTGTCTTTTGACGGGAGAGTTTAGTCCATTTACATTCAATGTTATTATTGATAAGTAAGGACTTACTCCTGCCATTTTGTTATTTGTTTTCTGGTTGTTTTGTGATCTTCTCTTCCTTCTTTCTTTCCTATCCTCCACTAGTGAAGGTGATTTTCTCTGGGGATATGATTTAGTTTCTTGCTTTTTATTTTTTGTGTATCCACTATGTGTTTTTTTGTTGTTGTTTGTTTGTTTGTTTTTGGCTTGAGGTTACCATGAGGCTTGCGAATACTATCTTATAACCCATTATTTTAACCTGATAACAACTTAACTCTACATAAACCAACAAACAAGGAAAAAGAAAACTAAGAAAAACTCTATGCCTTAATATCATGCCCCTGCTTTTAAACTTTTTGCTGTTTCTATTTAGATCTCATTGCACTGACCATCTTGAAAAATTGATACAGTTATTACTTTTGATTGGCTCATATTTTAGTCTTTCTACTTATAGTAGAAGTAGTTTACACACAATTACAGTGTTACAATATTCTCTGTTTTTCTGTGTACTTAAAATTACCAGTGAGTTTTCTACCTTCAGATGATTATTTCTCATTACTGTCCTTTTCTTTCTGACTGAAGTATTCCCTTTAGCATATCTTGTAGGACAGGTCTGGTATTAATGAAATCCCTCAGGTTTTGTTTGTCTGGGAGAGTCTTTATTTCTCCTTCACATTTGAAGGATATTTTCACCAGATATACCCTTCTAGGATAAAAGTTATTTTCCTTCAGTACTTTAAATATGACATGTCACTCCCTCCTGGGCTTTAAGGTTTACACTGAAAAGTGTGCTGCCAGATGTACTGGAGCTCCATTTTATGTTATTTCTTTCTTTTCTCTTGCTGCTTGTAGGATCCTTTCTTTATCCCTGACCTTTAGGAGTTTGATTATTAAATGCTTTGAGGTTGTCTTCTTTGGGTTAAATCTGCTTGGTGTTCTATGACCTTCTTGTACTTGGACACTGACATCTTTCTCTAGGTTCAGGAAATTCTCTATTATCTTTTTGAATAAACTTTTTACCTCTATCTTTCTCTACCTCCTCTTTAAGGCCAATAACGTTTAGACTTTCTCTTTTGAGGTTATTTTCTAGATCTTGTAGGCGTGCTTCTTGTTTTTTCTTTTTTGAGACAGGGTCTCACTCTGTCACCCAGGCTGGAGTGCAGTGGCATGATCTCCGCTCACTGCAACCTCCACCTCCAGGACTCAAGTGATCCTCCCACCACAGCTTCCAGAGTACAGGCTCACACTATCACACCCAGCTAATTTTTGTATTTTTTGTAGAGACGGGGTTTCACCATGTTGCCCAGGCTGGTCTCAAACTCCTCAGCTCAAGCAATCCACCCTCAGCCTCCCTAAGTGCTGGGATTACAAGCATGATACTGCACCCAGCCTGGGTATTTTCAATTAGGCAGTCTTCAAGCTCACTAATTCTCTCTTCTGCTTAATAAATTCTGCTAAAGGACGCCAATATATTTTTCAGTGTGCCAACTGTATTTTTCAGCTTCAGAATTTCTGCTTGATTGTTTTTAATTATTTCAATCTCTTTGTTAAATTTATCTGATAGAATTCTAAATTCCTTCTCTGTGTTACCTTGAATTTCTTTTGAGTTTCCTCAACATAGCTATTTTGAATTCTCTCTCTGAAAGGTCACCTATCTCTGTTTCTCCAGGATTGGTCCCTCGTGCCTTATTTATAAAGTTCATTGGTGAGGTCATGTTTTCCTGGATGGTGTTGATGTTAGCAGATATTCTTCAGTGTCTGGGCACTGAAGAGTTAGGTATTTATTATAGTCTTCACTGCCTGGGCTTATTTGTAGCCATCCTTCTTGGGAAGGCTTTTCGGATATTTGAAAGGACTTGGGTGTTGTGATCTAGGCTGTATCTGCTTTAGGGGGCACCCCGTGCCCAGTAACACTGTAGTTCTTGCAGACTCAGACATGTATTGCCTTGATGGTCTTAGATGAGATCTGGAAGAATTCTCTAGATCACCAGGCAGACACTCTTATTCCCTTCCCTTACTTTCTCCCGAACATACAGAGTCAGTCAGTCAGTCTCTCTCTCTCTCTCTCTCCGCTCCCCCCCCCCTTTCTCTCTCTCTCTCCCTCTTTCTCTGTTCTGAGCCACCTAAAGACTTGGGGTGGAGTGACACAAGCACCCCTATGGCCACCACCGCTATGACAGCACTGGGTCAGACCTGAGAAGTGCTAGGTCTTACCCAAGGCCTGCTATAACCACTCCCTAGCTACTGCTTATGTTCGCTCAAGGCCCTAGGGCTGTACAATCAGCAGGTGGCAAAGCCAGCCAGGCCTGTCCTTCCCTTCAGGGCGGCAAGGTCCCCTAAGTCCCAGGTGGGTCCAGAAGTGCCATCCAGGAGTCAGGGACTAGAGTCAAAAACCTTAGAAGTCTACCTGGTGTTCTAATGTAGTGCAGCTGAACTGGTACTGAAACTACACAATGCAGTCCCTCCCTTCCTCCTTCCCCTTTCCAAAGGGAGAGGATCCTCACCTGTAGCCACCACCAGGCCATGAGGAGTACTGCCAGACTACCACTGATGTTCCCTTAAGGCCCAAGGTCTCTTAAGTCAGCTTGTCATAAATGCTGCCTGACCTGGGCCTCACCCTTCAGGACAGTGGGCTCCCCCTCTGGCCCAGGAGGTCCAGAAATGCCATCCAAGAGTCAAGTCCTGAAATCAGAGATCCCAAGAGCCCTTTTGGTGTTCTACCCTCTTTGGCCATGCTGGTACCTAAGGTGCAAGACAAAGTCCCCTTTACTTTTCCCTCTGCTTTTCTCAAGCAGGAGGAGTTTTGCCCCATACACCACAACTAGTTATGTGGTAAGTCTCACCTGAAGCCAGCAAGTCTTAGAGACTCACCAAGGCCCTCAAAATGTAATATGGGGGTATCACTGCTGGTTATTCAGGGCCCAAAGGCTCTTCGGTTCACAGGTAATGAATGCTGACAGGACCGGGTCCTTTCCCTCAAGGTAACAGTTTCCCTTCTGGCCCAGGGTGTTCTAGAAATACCATCTGGGAGCCAGGGCCCGAAACAGGGGCCCCGTGACTTTAACTGATGCCCTATCTTGCTGTGGCTGGGCTGGTATCCTAGGTGCAAGACAAAGTCCTCCCCCACTCTTTCCTCTTCTCTCAAGCAGAAGGAAGGGGTCTTTTTTTGGAGCCGCGAGCTATGCAGCCTGGGGTTGGGGGAGGAATGAAGCCAGCACTCCCCAGCTGCCCCAGCTGGCATCTCAGTATGTCATGTGCCCCCTCAGTCCACTGTCTCTGGGCCTAATTCAGCACTAAGACTCACAAGTTGCAGTCCTTATGGCCTAGACTGCCTTTCAAAGGCAGTCTTGTACACAAAGAGTGCTGCAGCGCTCAGTGGTACGATTTGCAGGAACTCAAGCTCCCACCATTGGGATGAGTGACTCCCCTTTGGCTAGGGCTGGATTACATGCTCTCTCCATGGCAGGCATCAGCTGAGTTTGGTCTTGGTTTCCTTTCTGCTCTAACAGGACACCACTGAGTTCAGTGCCTCACAATTGCTATGTTCTCCCTCCCCCAGTGCCCAGAGATGTTCTCCACACCAGGCTGCTGCTAGGGCGGGGATCAGGGAGTGGTGTTGGCAATTCAGAACTGTTTTGTTTTGTTTTGTTTTGTTTTGTTTTGTTTTGTTTTGTTTTTGGTGCCTCTTTCAGCGATATGAGATTAAAACCCGGTACTATGAGTGCTCACCGGATTTTTGGTTCTTACAAAGGTGCTTTTACTGTGTAGATACTTGTTAATTTGGTATCCTTGCAGGAGGGATGATAGGTGGAATCCTCTATTCCACCATCTTGCTCTACCTCATTATTCTCTTTCTCACGGTGACCTTGCTGTACCCCAGAGTCAGAAGCCACTATATATTAGATAGCTCATTCAAGGCTGGGTGTGGTGTTTCATGCCTATAATCCCAGCACTTTGGGAGGCCAAAGCAAGCAGGTTGCTTGAGTCCAGGAGCTCAAGAAGATAAATCATCCAACACTAAATCTTATCCACTTCATTTACATTTATTCATCTTTTCTTCCTGTTATAGTGGATAGTGTCCCTTCCTTCTCTGATCTAAGACCAATTACCCTAGGTCATTCCCTTCCACTCATTTTAAGAACTATCTACCCTCAGTTGGCCTTTCTCCAACCTCTATCTTCAATGCCCAGATTCCCCCCAGGATTAATCTTTTCCATTAGCCCTTACATATGCCTCACACTCAGAGCCAAACTTTTTCTAAGACTTAACTAGAAGGCCAGGCACGGTGGCTCATGCCTGTAATCCCAGGACTTTGGGAGGCCAAGGTGGGTGGATCACTTGAGGTCAGGAGTTCAAGACCAGCCTGGCCAACATGATGAAACCTCATCTCTATGAAAAATACAAAAATTAGCCAGATGTGGTGGCACATTCCTGTAATCCCCAGCTACTTGGAAGGCTGAGGCAGGAAAATCACTTGAACCCAAGAGGCGGAGGTTGCAGTGAACCGATCACGCCACTGCACTCCAGCCTGGGCAACAGAGCAAGACTCTGTCTTTAAAAAAAAAAAAAAAAAAAAAAAAAAAAAAAAAAGCCTTATCTAGATGTAGATTCACCACTTGTTCACTTCTAGTTTTCTATACAATCACCCCAATCTGGCTCCCATCTCAAATTTTTCTTTGTGAGTCACTAATAACCCTATCTTACCAGATCCAATAGAAATGTCTATTTTCAACTTATGTAACTCAAAAGTAAAAAAGATGACCATTTTCTCCTTCACAGAACACACACCTCTCTTTCCCTCCATTAGCAACTTTCTGGAGTTTCTACTTAACCGTTGCTCCTTCTCAGTCTCCTTTATTACTTCAACTTCCTCTCTTTAATATCCTTGGCCCATCGGAAAGTTCCACAAAGACAGGGACAACACCTGTTTTGCTTATTTGCCTCCAGGGCCTACCCAATTACTTGGCTCAAAGAAGGTGCTCATTAAATATTTGTTGACTGGATACCAAAAAATTTTTTTAAATAAATTTAAAAAACCCTCAATTCATACCTAACTCCCTATACAAAATTAACTAAAATTTTATTGTAGGTTAAAATACAAAACTCAAAACTACAAAAATTTTAGAAACACACACGAGAAAAACTCTGTGACCTTGCATAAAAAGACTTAAGACAACAAAAGAACCATTCGTAAAAGAAAAAATTGGCAAGTTGGACTTCATCAAAATTAAGAATGTTTTAAAGATACCATAAAATAAAAAGACAAGCCACAGAGAAAATATTGCCAACCATATGTTGGATAAAGAACTTGTATCCAGAATATTTTAAAAACTCAGATACAGATGTTTACACAGACAAGAACAGACAGATGATAGGGAGATAACAGTCAAAACTCAGTAACAAAACAACTTCAAACAATTTTAGACATGATTTCCCTCAATTGAGTTGGTCCACACCCATTCAGCCTCATCTACCACCACATGCAAGCTATATGTACATCGTAAGACCTCCACTATGCTGTTATCGTTCATGCTGTGTTGCTTGTCTTGTACCTTCTCATAAAGCTAAGTAGACCTGATGTTGACTGAATATAATTAAGTATCAATATATATTAATGCAGCAGTCCCCAACCTTTTTGGAACTGGAGATCAGTTTTGTGGAAGACAATTTTTCCATGGACCAGGGTTAGGGGGATGGTTTTGGGATGAAACTGTACTGCCTCAGATTATCAGGCATTAGATTTTCATAAAGTGTGCACAACCTACATCCCTCGCATGCGCAGTTCACAATAGGGTTCACGCTCCTATGAGCATCTAATGCCACTGCTGATCTGACAGGAGGCAGAGCTCAGGCAGTAATGCTCACTGGCCCACCACTCACCTCCTGCTGTGCAGCCCGGTTCCTAACAGGCCATAAACCAGTCCTGGTCCACAGCCCGGTTTGGGGACCCCTGTATTAATGTATCTACTATAATATGCGCTTGTGTATGTGTGATTCACAGCATATGTGTGTTGAATTCATCAGGGAAGTCATCTAAGCCTGGAACTGTTATCATTATTAAAAACTGGAAGGTTTTTAATAATGTACTAACAGATATAGGGCTCCCCAAATTTTTCTATCAGTTCCAGAAAGTTCTGTTATTCAAGCACTTTTTCCATTTGTCAAGTATGAAATTATTCAGATTATCCCCTTAGTATCTTTTAACATACATTAGACTCATATTGCTATCTCCCAGTCTTGACGTTAGTAATTTGTATTTTCTCTTTACTTTCTTTTGATCAATCTAGCTAGAGATTTAAAAATCTTATGCAATTTATCAATATGAACTATTGGTTTGGTTTCATCTCTTTTATTCTTTTCTACCTCTGGGAACACAGGACATCAATTTTTTATCTATTGTTACTTATCGAGTTCATTGAGTTCAGCTCTTACTTTTATTATTTCCTTTATTTGAATTGCATTGGGTTTAATTTACTCTCCTTTTTCTAGCTTCTTAAACTGGAACTTAAAACATTCTTGATTTCTAATACAGTGGCTCCCAAAGAATAGTCCCTAAACCAGCAGCATCAAAAGCCACAAGGGCACTTACCGGAAATGCGAATTACTGTGCCCCACTCAAAATCTACAGAGTGAGAAACTTTGGAGGTGGGGTCTGACAATCTGTGTGTTTTGTTGTTTTGGGGGGGCAAGGTGTCACCCAGGCTGGAGTGCAGTGACAAGATTCTGGCTCACTGCTAACTCCGCCTCACAGATTTAAGCGATTCTCATGCCTCAGCCTCCCAAGTAGCTGGGATTACCGGTGTGTACCACCATGCCCAGATAATTTTTGTACTTTCAGTAGACAGGGTTTCTACTAAACCACCCTTGGCCAGGCTGGTCTCAAGCTCCTGGCCTCAAGTGATCTGCCCGCCTCAACCTCCCAAAGTGCTGGGATTACAGGCATGAGTCACCACGCCCAGCCTGACAATCTGTGTTTTAGTAAACCTTCCAGGCAATTGTGATGCACAGAGTCTTCAGAACTACTGCTCTAATCTGAGCATTTCAAGTTATGAATTATTTCACTCTTACACCCAATTTAGCAGCATCACAAATGTGGTGATGTGTTGGGTTCCCCTTATTACTCAGCTTTAAATATTTTCTAAAAATTTGTGAGATTTTATTGACCCATGAGTTACAAGCATTTTTCTTAATTTCCTGACATTTGGGGGATTTTCTAGATTTCCTCTTGTTAGACATTTCTAATTTAATTCCATCATGGTCAGAGAACATATTATAAATAATTTCAATACTTTGTTATAAAGAGATGTTTTATGGCCAAGAATATGGTCTGTTTTAGTGACTATTCAGTATGCTTTCAAAATAAAGGTATTGTATAATCGTGGGAATTAGCATTCTATAAATGTTATTTCAATTTCATTAATATCATTCAAATCTTCCATGTTCTCACATAATTTTTATCTACTTATTTTAAAAATATCCAACAATAATGAATTTGTCATTATCAAATTCTTTTAGTTCTGTCAATTTTTCTTTCATATATTTTAAAGTAGTCTCATTTCACACAGACAAATTAAGGATTGTTAATGCTTCCTAATGAACTGAAATTTTCATTATTATGAACTGTTTTTATCTCTAGTAATACTCCCTTAATTTCTACTGTTATTAATATAGCTACTTAAGCTTTCTTGTTACTAGTGTTTCCATGGTATATCTTGTAAGTCTAACTTCCCATTTAAAGTATGTCTCATATAAACTGTATATAGCTAGGTTTTTGTTTTTGTTTTTGTTTTGAGACGGAGTCTCACTCTGTCGCCCAGGCTGGAGTGCAGTAGTGGGATCTCAGCTCACTGTAACCTACGCCTCCAGGTTTCAAGCCATTCTCCTGCCTCAGCCTCCCAAATAGCTGCAATTACAGAGGCGTGCACCATCATATCCACCTAATTTTTTTTGTATTTTTTTTTTAGTAGAGACAGGTTTCATCATGTTGGTCAGAGTGATCTTGAACTTCCGACCTCAAGTGATCCACTCGCCTTGGCCTCCCTGTATGCTGGGATTACAGGTGTGAGCCACTGGACCAGCTAGGTCTTTTTTTTCCCCCCCAATATGACAATCTCTGCCTTTTGATGGGAATATTTAGGCTACTCATATTTAATACAGTTATTAATATGGTGAGGTTTAAGTCTATCATCTTGTCATTTGCTTTCTATTTGCCCCATTTTATCTTTCTTCCTTTATTCCTCCTTTCCTGACTTATTATTCCTGATTAGATGGTAATTTAGTTTTTAAGACTAGTCAAGTGAAGCAGTGGGAGTGGAGAAGAAACAAATCTGTAACTAGTTACAATCAATTAGTTGTAAACACCATGGCACTATGATTAGCCAAGTATTCCTTTTTATCTCTTCTATTCACTATTTAGTAATTACTCTTGTTTTTCAGGGTTTTTTTTTTAACTGGATAGTCTTCCAATTATAATAGCATGCATAAATTATCAGAAGTAACCCTGAATCAACATTATATTATTTCACATATGTGTAAGAACATATACAATATTAGCTCATAATATTATATTATGGGCTATACAGGGCACCATGGCTCGTGCCTATAATCCCGGCACTTTGGGAAGCTAAGGCGGATGAATCACCTGAGGCCAGGAGTTCAAGACCAGCCTGGCCAACATGATGAAACCCCATCTCTACTAAAAAATAAAATAAAAAAATTAGCCGGGCATGGTGGCACACACCTGTAATCCCAGTTACTCGGGAGGTTGAGGCATGAGAATCACTTGAACCCAGGAGGTAGAGGTGCAATGAGCCAAGATTATGCCACTGCACTCCAGCCTGGGTGACCGGGTGAGACTCTGTCCAAAAAAACACTCACATATACAATATATACATAAAACATAATATACACATAAAATATAGGGATACAATAAAATCCACATTAAACACTTCCGCATGTGTTCCTCCAACCCTTTGTACAACTGCTGTCATATATTTTGCTTCTACTTATGTTATAAAACACACATTTTTCTGGCCTTAATAGATTTAACAAGTTATGAAAAATTGTTTATTTTCCAACATATTTACCACTATAGTACTCTTCAATTATTCTTGTAAACCCAGGTTTATATTTGCTCATTTAACTTTAACAAGAAAAACTCACTTTAACATTTCTAGTCAAATTCTCTCAGTTTGGAGACTAATTTACTCATTTTTTTCCTTATTTCCCTTTTATTGTTGACAGTATTTTCACAAAATACAGAATTCTGGGATAGCAGATTTTTTTCTTTGAACACTTTAAAAATATTGTTCCACTGTCTAATGGCATCTATGGTTTCCAAGGAGAAGTCAGCACGCATTCATATAACTGTTTCCCAGCATGGAATATATAGGATTTCTCTAATTGCTTTTAGGACTTTTCTCTTTAGTTTTGATATTCAGCAGTTTGACCATGATGAGCCTAGATGTAGTCCTCTTTAGATTATCTTGGTCAGGGTTCGGTGTGATTCTTGGAATGTGAGCTGACATTATCATCAATTTGGAAACATTTTCAACAATTATCCCTTCAAATATTCCTTCTATCTCATTCTTTCATCTCCTTCTGAGAGTCAAATCATGTGACTGTTAGATAATTTTATGTAATATTATTCCACAAAGTCTCAGACACTGTGTTCTGTTTTCTTCATTCTTTTTGCTTTGTGTGTCAGTTTGAGTCATTTCTATTAAACAGACCTATAATTCACTGATTCTGTCTTCTATTATGTTCTGACTGTGACGTCCATCCAATAAGTGTTTTTGAACTTTTATTGTGAAATAATTATAAACTCACAGGGAATAGAAAAAGCAGTACAGAGAAGTCCCATATGTCCTTCCTCTAGTTTCCCATAATGGTAACATCTTACATAATTATAGAACAATATTAAAGCCAAAAGTCTGCCATTGGTACAATGTGTATATATAATTCTACATCACTTTACCACGTGTAGATTCACACAACTACCACTGCAATCAAAAAACAGAACCAATCAATCATGAGGAAGATCTCCCTCATACAATCCTTATGCACTCAAACTCTCCCTCTTCTTCTAATATCCCTAACCCCTGGCAACCACTGTGATATAGTTTGGCTCTGTGTCCCCACCCAAATCTCACCCTGAATCGTAATAATCCCCACATGTCAAGGGTGGGACCAGGTGGAGGTAACTGAATCATGGGGGTGGTTTCCCTCATGCTATTCTCATAACAGTGAGTTCTCACAAGATCTGATGGTTTTATAAGGGGCTTCTCCCTTCACTCAGCACTCATTCTCTCCTCCCGCCATGTAAAGAGGTGCCTTCTGCCATGATTTTAAGTTTCCTGAGGCCTCCCCAGCCATGTGGAACTGCAAGTCAATTAAATCTCTTTTCCCTATAAATTACCAAGTCTTGGGTATTTCTTCATATCAGCATAAGAATGAACTAATACATACTGATCTGTTTTCTCACACTGTAATTTCAAGAATGGTATATTAATATGACACTTCATTCATCATAATGCCCTTGAAAGCCAACCAAGTTGTTGGGTATCAATAGTTCATTTCTCTTACTAAGTAGTATTCTAAGTATGAACATAAGATTTCATACTTCTGAAAAAAAGCTCAAAGTAAATATGTAATATGTATATTCATATGGATATGTAATATGGAGTTAAAATATGGTAAGCAAATGTTTAGTTTACCAAATGGCCAAAATGTTTCCAGAGTAGTTGCATGATTTTGCACTCCCATCAGCAATATACAGAGCTAGTTTTTCAGCATCCTTGACAGCACTTGGTGCTGCCACTATTATATTGCTTTAATAGGTGTATAGTTGCAGAATTAGTTTGCTTTTCTCTAACGGATAATAATGACAAGTATATTCTCAGGTACTCATCTACTATTCATATAGCCTCTTTGGTAAAACGTTTCTCATGTCTTTTGCCCATTTTCTAATCGAATATTTTTTGCTGTTGAGGTTTGAGACATACTCCAGATATGAGTCCTTCGTCAGATATGTAGCTTGTAAATATTTTCTCCATGTGTCTAGCTTGTCTTTTTCATCATCTTAACAGGGTCTTTGGTGGAGCCAATGTTTTTAATTTTGATGAAGTCCAATTTATTAACTTTTTTTCTTTTATAGATGATGCTCTTGGTGTTATGTCTAAAATCTCTTTATCTAAGTCAGGGTCACCAACAGTTTCTCCTCTGAGCTTTCAGGACAATATATAATAAAGACTCTGGATAACCTTATTTTCCTCTACAGAGTACTGAGTTGTGTTCTGGCAAGTAGCGTCTGTCCAGTCACCTCAATCCTGTGAAGGCTTCTTTTTGCTTTTGTTAGTACCAGTCTTTTCTTGTTTTTCCTTTAGCCCTAGGATATAGCCCTTAGTCCCGGTACAGGACGCTCAGTCCTAAGGTGTGGCATGGCCCTTCTCAAATTTCAATGGAAAGTTAAAGGTGTTTACCAAGCCCCTCTTTACTTGGTGAGACTTCACCTCCAAACTCTTATCTCCCTAGCACTGAGCAACTGCTGGAATTTCTGCTCAATGCTTTAACCTCCCAGCTGCTGCTTTCTGCTGGGTTCCACAGGGTGTCGTTCAGCACATGCACAGCTTCAAAGTTAGCCAATGACTGTAAAGGAACTTGTACACATATTTTGTGACTCTGCTCTTACTATGATTTTTCCCTACTCATTTGCACCACCCTTTCCCAGCAGGGCCAAATTCCAACCTCAGTTCCTTGCCCCAGGAAGAAGTCACTTTCTGCCTAAACTCTATGCCCTTGGTGTGAACTTAGCACATCTGCAGAAGGATAAGCCAGTTAAACGTACAGCTCAGCCAGGTCCACTTCCCTTCTTTCAGGTAGTGTGTTGCCTCCAGCTTCTACCTACTTTTGTTTTTATATTCCATCCAGATGCATTATTATTATTATTGGCAAGAGGGTAAGCCCAATACAGCTCCTCGACAATTATCAGAACCACGAGCCCAGGCCTGGTTTTTATGTTAATTTCCCAGTTTGGGAGAAGTATAAATTCACACCCCGATACATGAATAAAATTGAAAAAAAAAACTGCAGTTGAAAAATTATATGTAAGACTTTTTTTCCCTATTTCTAGAGCTGAAGATAAAAATCAACAAACTTCGGCTGGGCGCAGTGGCTCATGCCTGTAATCCCAGCAATTTGGGAGGCCAAGGCGGGTGGATCACGAGGTCAGGAGTTCAAGACCAGCCTGGCCAAGATGGTGAAACCCCATCTCTACTAAAAATACAAAAATAAGCCGAGTATGGTGGTAGACACCTGTAATCCCAGCTACTCGGGAGGCTGAGGTAGAGAATTGCTTGAACCTGGGAGGGAAAGGCTGCAGTGAGCCAAGATCACGCCACTGCACTCCAGCCTGGCCGACAGGGCGAGACTCCATCTCAAATAAATAAATAAGCAAACAAACTAACTTGTTATCTCTCTATCTCTCTATGTAGGTAAATGAGTTGCCTTTCTTTTTTTTTTTTTTTTTTTGAAAATGCCCCATTTTTCTAAAAGGATAGCCTTCCAAGGCTCTTAGCTCCATCTAACTGCTTCAAGGCAAACCTCAGGCCTCATCTTCTATTCTTAAATTGTATCAAACCTCAAAACTATTATACAACAGCAATAACCACCATCTCATCTTGTCCCAGACAGTCTTAAAGTATTACTATTTCAGGATTTTAGCTGCCGCCATTTCTGACTTTTGAAAATTTCCCTCACTTTCTTGTTCATTCACATGTGTATTCCAAAGTCTTTTTGTTACATTTTACCCTACATTTTTAGGTTTGTTTGTTTTGTGTTTGTTTTGTTTTTTGTTTTCGAGATGGAGTCTCACTCTGTCGCCCAGGCTAGAGCGCAGTTGTGCGATCTCAGCTCACTGCAACCTCTGCCTCCCGGGTTCAAGCGATTCTCCTGCCTTAGTCTCTCGAGTAACTGAGATTACAGGCATGCACCATCATGCCTAACTAATTTTGTATTTTTAGTAGAGATGGAGTTTCACCATATTGGTTAGGATGGTCTCAAACTCCTGACCTCAGGTGATCCACCTGCCTCAGCCTCCCAAAAGTGCTGGGATTACAGGCATGAGCCACCGCACCCGCCCTCTAGGTTTGTTTTTGTGGTTTTTTTTGTTTTTTTTTTTTGATGTGGGAGGATCACACATAATTTGCAAGATTATCTCAACAGCTAAATTGCCATAATTAGAAGACCACATATTATTTTTATAATTAGAATATTTACAAAATCATAATAAATGCTACATGGAAAAACTATAGGGAAAAATAAGTCCATATATATGTATATATAATTCATATATCTCAGAAAGTGCAACAAGTGCTATTTGTTCTTGAAAAAAGGTTATAAATTGAAAATGAAGACTATGGAAAATAAGGACAATGACAGGACTGATTATGTGTAGTTGTTCTAGTAATGAAAAGCAATACTACTCAAGCTAGGCGAGAGAGAAGAGGAAGTGGTGCAATCGTGCATCTTAATACGGAGCAAGAGCCCAAAGTGGAGCACATAATATCACAGCCTTTGAAATAGATTCATCATACACTACGTTTAGAGTTTCCAAAAGCACACAATTTTCAGGAAGAACTAAGTTAAATAATGCTTCAAATCACCATATATCCACTTTTAACATAAAATTCAATTCTATAACCAATTCAGTAGAAAGCTAAAGAACGTAGTGCCAATATTCTTAAGTCAATAATTCTTACAATATTTCACTCTTTTAAAGAACTAAATCATAAAACATGATTATCCCACCAAAAAACATGAGGACATAGAATGTAAAATAAATTTTTCAAATTAAATTAGAGGCCAGCATTATTCTAAGTGATGTAACTCAGGAATAGAAATCCAAATATCGTATGTTCCCAATTATAAGCGGGAGCTAAGCTATGAGTATGCAAAGGTATACAGAATGGTATAATGGACACTGGAGACTCACAAGTGAAGGAGGGGAGAGGGATTAAAAAGACTACATATTGAGTACAGTGTACACTACTCAGGTGACCAGTGCACTAAAATCTCAGACTTCACCATTATACAACTCATCCATGTAATCAAAAACCACTTGCATTCCAAAAGCTATTGAAATAAAAAATATATATTAAAAACATATTAATTAATTAGCAGTCAGGTGCAGTAGCTCATGCCTGTAATCCCAGCACTTTGGAAGGCTGAGGCAGGTGGATTGCTTGTCACCAGAAGTTAGAGACCAGCCTGGGAAATAATATGAGACACCATCTCTACTAAAAGTAAAAATTAAAAGATTAGTCAGGCATGGTGATGTGTACCTGTAGTCCCAGCTACTGGGGAGGCTGAAGTGGGAGATCAGTTGAGCCCAGGAGTATGAACTTTCAGTGAGCCATGATCGTGCTACTGCACTCCAACCTGGGCAACAGAGCGAGACCCTGCCTAAACAAAAATTAAATAAGATAAATTTCAAAAACAATAATGGTGAAAATAATGTTACACAGCATGATGAACTTAGTGAATTAATAATCTGTTGAGGCCAGGTGTGATAGCTCACGCTGGTAATCCCAACACTTTGGGAGGCTGAGGTTAATGGATCACTTGAGCCCAGGAGTTTAAGACCAGCCTGGCACCTGGTACACAGCAAGCATTCAATAAAGCTTGGCTAAAATGATTTTTTAAAAATTAAAAAGGCCAGCCTGGGCAACATAGGGAGACTACGTCTCTACAAAAAATAAAAAATAAAAAAATAGCTGGCCATGGTGGCATGCACCTCTAGTACTAGCTAGTTAGGAGGCTGAGGTGGGAAGATGGCTTAAGCCCAAGGTAGTGAGCTATGATTGTGCCACTGTAGTCCAGCCTGAACAACACAATGAGACTGCATCTCAAAAATAAAAATAGTAATAATCTGTTGAAAATAAAGAGAAAATGCAATGGCAATTAATGACAATTAATACAATGATTAACATTTCCTGAATGTTTTTTTTTAGAAAAATGTTAAAACAGCAGTTATAATCTATATAAGTTTTAATATTATGCTCTTATTGCATACATCACATGAGAGCTAAAGTGGCACTGCAAAGGAAAAGATGTACCTTTACAATGGAGCTCTCTGGCAGCACTACTTTAATCAAATGATCAAAGTAGGTGCAACTATTAAAACCTGACACTGCATGCTTCCTGATGAGTTCAAATATGAAGTACCCAGTATCACCTATGATATGTTCTTACCAAAAAAAAAAAAAAAAGGTTCAACCTAAATCTAATGAAGCGTCCAGACCTAACCTACAGTTTATAGGAAATGTGTGGACTAGAGGAATAAGTTAGCAATACCAAAAAAAGCAAGCAGACAAATCTGGAATGTGGAATATTCAACAGGACAAACAGCCTGGACTCTCCAAGAATCAATGTAATGTGGCAAGAAAAAATAGAGGAACAATTCTAGAAAAAAACATGAGGAAAGAGACTCCAACAGTGAATTATAGAGAGCACCAAGTTGTTTCTTATAATGATGCAAAGGTGATTTATTTTTAGGAATTCCATTAATATAATCCACCTATTAATAGAGATAGGAAGAAAAATTAAATACTCCTATCTTCTGATGCCATACCAAACTCAATAACCATTAATGTTAAAAACAAAGAGGAAACTGGTAAATACTTATTTAACATGATTTTATGCCAACACCAAGTATTCATGAGAATACAGAGCACTGAACATTCTTTCATTAGTCAAAGCATTTTAACTTATACAACCTTACTGGAAAACAGTTTAGATTACCCCCTAAAGTTGAACACACACATATCCTGTAACCTACCAATTCCATTCCTACACATATCCAACAGAGAGCTTGCGCAAGTGCATCAAAATGTGTGTGCAAGGCTTTTAATAGCCAAATACAGAAAACAATCCAAATGCCCATCACCAGTGATGTAGTATACTCATGTAATAAAAATGAACTACAGGTACAGGCAACAAGGATGAATTCCATAAACATAATATGAAATAAAAGAAGCCAGATACCAAAGTATACATATCATATGACTCAATTTAAACAAAATTCAAAAGCCGGCAAAATCATGACAGAATTGGAAGTTACGGTAACTTCCTTTGGCACAAAGGGAGAGAACAGTGATCAGGAGAGAGCACAAGAGGATCCCCGGGTATGCTGGCAATGTTCTACTTAATGTTCTGTTTCTTGACCCAGTGACAGTTTATTGGGTTTTCACACTTGGCAATAATTCATTAAGCAATACATTTATGTTTTGTATGTATTTCCAACACTTCAATAAAAAAGAATTATAATTTTCAAACCAGAAAGAAAGTACAAAGTAATCTCTAAATATCTAAAAAAAATTGAAAACATATGTAACTATATATCATATTGGTGACAAAAGTACAAAGTGAAGAATTATATAAATTGCTTTTAAAACTCAGCGTTTTGACTGTACATATCATCCAGTGGGTTATATCCCAAGGGAAAAAAAGTACTTAAAATGCACTTTGTAGTTTTGTTGTTAGTAACAATACGTGTACTATTTTTAAACTATTCTAAACTCTAAGCTAAAAAAAAAGATAATTATGTTAATGTTATTAATGGCCAAGAGTGTTTTTTTTTGAGACAGAGTCTTGCTCTGTTGCCTAGGCTGGAGCGCAGTGGTCCGATCCCAGCAGCCTCCGCCTCCTGGGTTCAAGCAATTCTCATGCCCCAGCCTCCCAAGGAGCCAGGATTACAGGCGTGCATCACTATGCTCGGCTAATTTTTGTATTTTTAGTAGAGATGGGGTTTTGCCATGTTGGCCAAGCTGGTCTCGAACGCCTGAACTCAAGTGATCCACCCACCTCAGCTCCCAAAGTGCTGGTATTACAGGCATGAGCCACCGCCCCAGCCAGGAATTTTAGCTTATGAGAAGAAAAATAAAAATTGTAAATCAAAAGGTAAAAACGAATTTTAAATCTGAATTGGAGCCAGGCGTGGTGGCTCACCGCTATAATCCCAGAACTTTGGGAGGCCAAGGTGGGTGGATCACCTGAGGTCAGGAGTTTGAGACCAGCCTGGCCAACATGGTGAAACCCCATCTCTACTAAAAATACAAAATTAGTCGGGCATGATGGTGCATGCCTGTAATCTCAGCTACTCAAGAGGCTAAGGCAGGAGAATCGCTTGAACCCGGGAGGCAGAGGTTGCGGTGAGCCGAGATCGCGCCGTCGCACTCCAGCCTGGGCAACAAGAGCAAAACTCTGTCTCAATAAAAAAATCTGAATTGGAAAAGCAGAATAAACTGTGAATTTTTCTCTTTTTAAGAAACAATAGTACCTAGATCTAACCTCTGAAAAGCTCTACCAGGAAAAAAAAAAAAAAAAAAAAACCTAGAGAACCCAGATTGAGTTCTCTAACTACATCTTCTAACAAAGTAAACAAGATTCCTTATAGAAGTGGTTTCAAAACTAGGGGTTGACTATTCCCGAAACAAGCCTATGAAAGCTCACTGCCGAGAAGCCAGCAAGCTGTCAGAGACAGGAGTAGGCTCATGTCAAAGGGAGAAAGGAGCAAACTTGAAAGAGCTCCCACTGGATGGAGATGAAACAATGTAAGCATCAAAAAGACTAATGACTGCAAAGGACTAGACGATATACATATACATATATACACCTGTAAGTTCTTAACAATATAAAATCAATCTCACTAGACACGGAGATTTCTCAGGTACCAACTCTTTATTCTGAAAACTGACCTATGAAGAGGAACAATCAAGCATTTATCCTGCCTTGCAAAACAAACTCTATTTTAAGGATAACCAAATAGTTGATCAGGGAAAGATCTTCTGTAAGAAAACTTCCAACTACAAATAGAAAGGAAATTACAGAATAAGAAAATTATCATTTTGCAACTCTAAAGGATTACTACATGTAGACAATAATCGATTGATGTTAAAACTGTTAAAAAAAAAAAAAAAAAAAAAGAGTGAGGAGTTCCTGACTCACAGATAAGGGTATGAAGAAAAAAAAAGAGTGATGGGAATATTTATAATAAGGCTGACAACATCTGAGTCTAGTGATCAACTTTAACCCCTCTAATAGAGGCATATAATGTTTAATTGTCTCACTTCCTATGAAGCAGTAGGAGAAATACAGCACCAACTGTGACAAATTCCTATTTCCCCAAGCCATCCCCCCAAAAAAAAGTACTGAATCAAGGGTCCACATCTAAGCAGCCATGCGCAAGAAAGGAAAGGCAGGTGATAAAGGACTATATTAAATAACACCAAAAGGGTGCAGTAAAGCTTCTGGTATTCCAATTTGGGCCAAGACAAGGGACAATTTGTCTGTAACAAATAAATGACACTAAAAAATAAGAGACCAGGAATTAAGAGACTTAAGGGTCACAATATCTAAACGCAATCCTGGCTCAAAGAAAAATTACAAAATGACATGTATGAAACCACCAAGAAAATCTGAACACTAACTGGGTATTAGATGATATTCAGAGACTACTGCTGAATGTATTGGGTGTGATAATGAAATCATGGTTATACATTTTTCTAATCCTTTTCTGCTAGCAAAAGATATTTACTAGTAAAATGATATCATTTTATTTAAAATACTCCAGCAAGAAAGAGAGAGGGAGAGAAAAAGGGAGAGGGGGAATGAAAGCAGGACACAAGATGAAACAAGATTAGCCAGTGTTGATTGCTGGAAGCAAATGATACTACCTCATTACTCTAGCCTCTCTACTTCTATATATGTTGAAATTTTCCATAATTTAAAAAAAAAAAATTTGAGACAGGGTCTTGCTCTGTTGCCCAAGCTGGAGTGCAATAGCATGATAATAGCCCACTACAGCCTCAACCTCCCAGGGTCATGTCTCAGCCTCCTGAGTAGCTGGGACCACAGACGTGCACCACCACACCAAACTCTATTTTTTCTAGAGACAGGGTCTCCTTATGTTGCCCAGGCTGGTCTCAAACTCCTAGGCTCAAGTTATCCTCCCACCTCAGCCTCCCAAAGTACTGGGATTACAGCCGTGAGTCACCACGCCCAGCTGATAATAAAGAAATTTAATGAATGGGTTAACCTAAAATGTCTGTTAATACTCCTTTTGGCCAGGAGTGGTGGCTCATGCCTGTAATCCCAGCACTTTGGGAGGCTGAGGCGGATGGATTATTTGAGGTCAAGAGTTCGTGATCAGCCTGGCCAACATGGTGAAACCCCATCTCTACTAAAAATACAAAATAAATTAGCTGGGCGTGGTAGTGCATGCCTGTAATCCCAGCTACTCGGGAGGCTGAGGCAGGAGAATCGTTTGAACCTGGGTGACAGAGGTTGCAGTGAGCCAAGATCACGCCACTGCAATCCAGCCTGGGCAACAGAGTGAGACTCAGTCACAAAAAAAATTCCTTTCAGTTTTAGAATTTGATGGGTCTATATTAAATTTCATAAAATATATCCACTGCACGCTTCAGACTAAATATATTGGCTTAATATCAGAAATGTTTTTTAAAATTATTACACATAGAAACCACAATGATTACAGAGTGGTAAATGTGTTATCTAGGAATATAAGCTTCAGATGGTTATATTTTTCAGTAAAAAAGATACAGATGTCAATAAATGCTTCTAAATGCATAAAGGAGATCATGACCAGTTATTTTCTGTAGCTGTTGATGACAGAATAAGATGAAAGAGATTTAAATTATATTACAAGGATAGTAAAATAGATTTTTGCTCCATTTTTTCTGTCTCTTTATAACAAATTATACCATCATATTCTTCTGACATTCTTTTAATCATTCATTAAACTCTCCAGCATTAACTGCCTAAAATACACATTACTTTGCTGGCTCGGCACTGTGGGGTACAAAGGTGAGTAACAAAATGAGGTTCTATGCCATTAAAATGCTTATAGGGGCCAGGTGCAGTGTCTCATGCCTGTAATCCCAATACTTTGGGGAAGCCAAGACAAATGGATCACTTGAGGCCAGGAGTTCAAGACCAGCCTGACCAACATGATGAAACCGTGTCTCTACTAAAAATACAAAACTTAGCAGAGCATGGTGGCATGAACCTGTGGTCCAAGCTACTCGTGAAGCTGAGGCTGAGAATCTCTTCAACCCGGGAGGCAGAGGTTACAACGAGCCAAGATCACACCACTGCACTACAGCCTGGGCAACAGAGCGAGACTCTATCGCAAAAAAATAAATAAGTAAGTAAAATAAAATAAGATGCTTATAGGGTCTGCAACCACAATTTTTCCTGTTCACTGAGAGTAAACCTAATAGAGAATTTAGGATTCATCTTACACTTGAAATTTTGTTACTGATTATTGAAAAATTATCTACAAGCACCCAATTGTGAGTTTTACAGAAAACTGGTCTCAAGAGTTATGAACCAAAGATTCACTCCACGGGGTTCCCAGATCCCCTAAAATCATGTGCTAGGTGTTGACTTTATTTTTCTGGAGAGACTATAATGGTTTTCATTCATCTTATTCATCTCAAATGGTAAAAATCACCAGTGGAATGGAGCCACACATCCTGTAGCAGAAACTTCTAAAAAAAAAAAAAAAAAAAAAAAAAACAGGAAAAAGATGAAACATGGTACCATGTACCTGCTCAGCCTCCACAGATCCTGCTTTTGGAAACTGAAACATAAATTCTTAAAACTTGCACAACTTTTTTTCTGGTGCTTGAATGACCTCTAGTGGCTACTTAAATTATCACAGCCAATTGCTCACAGCAGGAATTAGGTTGGTGCAAAAGTAATTACAGTTTTTGCCATTAAAAGTAATGAAATAAAGAACTAAAAAGTGTTGAGAAATAACAAAATTAAGATGGCATCACAAAGGAGCACCTAGCTCAATTTCAAGTTATTATACAAGCTCTCTATTATCCAACCAAATGTAGTTCACAATACAGTGTAATTCAAAATAGTTCACCAGATAGTTCAGTACACGCCATTTTTTTTAATCAAATAAGTATGATTTTCCCTAAATTCTTGCATTTCGAACTAATAAAGCATCAGCAAATACCCATGAAGAGAACAGTACTGGAATAAAAGATACAAGAACCTCGGGAATTAACATCCACCCTTTCCTCTCAGTTGAGGCAGCACCAGGAATACAATGTCAACAAAGTACAACAACTGGAGTAAGAGAAATACTTTGAGAATATAAACTGGCCACAGAACTCAACCTGAGTGAGAACAGGTAACAAATATGGTTCAGGAACTGCTGGGCCAAACTCTCCAAGTGGGAGTACAGCAGCAGCAACAGCAAGTACCAGTAGAATGAGGCCATCACATCACCCAGGGTGACCAACAGGTCCCAGGTTACTTCACATGCCCTCTGCCCAGCCCCTTGACAATTCCTGCAGCAGCAAAACACACCATCTTCCAGGCACTGCCACACGGAGTCCCAAGAATGCTGATACAGTTTTATTTATTTTGAAATATTTGTCAGTATCTATACATACACAAGGCACTGTCTAGGCACTGGAGTGGAGTGTTGAACAAGACAGTTCAAAATCCCGATTCCAATGGAGCTTGTAGTCTAGTGTGGAAAGAGAAATAAATACATAAAATGCCAGGTGGTGATACATGCTGTGAAAAAGATAAAGTAGAACAATGGGGTTTGGAAATTACAGGGTGGTCGTAGTATTCTTTTCTATAAGTTGATCATCTCAATTCAGACTAGCTTTTCTTCAAGCACTCAATAGCCATAGTGGCTGGTGGCTACTATACTGGATAGTTCAACAAATCTGAAACTATCATCCATGCCTTTTTAGTTCATAATCTTTATCCTCTTTCTTTCTGAATCCTAAGAGAATTCATCCAACTGATCTTCAAATTCACTAACTCAGCTTCCTAAAGTATCCATCCTACTTAATACTTATTACTGCAACTACTGAATCATTTAATTCAACAGTCATATTTCACATATTCAGAGGCTCCTTCTTCACAGCTCCTGAGCAACCAATGCCTGCTCTGACGATGCAGGAACATCCTCTAAAATCTTGGCACTTTGTCTTGGACTTTAAGTTCTCTCCCATCTCCTACAGCTACTCCATCTCACTGGAGACCTTTTGCTCTGAGCCATCAGAAGGAACCCCCATTTTTGAGATCCTAAGCCTTCTCATCTTCCTGGTAATACTGCCCTAGATGCTCAATCTTTCAGACAAAAATCTACCTGACACATCTCTGAGAACCAAGCTGGGTACCATCAGTAATCATATAGGTCACAATTCATTTTTTTAGGCCCCCCAAAAAAGGAAAAATTTAGACTTTGTGGCATTTTACTAGTAACTCAGAGATCCAGCAGTTTGCAGGAAATAGAGATGGAATTGTAAGCAAGGGAAATACACTGAAATTAAATTAATCTCCACCCAGACACTATAAGGCCAGCTGGGATACTATCCCAGCAATTGGCTGCTGCAGTGAACAGCACAGAGAGAAAATGTTCCAATTCCTCTTAAGGCTCCAAATACCAGTTGGCTACTACAGTGGACAAGACAGACATAGAAATTTTTCCAATTTTTCTTAAAGCCCCAAATACCACACAACCAGCTTCAACTCTACAAAATCCCCTCTCCTTACCCCTTTTTTACTTCCTTCAGGAGCTCTTGCTGTTTCCCCTAAAAGCCTTGGTTCTTTTCACCTATGCTGACTCTTGAGCCTCTCCCAGTTCAAGGGATAAAACTCCATTACCAATTAAGTGTAACATACGTTAACGGAATAGGTAGAAAGTAATCTTTCATACGAAAACACTACATTCAAGGTGAAAGGCCAAAATAATTTGAATTTTGAATTGTAAGCTATGCTTTAACTAGGAAATACATTAGTCTGTTGGACAGACTATAAGAAAACTAGAAATGAAAAAAGCCTTATTCAAAAACAAATGAAATAATGATGAGTAGAGTTCATAAGCCTTGTTAACTCTGCTGTGCCATTTTAATGATGGACTACATTGTATATGTGCTGCTATGTTTAAGCCTAAAGGTCTGTTGAGGTAACAGTTTTAGAACGATTGCCACAATCCCACAGAGAAAAAACAAGTGAAGGTCGGTGAAAGCTGCAGGTTCTAAATTACAGAATCAAGAACAGTATTTCTTGACATTCATCACATTTAAGTAATAAAAGACATTACCTCAACAACAGGTGTATTTTCCTGGAGCTCAGCTGTGTGCGAAGCCAGTAAACCAATTACGTGAGCAACCTTGGCCCGTCTGTAAATGGAGAGAAAACAGGCTCTGAAAAGAAGAGTCGGGGACCGAGGAAACTAATCCCAGCTAGTTACATTATGCAATGATGAGCATTAGATATAAGACTGAGAAATAAAAATTGAATGTGACAGGTCAGGCCCACACTCCCACATGTACACAGCCCAGAGAAACTCTCCCTCGTATACTTAGGGAGACACGAACCGTAATGTCCGCTGCAATACTGCAACAGCGACAAAATTTAAACAAGTTGTGGTTTAATAGTAAAACGAAAAATAAAAATTTTAAAAATCTTTAACCAGAGAAAAGAGCAAAACAGTAATTAATCCTTTTATTGCTGAGTACAGAGGCATTTGGCTAAAGGTCTCTTTTCTACTTGTTAGTAGATCAATGAGTTTCTATGTAAGTAGTAAATAATATCTGAACAGTAACATATCTGTATGTATTCAGTGTAAAAGAAATTTTTACAATCAAGTTTTTAAATATTGTTATTTGCATAAACACTAGTTTTAATGAGGTGTTCCTTTAGTATCCAGCAGAAAACTGAAGTGGATAAATTACTATTAAATGACATTCAATGTGATTTGAAAAGGTATTTCATGCAGAGAAATTAGTTTTGATGAGTTTTTTTCTAATTAAAACAAATGGTGAGTTGATGAAAACTGCACTCTTATTTAGTGATGTCTGCATGTTGTCTAGGATAATCAGTATGTACCTTAGTCAGCTTTTATTTTTTACCATCTTAAAATAAACCTATGTGGTACCCATGGAGGAAAACAAATCAGACTCAGAGAAGTACTACAGGGAAAATGTCTGCGTTATCACAACTCTAACATACAGAAATAATCCTTATAAATTTCAACACTTCTTAAATTTCCCATTAAAATCTCTTAACCTACACAAATTAAAGAAGTCCTAGGCAATTGTAGAATTAGCATCCCACCTGTGAATAAAAAGATTATACTTTAAAAGTAGTCATTTTGAAAAATATCTGTAGGACAATTGGAAAAGCCATCCTCCCACCTCAACCCCCCCAGCTAGCTGGGACTGTAGGCATGCACCACCACAGCCAGCTAATTTTTTTTACTTTTTGTAGAGATGGGGTCCGCTATGATGCCCAGGCTGACCTTGAACTCCTGAAAAACAATCCTCCCATCTCAGCCTCCCAAAGTTCTGGGATTACAGGCTTGAGACACTGCATCTGTCTATCTCTTTTCAAAGACAAGCTCAAAAAACTTATGAAACACTTAACCATTTTTCAATTTATAAAAGTAAATATTGGCTACCAGATTTATTCAACTAAAATAAAAATGTATCAACATGCCAATTATTTTCCCTAATATGACCAAAAACAATTCCTATTAGAATAAAACACACTACCTAAAAACCTTATACTTTTAAAATAGAAAATTTAAATCACTTATGAATATTCACTTTTTACCAAAATCCTAAATACAAGTACCACATACCCTATATACAACACCCTCACAGTATAGGTTCCTTCTCAAAATTCAGGTTTTCTCAGGTCACCATTTCAGGTGCCCCCAGTGACTCGACACTGTACCTCAGAACCAACCCATCTTTCACGACAGCATCTAAGGCAGCACTATCTAACAAACCTTTGTGCCCTGACAGAAATGTCCCACATCTGCACTGCTCAATATAGTATCCACTAGACATGTGACTATCAAGCACATAAAATATGACAGATGCAAGTAAGGAACAAAATATTTTTAAAAAGTTTTTTTTTTTTTGAGACAGATTCTCACTCTGTCACCCAAGCCAGAGTGCAGTGGTGCAATCTCCGCTCACTGCAATGCCTCCCAGGCTCAAGCAATCCTCCCAGCTGAGCCTCCCAAGTAGCTGGGACTATAGGTGTGCACCACCATCCCTGCTAATTTTTGTATTTTTAGTAGAAATGGGGTTTCGCCATGTTGTCCAGGCTGGTGTTGAACTCCTGAGCTCAAGTGATCTGCCCACCTCAAACTCCCAAAGTGCTAGGATTACAGGTGTGAGCTACTGCATCTGGCCTTAATTTTTACTTTAAAAATTACCCCCACAGCTGAGGGTGAGGGAGACAGTACCCTGGGGTAATTACTCATCTTTCACGTGCCTGGTCCTGGTTACCTCATAAGTAGGACCAACAACAATACGTACCTCATGTTGTTCTAAGAATCAAAGGAGATAATCCATGTGCAGAAAGTACCATTGTGTCTGACAATATGTGCTGAATGTGGAAGCTACTATTAATTTTTAATTTAAATAACCCCCATGAAGTTAATGGCTACCACATTAGAGCAAAACTAAAATGTTGTAGTTACTTATTCATTCATTTACTTGTTTATTATCTGTCTCCCCAACCAGCCCAGATGATCCATGAAGGCAGGGCTGTATCCCGATCGCCACTGTAACACCTGAACAGTTTGTTGAATAAATATATCAACATCAAAAGCAAAATAACTGAACACACTAGTAGAAAAAAAGTGCATAAAAGTAAGGCTGTACAAGGCAAACAAAAGGCAAACAGGATTTCCAATGTAAATCTCAGTAGAATTAGGCTAAACTCATGAGAAAAAGATTCCCTTTAAACTAAAAACCATATGACGTACAGAAGATATAAAATGTGAATTTTTTTTTTTTTTTGAGATGGAGTCTTGCTCTGTCACCCAGGCTGGAGTGTAGTGAGTGGCACAATCTCAGCTCACTGCACCCTCCGCCTCCTGGGTTCAAGCCATTCTCCTGCCTCAGCCTCCCCAGTAGCTGGGATTACAGGCACGCACCACCATGCCCAGCTCATTTTTGTATTTTTAGTAGAGACAGGGTTTCACCATGTTGGCCAGGCTGGTCTCGAACTCCTGAACTCGTGATCCACCCACCTCGGCCTCCCAAAGTGCTGAGATACAAGTGTGAGCCACCGCGCCCAGCCTGGTGTGAATCTTTATACACCAAATAACAAAGCATGAAAAGTAAACCCATAGTAGTGGTAAACTTCAATTTTCTTCTCTTCCAAGCACAGAGAGAAGGCAACAATGAATACATTCATCAATACATTCACACATTCAAGCATCCTAAATAAAACTACAAAGTCAAAGTAACAGATGAATCTATCGAACTCTACACCCTACAAACAGTGACCACTCTTACTCAGTGGGAGTCTGTATAGGATGGTGTCTAAGACTCTGAATTCAAAGTCTTGGACCTGGCCCTGGCCCCACCACTGGGGGCGAGGGAGACAGTACCCTGGGATAATCACTCATCTTTCTTATGCCTGGTAGGCACAACAAGTAGGACCAATAATAATATGTACCTCATGTTGTTCTAAGAATCAGGAGATAATCCACATGCAGAAATTACCATTGTGTCATGACAATTTGTGCTGAATGAGCAAGCCACTATTACTATATTAACAGTTAACTGCATTCATGGCATACATTAAAAATGACTTTATATTGGACCACAAAGATATTGGAATTATTAGAATTCCCTAAGGCAGAAATTATACAGGACTCATTTTGATGTAGTGAAAGGAGAAAAGTAAAAATAACAAATATAAACCAAAAAGCCTAAACACTTGTGAAATTAGAAGCACTTCTGCTGGGCATGGTGGCTCATGCCTGTAATCCCAGCATTTGGGAGGCCGAGGCAGGTGAATCACTTGAGGTCAGAAGTTCAAGGCCAGCCTGGCCAACATGGTGAAACCCCATCTCTACTAAAATATACAAAAATTAGCTGGGCGTGGTGGTGGGCGCCTGCAATCCCAGCTACTCGGGAGGCTGAGGTAGGAGAATCGCTTGAACCCAGGAGGTGGAGGTTGCAGTGAGCCAAGATCATGCCACTACTGCACTCCCGCCTGGGTGACAGAGTAAGACTCCGTCTCAAAAAAAAAAAAGCACTTCTATATACCTTATACATCATATTAAAAAATGAAAACTTTGGCCAGGTAAAGTGACTCACATCTGTAATCCCCAGCACTTTAGGAGGATGAGATGGAAGGATCACTAAGGCCAGGAGTTCAAGACCAGCCTGGCTAATAAAGTGAGACCCTGTCTCCACAAAAAGAAAAAAAAAAATGTTTTTAATTTAGCCAGGCATGGTAACATGCACCTGTAGTCCCATTCCAGCCTCGGGGACACAGTGAGACCCTATTTTTTTTAGAGTGAGTCTCTAAAAATAATAATAAAATAAATAAATAAGGAAAAGAAACAAAAGAAAGAATAAAAGGGAAAGGTAAAGAAAGCATCCATAAATCATAATCATGTAACACAGATCTAAACTTATGAGACATTCTCTGTCTTTAATGATTGCAGACTAAACACTTGACACTCACTTTTCTGATCCCTCTAGAGTCTCTAAAATACAAGTTCTTTTTATTAAATGATAACTGATAACTAGAAACAAAAAGGAAGGCTAAAAGTGGACTAGAAAGTTTGAGAAAATCTCAGATGACATGCATAGATAGAATTAAGACTGACAGAGAACCAACAAGGGAATCCTCTATCTAAGAATCACAGGTAGACAGACGTTCCCAAGGAAGCCTCAAGGACTTGGAACAAACTAAGACAGAAAGCAAGAATGAGCCACAGGACAATCATCAGATTACAACTGCACAAGGAACAATTGTGTCCTTGTACAAGGAACAGTTTAGTCAGTCAGGTCCTGCCTCTTTTCCATCACCCTTCCTTGGTACACAGAATAAACCCTGCAGCCCTGGCCTCCGGGGTAAACGTGGAAAATTGTTCCTACAGTGAGCAATCCACCTTGGGGTGGGACATAGGTGTGGATGTGGGAAGCAGAGACTGTGGTCCTCCAGATACTGAAACAGGGAAGGGGTAAATGAGGAAAGCCAACTCCACTCCAAAGAAAAACCCACCCTGGCAATTGCAGAGGCCTCCAGCCTGCCTACCTGATCTTCAGCCAGCTGGAATTCCAAATTAAAGTCAACCAGTCAGCAGGCCCCACCTACCCACATACCAACCCTTTATTTAAAGGAGAGGCTATTGGAGAAAGAGACTTAGGCAAGCATAAAGGAAACTCACATTGCCAACTTCTATACCAATCAATTTAATCATTTATTCATAATATAAACTAAGAACCAGAGATCACCAGGCATTTGAGAAATAAACAGCATTAAAAAGCAGGACCATGATGAAAAAGTGACCTACAAGTTCAAGAGGTAAGAATACAATGTTTATAATCCTAATTTTGTTCCCTTTTTTTCAAAGTCCAGGTTCCAGGCTTATATTATATAATCCTAATGTTTAACCTTTAATATTAATAACAATATTTAATTCTAAATTCTGCCCCAAGAAGAGAATTTTTATAATCCTAATATTTATCTCAAATTCAGAAGTATATGATACACCAAATATATGCAGCTAGGAAAAGGGACCAATCAGACAAAAAGAAAATGAACAAAACCTTTCAAATATGATTGTTGAAATTAAAAAATTAACTGGAAATCCTAAATAATAAAATGAGTGGGGATAAATACCAAGCTTGAGAGCTCAAAGATAAAGTCAAGGAAGAGCAATAAAAGAAGAGAATTTGCATGGACACAAAGAGGGAACAACAGACACCGGGGCCTATTTCAGGGTGGAGGGTGGGAGGAGGGAGAGGATCAGAAACAATAACAATTGGTACTTACTAAGCTTAGTACCTGGGTGACCAAATAATCTGTACAAGAAACCCCCATGAGTTTACCTATATAACAAATCTGTATTATGTACCCCTGAACCTAAAACAAAAGTATAAGAAAGAGAGTTTGGCAGTTCTTCAAAAGGTTGAACACAGAGTTATCATTTTATCCAGCAATCTCACTACTGTAAGAGAAATAAAAACGTATGTTCACACAAAACCTTGTAGACAAATGTTCAGCGCACCATTATTCATAATAGCCAAATGTGGAAACAACCCCAAATGTCCATCAAGACCACATAAGCAAAATGTGGTATAGCCACACAAGGATTATTCAGCTATAAAAAGAATGAAGTATTCACACATTCCACAATACAGATGAACCTTGAAAACATTATGCTAAATGACAGAAGCTAGACACAAAAGGCCACATACTGTATGATTCCATTTATATGAAATATCAAAAATAGGCAAATCAGCCAACAGGAAGTAGATGAGTGGTTGCCAGGGGTTGGAGAAGAATGGGTACTGGGTTTCGCTGGGTGAGAAAAATGTTCTGAAATTAGATAATGGCAATGGTTGAACAACTTTCAATATACTAACACCTACTGAACTGTACACATTAAAATGGTGAATTTTATGGTATGTGAATTATACCTCAATAAACAAGAGAAAGTGAGAAAGCAAAAGAAAATTTAAAAGAAAAGTCAAGAGAGACAAACTCCCACACCCATCCTGTAGGGGTTTCAGGAACAGAAAAAGGATGAAATAGGAAGAAATCTAAGAAATAATATAAAAGCTAAAGGAGGGATGAAGAGGCTAGGCATCGTGGCTCACACCTGTAATCCCGGCACTTTGGGAGGCCAAGGCAGGTGGATCACTTGAGGTCAGGAGTTTGAGACCAGCCTGGCCAACATGGTGAAAACCCATCTCTACTAAAAATACAAAAATTAGCTGGGCATGGTGGTGCACACCTGTAATCCCAGCTACTCGGGAGGCTGAGGCAGGAGAATCCTTGAACCCGGGAGGTGGAGGTTGCAGTGAGCCAAGATCGCGCCACTGCACTCCAGCCTGGGCGACAGAGCAAGACTCTGTCTCAAAATAAACAGAAAGAAAAGAAGGGAAGGAAGGGACAGGAGGGACGGGAGGGAAGGAAGGGACAGGAGGGACGGGAGGGACGGGAGGGACGGGAGGGACAGGAGGGACAGGAGGGACGGGATGGGGGAAGGAAGGGATGGGAGGGGGGAAGGAAGGGACGGAAGGGGGGAAGGAAGGGATGCGGGGAAGAAAGGGACAGAAGGGGGAAGGAAGGGACGGGAGGGGGAAAGAAGGGACGGGAGGGGGAAAGAAGGGACGGGAGCGGGGAAAGAAGGGACGGGAGGGGGAAAGAAGGGACGGGAGGGGGAAAGAAGGGACGGGAGGGGGAAAGAAGGGACGGGAGGGGGAAAGAAGGGACGGGAGGGGGAAAGAAGGGACGGGAGGGGGGAAGGAAGGGACGGGAGGGGGAAAGAAGGGACGGGAGGGGGGAAGGAAGGGACGGGAGCGGGGAAGGAAGGGACGGGAGCGGGGAAGGAAGGGACGGGAGGGGGAAGGAAGGGACAGGAGGGGGAAAGAAGGGATGGGAGCGGGGAAAGAAGGGACGGGAGGGGGAAGGAAGGGACGGGAGCGGGGAAGGAAGGGACGGGAGCGGGGAAGGAAGGGACGGGAGCGGGGAAGGAAGGGACGGGAGCGGGGAAGGAAGGGACGGGACAAGACGGGACTGGAGGGAGGGAGGGAGGGAGGGAGGCAGGCAGGCAGGCAGGAAGGAGCAAATTAGTAAAAAGAGATTCCTAGAGACAATCTAGTAAAATTTACAGGCCTGAAATGAAAAGAAAAGCTAACTCAAACAAGTCACACAGAAGAGGGAAAAAAAAAAAAAAGGTAAGGTTTACCCACAAGTCCTACAGAACTACAGTTAGTACAAGGAAGAGAGCTCAAACTCCAAAGCATGGCACAGAGGTAAGCCACTGAGAGGCCTTCTTGAAAACAAACAAAAAATACTAACAGCCAGGCGCGGTGGCTCATGCCTATAATCCCAGCACTTTGGGAGGCCAGAGCAGGTGGATCACCTGAGATCAGGAGTTGGAGACCATCTGGCCAACACGGTAAAACCTCATCTCTACAAAAATACAAAAATTAGCCGGGCATGATGGCAGGTGCCTATAATCCCAGCTACTCGGGAGGCTGAAGCAGAAGAATCACTTGAACCCGGGAGGCAGAGGTTGCAGTGAGCTGAGATTGTGCCACTGCACTCCAGCCTGAGTGACTGAGCGAGACTCCGTCTCAAACAAACAAAAAAAAACCTACCAAATGATAAAATCTAATCAACCAAGAGAAGAACTACAGCAAAGAAACAGGAAAACTATGTTTTTAATTAAAAAATTTATGATGGATGAGCATTTACTTTACCTTATTCAAGTATAAAACTCTTATTTGAAAAATAGAAAAATTCCTCCTAAATTCATATCTCAAAAAGGCACTTGCCACAGTAAAAAGCAACCTATGTAATGAGAGAAGATATTTGCAATCATTTATCTGACAAGGGGTTAATATCTAGAATATATAAAAAATACCTACAACTCAACAACATAAAACTCAGTTCAAAAATTGGCAAATGACTTGACTAGATCTTTCTCCAAAGAAGATATACAAATAGCCAACAATCACACGAAAAGATGTTCAACATCACTAGTCACAAAATACAAATCAAAACTGTAAGATACTACTTCACACCCATCAGGATAGCTGTTAGCAAAAAACAAAAACAGAAAACACTAATGTTCACAGCAGCATTGTTCACAATAGCCAAAAGATATAAACAAGCCAGTGCCCAACAACAGATGAAAAGATAAACAAAATGTAGTATATGCATACAACGGAATATTATTCAGCCTTAAAAAGGAATGAAATGCTGACACATGTTAGTTATAACATGGATGAACCTTGCAAATGAAACCAGCCCAATTGTCCTATAGAACTGATGTTTACAGTCTTTTAAAATAAACGTAGAAATTGACCCTCCCAGTCTTAAAACTTGAGGAAGTTACATTTGTCTTATCTGAGTTCCTTTCTTGGGAAACCAACCATCAGGCCTCCCAGATAGTTATCAAGGAACTGAAACTTACCAAATCACCATATCTGGACCATAAGACACCAGACCCCCTCACCCATTACAATTGCCTAACCAACTACCTGCTTCCTGTTGACCAATTCCTCTTCCTCACCCTTCCTTGATTCCTGTTTTCCCATACATGGTTATATTTCTTCCCTGCTAAATACATCCCTGGTTTTAGTCAGTTGAGGAGACAAATTTGAGACTGATCTCCCATCTCCTTAGCTGCAGCACCCAATTGAAGCCTTCTTCCCTAGCAACACTCATTGTCTCCGTGATTGGCTTTCTGTGCTGTGAGCAACAGGACTTAAACCAAACCCCTTGATATTTCAGTAGCAATATGAGGTACTCACCATAAGCAAATTCACAAAGATAGAATAAGTAGAGTATAGGTTACCAGGACTGGGGAAGGAAAGGGGAAGTTACTGTTTAATGGGTAAAGAGCTTCTGTTTAAGATGATGAAAAAGTTTTGGAAATGAATAGTGGTGATGGTTATACAACAATGAGAATGAACTAAATGCCATTATATACATAAAAATGGCTAAAATGGAATATTTTAAATTATGCATAATTTACAATTAACAAATTTTTTAAATTACAGTATTACACTATTACTATATGTGAATTATACCTCAAAGTTGACTGGCAAGGATAAAAGGATATACAATTTGATAAATACTCAATGTTGGAAGTTCTAACAAAAGGCATTTTAAACACATTGACTGGGATTATATATTGATACAATTTTTTTAAGAGTATTTCAGCAATTTTTCAGAAGTCACAAAAATATTTACTGCCTTCTATCCATCTGTTCTAATTCTACAAATCTTCCCTAAAGAGAAAAAGAAAAAGCAGGCACAAAGATTTATTCTCAAAAATGTTCATCAAAATATTATTTACAACATTATAATACTATCCAAAAATAGTAAATAAAATGATCAGATATTCACAACATATAAAAAGTTTATCTTAAGTATTATGTATTTTATTTTTAAATGTTAATAATAACATTTACAATACGTAATATATATGTTACAGGGGAAAACAAACATAAAATTATATCATGTGATTCTAATTTTTTATATACAAAACAAAACTAAAGAATAAATATATCTACGTCAATAATAATTATCTCCCAGACTAAGTTAAGGACCCTTTATCATATGCTGTCAAGGTAATATAACCTGAGGTCAGAGAAAACGTCGCTGGAAGTGGCTTTGAATGGAGAAAGAATAAAAGAGGATTCCTACCAGAGAACTTGTCTACCTCAGTATCACTTTATTCAAATTAAAACTGTTTTACAATCAAACTTCAATTTTTAAAAGTGGGGGAAAAAAACAGTATGTGTGAATTTTGGTATCCAAGGGGATACTAAAACCAATCTCCGGGCTGATACAGAAGGATGACTGTACTTGGAAATGATCTGGAATGTCTGTTTTAAAATGTCAGCAGGGGGCACCCCATTCAAGGATATAACACATTTTAAATAAAGGTGTTTAAATAAGTATTTCATTGATTCATTTTTAATGAGCATACCATGAGCCTTCTCAAAGTATTAAATACTCAACCATTACCTAAAAATCCTACTTTTTATTACCAGATTTTACTTTGGGAGAGTAACATTAGAAGATGTATAGTAAGAACTACCCTTATTATTAAGCATTTTCTAAACTTCTATTGGTTCACCCATATTTCACCAACATAGAAGAATAATTATTATCATACCAGTGCCACAATCCACAAAATCCTTTCGCCTCCATTTTTTCATGTGCCTGTCCTAACAATCATGAGATAAGCAAGCTTGATGATAATAACTACAACTTCTACAACCCCAACCCCATTGTAAATGAAATACCCACTAAGAATCAGGCACTATACAAGGTATCTCATATATTTACCTCATTCAAAGTTGAATAATTACCAAAAATCTATGAAGCAGTTATCCCATCCCAATTTTACAGATGAGGAAACTGAGGCTCAGCAATTAAAGTACTTGGCCCAGAAAGCTGATCTTTGATCCACACCCAGGTCTGTCTGAATCCTAAACCTATGCCATTTCCTTGTCCCACCCACAGTCCCCAGGAAGCAGAGATTGAGAAAAAGATAATCATTTGGCCAAGTCTTATTGGCAAACAGAACCCAGAGCCTTCTAACACTTGATCTACTGTGCTCTCCACCTGGTATGTTGCTTCTGTAAAAAGCAAGGACACTTCCTTCCATCGGGAGTTTATAAATCATAATCCCATTAGATTGTAAATAACATCTAGGGAAGCTATGTGCTACATGAGGGAAAGATAAGGGTGGCCAAGGGAAACTTCGAGGAAGTATAACTAAATTAATACACAGGGATCAGGGTTTAAGTATTTTATAATCAATACTCAAAACAGTAACAGTTAGCCAGGCACAGTGGCTCACACCTGTAATCCTAACACTTTGGGAGTCAGAGATGGGAGAATCACTTGAGCCCAGGAGTTCAAAACCAGCCTGTGCAACATAGTGAGAGACCTTGTCTCTAAGAAAATAAAAAAACAATAACAGTTAATAAAGTTTCCAGGAGTACCTTAGATAATCCCAGAATTGTATTTGTAATATTAGGAGAAGGGCTATTTTTAATATTCTAAAATTTATCATTGGAATGCCCATAAAAATTGCCTATGAGTAGAGTCATCATTACATCAGAATAATTTATGATAATTATTTAGGACTCTGCTTTTGATAAATATGTGCTCTGTAACTACTTAATAAAGTCATGAAAAATAATTTTTAAAATATAAACGTTACTTACATATCCCAGTTTGGAGCTATCCGCAAATGCTGGATTAGCAATTGGAACTAGAATAAGAAATTTAAGTGTAAAGAAAAGAAAAAATTAAAATGTTTAAGTCACAAAACACAGAAAATGACAGCAAAGTTAACAGCTCAGGACTTTATACAAAGGAAATTTACACTGTACACCAAAAATGGTATTTACTAAATTACAAAGGCACTAGTATACGAATAAGATTAAAATAAAAACTAAGAACAGTATTTTTAGTTTCTCCTACCACTTTATATTCGCTAAATGACTGCCCTTACCTGATAGACACACACCAACTATCAAAAAAAGTAACCTTAATACTATCCTGGAAGCAAATGAACTTAAATTTTTTCAAGCCAATTCCCAAATGAGGGACCACTATAGAAAACACCTCCGAACCACTGTAATTCCTCTCTGAGGATGACTTCAAAAACTCTGCCAATCGATGCTTAAACATGAGCCAAAAGAAACAAAAACCAAAAAAACTCTGACAAATTCCCTTGAGCTTACCAACAGACCAAGACAGTCCAAAAAGTAATATTCCCAGGGGAAGAGGAAAAAAATGTCTTAGAGGATTGATGTCTTCCTTCAATGTCACATCAGAAACCCTGCAGTTTACCAGATGACCCAGTAAAGGAACCGACACCCCCGACCCATTCCACATGGGGAGTTCATTCCAGTCACTAATGAGAAGGTAAAAGGTCTGTCTTATGATATCACTTTTTTTTTATTTTTATTTTTTGAGATGGAGTTTCACTTTTTTTGCCCAGGCTGGAGTGCTGTGGTGCGATCTCAGCTCACTGCAACCTCTGCCTCCCGGGTTCAAGTGATTCTCCTGCCTCAGCCTCCCAAGTAGCTGGGATTACAGGAGTGCACTGCCACACCCAGCTAATTTTGTACTTTTAGTAGAGACAGGGTTTCACCATGTTGGCCAGGCTGGTTTCGAACTCCTGACCTCAGGTGATCCACCCACCTTGGCCTCCCAAAGTGCTGGGATTACAGGCATGAGCCACTACGCCCAGCCTGATTTCAGATTTTTTTTTAAATCTTACAAGTTAACATAAAATGGAAACCTGAGTATTACAAACAAACAAACAAAATAAGTTCAAAATCACCATCTACTGTCATCTACTTTAGGACCTAAGGATTAAGCAGAGGATAATTTTCATAAACCTAAAATCGTGATAAATCAGTTTTTTTGTGGTAGTTAAATCAAATTGTTATTTTAGCACTTGTTTGAGCCTCTATAAAAACACAAATTAAAATGCATAAGGCATGTCACACAGGCTTACCAGGGGGGAATGGAGGAGCCTGGTGGCCACCTCCTGGTGACCAGCCACCACGCACAAATAGCAAAGGAGATTCAGCTTGGCTCGGGAGGCCCCCATGCTCTTCTCAGTGGAGTCGATCTGCGAGCACACTTGTTGCAAAAAGTCATTCCAATCTTGATCTTTCAGAAATAATAACTTATCCACTGCGATGGAAAGAAAATAATAAAAGTACATATGATGAGAAAAAGAACTGCTGGAAACATTACATAAGAAATAAACACAGAATTACGACAGCTAAGATGAGGACAAACATTACACTGTCAAAACCAAAAATACTCCAAAGATGACACTATTTTTATTCGTCCTTCTATATTCCTAATCTCTTTATCTATCCACGGAAACTTTTTAACCACTTCAATGGAAAACTATACTTTCAAATAAAGCAGATGTCTAAAGCAGAACTGTCCCACAACCTACACTATAACAAAATGCAAAGTTCAATACAACTGGAGTAAAAGACAAAAGAGCCTTTGTATAAATAAATCAACTCTCAAATATTGAGAAAAGCACAAATCCTACAGTTCTTAAAAAGTTCCAATAAAATTATTGTAAAAAAAATAACGAGAATAACATGATAGCTAAAAATCACCTGAAATTCCTACCTCCAAATCCCTATACAAAAAAAAGGCAAAATCTAGGAAATGTGATACCCCCTAAAATTAACATATTTTTGGCTGATCTCTATCTTTAGACAAAATAAATTGTAAATATAATCTCCTAAATAACTCAAAGAAGAAAAGGGAAATAGTATTTCCAGGTGATAATTCTCTAGGTTTGCGTAAATAGTCCTACTTGGCACTGAAAGCACTATTAATAATACTTTGCTTCACTTGGCCTTTCAAAAACGTCCTTCTACACAGTTTCTTTTTTGTTTTTATCAGTAATTAAGTTGACCAATATAAACCCTTAGCTGGTTTATTTAAACCTAAATATATTTTAAATTTACTTCAAATCATAGATTCTACTCTAGCCACGATGAATAATTTTCCCCAAATCGAGTTTAACAGCTTAAAATATAATTTGTTAAACGAAAAAACCAATTTAAGGTATGTAAAAATTTCTGATGGTCACCCTAAATAAGACTTTCATTAGCTCAACAGAAATGTAATAATTATCCCTTAAGTATCTCCACTCCCACACCACCTCCACAGTCATGAACCACCTAGTCCCATTCTCAAATGTCCTGGTCCCTCTAATAGAATCCCAATCCTTCATTGTTGTCCCCAACCCTGTGCACCTATACCAGCCATAAATGGTGGAAATTCAACCAGCTCTAAGGGAAGGGAGGAGAAGACCTCCCACCCACTCTACAGGAAAACTTGCCCAGATCTACAGGAACCTCCCCACCCACAATAGGACTGGGCAGCCCAGACTCAGCTAAGAAATGTCAACAGCTGGCACAAATGAATTACAGATTGTTTACAATTCGTGTAACACTGCCCCAAGAATATAGCCAATTGTCAAGACAAAATAAATTTAGTTATTCACATATATTCTATTTGCAAATAAATTTCATATTTGTATCTGTATACAAAGAGTCTACATGTTCGATAAGTCCTTTATGATCCTACCTGAATATGTTGGTAGATGCAATATTTTTGCATCAAATTTAACTGGTGGCTGTTTCATTATCTGTGGTTTAAAAAAAAAGAAAGCTTTTGAGACAATTTTTAAGATGGATATCTGTCTCCTTATATGTCCCTTATGTCAGATAATAAATCAATGAGGACAAAAAAAGAATGTGCAAAATTTGTTACCAAAAAGAATAAGAACAATGACTTTTCGGATTAAAACACACAAATATAGATAATATTTTTTATAATCATTTCAATTGATATCTGTAATAAAATAAAGCTTCATAGAAAACATTCACTCCTATCTTGGCTTACTTTTTAGCTAATTTACCTCTAATTAGAAATTCAGTCATTCAACAAATATCTATTGGGTACCTGCCAAGGTAAGGCTCTATGCCAAGTGCTAATGGGGATACAAAGATATAAAAGACACAATCCTATTTTCAGAGAGCTGACATCCTAGTTGGGAAGATGAGACAAACATTCGATAAACAACAAAATATTTCACAATTCAAAACATGCAGGACATAACTACAGAGAAAACACTGGACAGAAAGAATTTTTTTGTAAATAGTAGTTTAGAGAATACAGCAAGCACTTTAGTTGATATAGTTAGGACTGGGTTTACAGAGAGGTAGAAGGTGGGTTGAGGTCTTGAAGGATGGTTAATGGTTATATCAGAGAAGACACCACTCCAGGAAGCCATAATAGCATGAATTGGAAAGTGCACAATTATTAATCAAGTATTATGCCACTCCAATTACCACATTCTACTGCCCTCCAAAAGGAGGAACAGATAGGGATTATCCTGCCTGACTAACACTATACCAATTTTAATTCCCAGGTTTTGCTAACTATACTACAGACCTATAAGATGTGAACATTAAGAGCAGCTGGGCAAAAGGTATACAGGAACTCTCAATTATTTTTGAAACTTTTCTCTAAGACTAAAAGTAGTTTAAAATTAAAAGTTAAACACAAAAATTTCTACTGATTAAGGCTTCCCAGAAACTATCAAATATGGTTATAAGAGGGAAAAAAAGAAACACAGAATATTGTCTAAAGCAAGCCTGTCCAACCCGTAGCCCATGGGCTGCATGCAGCCCAAGACGGCTTTGAAAGTGGCCCAACACAAATTTGTAAACCTTCTTAAAACATTGTAAGATTTTTTTTTGCAATTTTTTTTGTTTTTTAGTTCATCAGCTATCGTTAGTGTATTTTATGTGTGCCCCAAGACAATTCTTCTTCCAATGTGGCCCAGGGAAGCCAAAAGATTGGACACCCCTGGTAAAGATAACACAAATTGTTCTAGAAAGCCCACGTTGAAAATGCCCCAATGCTCATCAAACTTAGCATAATAAAGTTACTCTGCCAGACATATGAACTCACAAAAAGAAGTAGCTCCATTATGAAAAATAGCTAAATAATCTATATGAAATGCTGTCTATCTAGAAAATAAATAAGAATTCAAGAACCTTCATGGTCTAAACCACAGTAACGTTCCCAATGAGATAAGAAAAAAGAGTCATGAATTAATACAGAAAAAAACATTTATAAATAAGAAAAAGAAGCAGGAAAATTAAAATAGAGAAAAAGTAGTGGAATGTGAGTATGTTGGGGAGCTGGAAGTCAAGACAAAACAGAGGGACTTAGAAATGAATTTGTTTTTTAAAGTAGATACTCATTATCCCCTAGCAATAAAGTATTATATTCCAAAAGACAAGAAGCAAAAAAACTCACACTGGTTTAGAAGTACATTGTGAACTACAACTTCGCAAGCTCCCAGAATGTCTCCCCATCGTCTCCCCTGCAGTCTTAACAACCTGTGAGAGGGTAGGGCTTCTGTGTGATCTGCCTGCCCAGCCCAGCCTGGTAAGCAGTGCCCTCTGACTGCTTGTGCCTTCGAAATACATCAGAGACTAGAATATTTAGAGTGATTCACATTAGTGCATACGGAGAAACAAAAGGACTGAGAGCTAAGGTCTGAGGTCAAGAGGCTGGCAACCCCTCCATGGCATGTGGAAGAAGCAGTAGTGAGAGGCAGCAGAGCTGACTCATTCAAAACAGAGGGGAGAAAACTTAGAACTCCAGTGAAGTGGAAGTGAAGGCAGAGGAAAGGGCTGCAGACAGAGGGGGAGCTGCAAATGCAGACATGCAGCACAAATGACACAGAAGCAGACAAGAGAAACAGGAAAGATTATACAGTAAATAATATTCTGAATGAAAATCTCATGCAGATTTCAGATCTCAGTAAAGTCTACAACTCAGTTGTTAGAGTGTCTTTCTGCACCTTTGGATTGTCGATAATGGGGGTGACAACAAGATCTGAGTCCGTGTAGATAAGCTCTCTCATCTGGGATTCCAGGTCCTGCTGACTCAGGTGTCCACTTGTAATCTGAAATGAGAACAAAAATTAGACTTTGTTTCTGCGACTAATGTAGATCTTTAAAACACTGAACCAGTAAGATGCTGAGGAAGACACCACTGTAAAATATCACCTATATCAATGTACTTCAACTGCTATTCAAGATGGTTGCAGTCTCATTTGATTTTCACAAAAATCCTAAACTGTAGGCACCATCATTCCCATTTTACAGATAAAAATATAAAACTCTGAGAAAGTAACTGAATTGCTCATGTTACCACTAAGTCTGGCTAGGACTAGAAAAAATATCTTTACAATTCAATGTTCTAAACTGTGATGAGGCAAATTGGTTTTTCCATAACAGCATGGCTTCTTTTTTTTTTTTTTTTTTTTTTTTTGAGGCGGAGTCTCGCTCTGTCCCCCAGGCTGGAGTACAGTAGCGTGATCTCGGCTCACTACAAGCTCTGCCTCCCGGGTTCACGCCATTCTCCTGCCTCAGCCTCCCGAGTAGCTGGGACTACAGGCGCCTGCCACTGTGCCTGGCTAATTTTTTTGTATTTTTAGTAGAAACAGGGTTTCACCGTGTTAGCCAGGATGGTCTCAATCTCCTGACCTCATGATCCACCTGCCTCGGCCTCCCAAAGTGCTGGGATTACAGGCGTGAGCCACCACGCCCAGCCTTTTTTTTTTTTTTTTTTTGAGATAGAGTCTCACTCCATCACACAGGCTGGAATGCAGTGGCACAATCTCAGCTCACCGCAACCTCTGCCTCCCGAGTTGAAGCAATTCTCCTGCTTCAGCCTCCCAAGTCGTGGAATTACTGGTGTATGCCACCATGCACTGCTAATTTCTGCATTTTTAGTAGAATCGGGGTTTCACCATGTTGGCCAGGCTGGTCTCGAACTCCTGGTCTCAGGTGATCCACCCAACTTGGCCTCCCAAAGTGCTGGGATTATAGGCGTGAGCCACGCGCCTGACCAACGGCTTTATTTTTCATTCACAGAATGTTAATCAATTTATTTCTGCTTTACAGAACATTCAATGTGAAATTGAAGCTGTAACATAAAAAAAATTTTCAGACTTAAATACAGACATGCTACCTAAGTATTAAACCTCAATTATTTATTAAGCCTAGTTAGAGTTGATACATAATGAAATGAATCAGCAGATATTCACCATCAGTTATTCCTTTGAGATGGTTCTTTGTGCTCTATTTAAACATAATTTGTATTCCTAGTGCTATGCCTCAGTATTTCCCAACAGGGAAAAAAAAAAGAGAGAGAGAATTTATGCTTAAGAACTTTAAAAGAAACAACGGCTAGCAAACTAAATAAAATAGAAAAGTAAATCAGTGAAGTAAGGAATAAGGAAAATAAATTACCCAAAACTGAGTGAGGAAGGGGCATGGATAAAGGAACAGAGGAGTTAGCTAAGAAAGTTCCTGGAAACCCAAGCTGCCCCATGCAACTCAGACAAAAGACAAGAAAACACAAAAAGAGGCCGGGTGCAGTGGCTTAGGCCTGTAATCCCAGCACTTTGGTAGGCCGAGGTGGGCACATCACGAGGTCAGGAGTTCGAGACCAGCCTGACCAACATGGTGAAACACCATCTCTACTAAAAATACAAAAATTAGCCAGGCATGGTGGCAGGCGCCTGTAATCCCAGCTACTTAGGGGGCTGAGGCAGGAGAATCGCTTGAACCTGGGAGGCGGAGGTTGCAGTGAGCCGAGATTGCGCCATCGCACACCAGCCTAGGTGACAAAGCGAGACTCCACCAAAAAAAAAAAAGAAAAAAAAAAAAAAGGCCCACAAAGAATGAAGAGGAAGTTTGTTTAAAACAAGAAAATCTAAGTTTAAGAACATGGACTTTCAATTAAAGAAAAAAAAAGATGGACTTTCATGGTAAAAAGACAGAGGTAAACTCACATTGCCAAAAAAAAGATGGACTTTAAAGGCAAAAAGACAGGGGCAAACTTAACATTGCTGCTTGTTAATTATGTGCTCTTAGGGAAGATAAAAAAAGCTTTGTTTTCTTCATCTATAACAAAGATTAAAACAAACAAGCTTTCAGGTTTGTGAAGAATAAACACAAAGCACTTAAAACAATGCCTGGCACTGCTTGAGAGAAGACAGTGATAGTTAATGAAGACACTTAAATATATACATCATACTTGCTTCAGTGGAGAATGGATGGAGGGGAGCAATGGAGAACTGAGGGGACCAGTTAGCAGGTTACTGCAAAGCCTGGATGGAAAGGATGGTGTCTTGAGTGAGGAAGGGGGCAGAAGGAAAGAAAAGAAGTCAATGATAGAGCAAAGGGCTGGATATCCCTGCTGATTTAACACTGAGGAGGAACTGCTAGTAAATTATATTGGTCCGTAAAGTAAGACATCAATATTTGAAAGAGGTGGCCAAATTATCTTTACGTATAGATAATATAACTGAACATCCAAAAAGCCAAAATTAATCAATGGGAAAACTCTTAGAAATAACGTAAGAATTAGGCCAGGCATGGTGGCTCACACCTGCAATCCCAGCACTTTGGGAGGTCCAGGTGGGCGGATCACCTGTGGCCAGGAATTCGAGACCAGTCTGGCCAAAATGGTGAAACCCCATCTGTCCTAAAAATACAAAAATTAGCTGGGTGTGGTGGCGGGTGCCTGTGGTCCCAGCTACTCAAGAGGCTGAGGCAGGAGAATCACTTGAACCCGGGAGGCAGAGGCGCAATGAGCCAAGATCACACCGCTGCACTCCAGTCTGGGCAAACAGAGCGAGACTCTGTCTCAAAGAAAAAAAAAAAAAAATGTAAGATGAGTAAGGTGGACCAATTAAAAAATTGTATGCAAAAATTAATTTCCTACAGGTAAACTGAATGTATGCACGAATGCCATATAACAAATATCCCACTCACAACAGCAAAAATATATAAAATAAAATGTTCAGGAATAAACTAAATGATCAATAATTGCAATCAGATCATAATCATTAAATGAAAATAATTGTTATAAAATTATATTCCCTTGTTTCAAAATGAACACATATGTATAAAACCAGAAGCAGTAATATCAAAATGTATGAGACATATGAGGTTACAATGAACACAATCATGCCAATATCAAAATGTATGAGACGTATGAGGTTACAGTGAACTACAATTGTGCCACTGCACTCCAGCCTGGGCAAAAGGCTCTTAAAAAAAAAAAAAAAAAAAGTAATCAGTGTTTACCCGGGAATTATATCGTAAATAATTTTTCTATTTTCTTTGTCCTCTTTTACATTTTACAAGTTTTTTACAATTATATATGTTTTGTAATAGAATAAAAAGTATCATTTAAAAATTATAAAACATAAGGCCAAGCACAGTGGCTCACACCTGTAATCCCAGCTCTTTGGGAGGCCAAGGCCAGCAGATCACTTGAGTCCAGGAGTCTGAGACCAGCCTGGGCAACATGGGGAAACCTCTACTAAAAATACAAAAAATTAGCCAGGCATGGTGGCGCATACTTGTAGTCACAGTTACTCAGGAGGCTGAGATGAGAGAATCACCTAAGCCCAACAAGTTGAGGCTGCAATGAGCAACGATCATGCCCCTCCACTCCAGCCTAGGTCACAGGAGTGAGGCTCTGTCTCAAAAATAAATAAATAAATAAATAGATAGATAGATAGATATGTAAAATAAACTACCTTAGGTATTCACATTATTGATTATATTTTCTCAATAGAATGATTATATACTCTTCTTTATAACCATCTGCCAGAAGAGCTTCAACATCTATCGCATTTCAAAATGAATTTTTTAATTTACATTGATTTTCTATTTCACATAACCAAAAAATTAGCACAGTGAGATTTTATTATAACCCATTTATACTAAATTTCAAAGCAGAAATAAGCTTCACATGGTCCAAATACACTTCACATTACATCAAAACTACAGTAAAAACTAAAAGCAATTATATTTGTCAAGCAATAAGTAGCATAAAAATAACTTAGAATTAATTCAAAGTAGTTCTGCATTCAACACAACTATGATTGAAAGAAATTAAAGAAAACCTAAGTAAGTATAAATACATCCTGTGTTCGTGGAGGAACACTTAACATTGTTAAAATGGCAGTACTTCCTAAATTGATCTACACATTCAATGCAACTGTGATTAAAATCCCAGCTGGCTCCTTTGAAGAAACTGACAAGCTGATCTTAAAATTCATATGGAAATGCAAGTGACCCAGAACAGCCAAAACCACCTTAAAAATTTTTTTGGAGGATTCATACTTTCTGATTTCAAAGCTTACTAAACAGCTACAGTAATCAAGAGTGTGCCACTGGTATAAGGACAGATGAATAGATAACAGAACAGAATCCAGAAATAAACCTTCACATATACAGTCAATCGATCTTCAGCAAGGGTTCCAAGACAATTCAATGGGGAAAGAATAAGCTTTTCAACAGATAGCGCTGAGACAACTGGATGTTTCGATGCAAAACAATGAAGCTATACCCCCTACTTCATGCCACATGCAAAAATTAACTCAAATGGATAAAATAGCTAAATCTAAGAGATACTAATAAAACTATAAAACTCTTAGAAGAAAACATAGGCAGAAACTTTTGTGAGCTGGGAGTAGCAATGGTTTTTTTAGATATTACACCAAAAGCACAAGCAGCAAAAAACACAAACGAAAAAAGATAAATTGGACTATATCAAAATTTAAAACTTTTGTGCTTCAAAGGACACCATCAAGAAAGAAAAAAGACAATCCAGAAAAAGGGAGAAAATTGTTATAACTCCTATCTAGAATATGTAAAAAATTCTTACAACTAAATAATAAAGAGATAAATAACCCAATTAAAAATAGGTTAAATTTTTGAATAAATATTTCTCCAAAGAAAATAGACAAAATGGCCAATAAACACATAAAAAGATACTCAACATCATTAGCCATCAGGTAAATGCAAATCAACACCACTAAGACATAGAAATTCACACCTACTAGCTGGGCGCGGTGGCTCACGTCTGTAATCCAAACACTTTGGGAGGCGGAGACAGGTGGATCATTTGAGGTCAGGAGTTCCAGACTAGCCTGGCCAACATGGTGAAACCTGTCTCTACTAAAAATACAAAAATTAGCCAGGTGGGCCGGGCACGGTGGCTCACGCCTATAATCCTAGCACTTTGGGAGTCCGAGGCGGGCGGATCATGAGATCAGGAGATCGAGACCATCCTGGCTAACACGGTGAAACCCCGTCTGCACTAAAAACACAAAAAATTAGCTGGGCATGGTGGCAGGCGCCTGTAGTCCCAGCTACTCGGGAGGCTGAGGCGGGAGAATGGCGTGAACCCGGGAGGCGGAGCTTGCAGTGAGCCGAGATCCCGCCACTGCACTCCAGCCTGGGCGACAGAGCGAGACTCCGTCTCAAAAAAAAAAAAAAAAAAAAAGTTAAGGCCAGGTGCAGTGGCTCATACCTACAATCCCAGCACTCTGGGAGGCTGAGACAGGAGCATCGCTTGAGCTCAGGAGTTTGAGACCAGCTTACGCAAAATAGTGGGACCCTGTCTTTACAAACAATTTTTTGTAAACTTAGCCGGGTGTGGTGGCATATGCCTGTAGTTCCAGGTACTTGGCAGACTAAGGCAGGACGACCACTGGAGCCAAGGAGGTCCTGGCTGCAGTGAGCTATGATTGTACCACTGTACTCCAGCCTGGATGACAGAGTGAGACATTAACTCAAAAACAAAAAGTTAAACAAGGAGTTAACACATGACACAGCAATTCCACTCCCAAATATTCACCAGCTGATGACTGGAAAAAAAAAAAGATGTTGTATATACAACAAATTATTTGACAATAAAAAGGAATCTAGTACTGATACATGCTACAACTTGGATAAATCTTGAAAATATATGTTAAAAAGGCCGGGCACGGTGGCTCACGCCTGTAATCCCAGCACTATGGGAGGCCGAGGCGGGCAGATCATGAGGTCAAGAGATCAAGACCATCATGGTCAACATGGTGAAACCCCGTCTCTACTAAAAATACAAAAATTAGCTGGACATGGTGACGCACGACTGTAGTCCCAGCGACTTGGTAGGCTGAGGCAGGAGAATTGCTTGAATCCGGTAGGCGGAGGTTACAGTGAGCCAAGATCGCGCCACTGCACTCCAGCCTGGCGACTGAGCAAGACTGTCTCCAAAAAAAAAGAAAGAAAACAAACATAACATATACTAAGTGGAAAAAGCTAGTAACGAAAGACCACATATTGTATGATTCCATTTATAGAAAATGCACAGAACAAGTAAAATAATAAAGACAAAAAAGACAAACGTATACTAGTGGTTGCCTAGTACAAGCATGGAAAAGTACTGGAGAAACATGGGGTGGCGGGGGCAGTGACTGCTAATGGGTAGTTTCTTTGTTGGATGATGAAAGAATTCTAAAACTGTGGTGATAGTTGCACACCTCTGAATATGCTAAAGGTCCCTGAATTGTACCCTTTTATTTATTTTTTTTTTTAAAGAGGTGGGTCTCACTCTGTCACCCAGGCTGGAGTGCGGTGGTGCTGTCATTGCTCACTGCAGCCTCAAACTCCAGGGCTCAAGCAACCCTCCCACTTCAGCTTCCCATGTGGCTAGGGCTACAGGTGTGCACCACCAAACCCAGCTAATTTTTTTTTATTTTTTATGAGGACAGGGTCTCGCTATGTTGGCCAGGCTGGTCTCCAACTCCTGGCCTCAAGTGATCCTCCTGTCTCAGCCTCCCAAAGTGCAAGAATTACAATTCACATCCAGCCTGAATTGTTCACCTTAAATAGGTAAATTGTATGGTATGTCAACTGTACCTCAAGGAAAGTCCTACCAAAAAGAACCATGAAGCAACTAAATGGGATATCTCTCTCAGAGTACTTACAAGAAAAACCTATAATGATCAGCAAAGATGACCTTATTGTAAATTTTGTAATTATTAACATAATTCATTTACCAACTTACAATTATTCTTGTGAGCTTCTACATCTTATGTAGGAAGAAAATTTCCCAAGTCTGCTCACCTTGGTCAGAGGAGAAGTCTTCTGTGGTGAACAGTGAGTCATATCCTCACCAGGACTTACTTCCACTGCAGTGCTAGTTCTGGGAGTAGGACGAGAACTGAAAAATACAAACCAGTTAACATTATTCAATTCCAGACAGTTTATTCTCTGTTTACTGTTTTCTGGAAGAAAACAAGTCTCATGAAAAATGGTAGAGTATGATGATTCCATATACTGTCACTAAAAAAGTCTAGATCTAATTTATGTTTATATAATTTTTATAACTGCTATTAATTTCCTGGCTAATGTATTATTTCTTTTATTTATACAGTATTTTCCTTTTTAACTAGAAACCTTCAAGCATTAATTTTTATAAATGTCTTCTGGTATAGGCAGGATTAACATAAATAAAATAGATCAGATATTCTACAAAGAATGAAAAATATTTGTAGCTATATATCATTAAGTATTTGAAAAGGAAATTACCCTGGCACCTATTTAAAATAAGTAACAAGGGAGTTACAATCCATACCTATTTGTAATGATTCTTCCTACACATATAAATGCCTGCCATACCGTATGGGCCACTGTACTTTTCCTGGATCCATGGTTTTGAGCTTTTCACTTTTTTTTTCTTTTTGAGATGGAGTCTTGCTCTGTCACCCAGGCTAGAGTGCAGTGGCACGATCTCGGCTCACTGCAACCTCCACCTCCTGGGTTCAAGCAATTCTCGTGCCTTAGCCTCCCGAGTAGCTGGGATTACAAGTGCCCGCCACTGCACCAGGCTAATTTTTGTATTTTTAGTAGAGACAGGGTTTCACCATCTTGACCAGGCTGGTCTGGAACTCCCGACCTCATGATCCACCCGCCTCAGCCACCCAAAGTGCAGGGATTACAGGCATGAGCCACTGTGCCCGGCCTGAGCTTTTCACATTTTAAGAAATCCTTCCCATCAGATCATTAATATTTTTTAATTATTTCCTTCAGGGCCGAGTGCGGTGGCTTACTCCTGTAATCCCAGCACTTTGGGAGGCCGAGGTGGTCAGATCACTTGAGGTCAGGAGTTTGAGACCAGTCTGGCCAATATGGCAAAACCCCATCCCTACTAAAAATACAAAAATTAGCCAGGCATGGTAGCAGGCACCTGTAATCCCAGCTACTTGGGAGGCTGAGGCAGGAGGATCACTTGAACTCAGGAGGTGGAGATTGCAGTGAGCCAAGTTCAAGCCACTGCACTCCAGCCTGGGTGACAAAGCAACACTCCATCTCAAAAAAAAAAAAAAAAAAATTAGCCCAGCATGGTGGTGCATGCCTGTAGTCCCAGCTACTTGGGAGGCTGAGGCAGAAGAATAGCTTAAACAGTGTAGGTGAAGGTTGCAGTGAGCAAAGACCGCACCACTGCATTCCAGCCTGGGCAACAGAGCAAGACTCCATCTCAAGAAAAAAAAAATTATCATCTTCAAATTCCCAAGTATCAGGATCCTCAACTCTCATTCACTTATCTGTTGATCCCCTCATTAAACATATACTTACATAGCACATAAAATACAATATACCAGAAAATCTAGGAGGTTCTAAAAAGTTAAATTTAAAATGTATAAAATGGGGCAGGCACTGTGGCTCATGCCTGTAATTCTCAGCACTTTGAGAGGCCAAGACAGGCAGATCACCTGAGCTCAGGAGTTCGAGGCCAGCTGGGCAACTCGGAGAAACTCCATCTCTACTAAAAATACAAAAAAAAATTAGCCAAGCTTGGTGGCACAGGCCTGTAATCCCAACCACTTGGGAGGCTGAGACATGAGAATCGCTTGAACCAGGGAGGTGGAGGCTGCAGTAGGCCGAGATCATGCCACTGCACTCCAGCCTGGGCGACAGAGCAAGAGTCTGTCTCAAAAAATATATAAATAAATAAATAATAAATAAAATGTGTAAAATGTATATAGATAAACATACATTACATTTAAATATGGGTAAAACATATCAGGAATTTTATCATTATAACCACTATTTCATGAAATAAAACTATTTCTCTACGTTAAAAAATATTTTAAATACTTTAAATATTTACATACTACTAAATTTTTTTTTTTGAGACGGTGTTTCGCTCTTGTCCCCCAGGCTGGAGCGCGATGGCGCGATCTCAGCTCATTGCAACCTCCACCACCCGGGTTCAAGTGATCCTCCTGCCTCAGCCTCCTAAGTAGCTGGGATTACAGACACCCACCAGCACGTCCAGCTAATTTTTTTTTCTTAGCAGAGACGGGTTTTCGCCATGTTGTCCAGGCTTGTCTCAGTCTCCTGACCTCAGGTGATCCGCCTGCCTTGGCCTCCCAAAGTGCTGGGATTACAGGCGTGAGCTACTGAGCCCGGTCCATACTACAAAATTTTTTAATGCATTGGTCCTAATTACTTTAAGATACCACTCTGACTTTAATTCTTTCAGTGATTACAAACATTATTCAAGCCTCACATATAGAAAAGTATTAAAAGAAAGGCTGGGCACTGTGGCTCATGTGTGTAATCGCAGCACTCTGGGAGGCCTGGTGGATCACCTAAGGTCAGGAGTTCAAGACAAGCCTGGCCAACATGGCAAAATCCTGTCTCTACTAAAAATACAAAAATTAGCCAGGCGAGGTGGTGGGCCCCTGTAGTCCCAGCTACTCTCGGGAGGCTGAGGCAGGAGAATTGCCTGAACCTGGGAGGTGGAGGCTGCAGTGAGCCAAGATCGCACCACTGCACTCTAGCCTGGACAACAGAACAAGACTCCATCTCAAAAAAATAAAATAAAAATAAATGAAAGAATAAAAAAGTATTTAAAGAAAAACAGAACCTCTTCTTTTCTGTAAGTATTTATCCAAATAAAGAAGCTTTTGCCTTCAAAGCATTAACAACAACAACAAAAACTGGGTGCATTGGCAGGCAGATGGCTCAAACCCAGGAGTTTGAGACCAGCCTGAGCAACACGGCAAAACACCATCTCTACAAAAAAATTAGCCAGGCATGGTGGCACACACCTGTAGTCATAGCTACTTGAGAGGCTAAAGTGGCAAGATCACTTGAATCCAGGAGGCAGAGGTTACAATGAACCAAAATCACGCCACTGCACTCCAGCCTGGGCAATAGACGGAGATCTTGTCTCAAAAACAAAACAAACCAAACAAGCTGGACTTCTGAAATTTTAAGTTCAATTCTATTTTAAGTTAAAGAACAAAATGAAGAGGCATTAATTCTTACAAATGGAAATAATGAGTTGCTTTGGTAAAAAAATAAGTTGGTTTGGTTAAAAATTTTCAAAAATCCTGTACATAGCAAAATCTACATTTCACTGGCCACGACCTAACTGTAACTTTGAAATTGGAGAGTGAAACTGGCATTTGGCACTAAAATTCCTGTTCTTTATCTCTGTGTAACAAAGTTTGCACCAAGATAGCAGATGCTTTAAGAAAATTTAACTTTTGTCTTGCACTGATCCCTCTTTTTTCATTTTACCTACCTGAGAAGAAACATGGATTCATTCAATTGACCCTCAAGAGTACTCTTAGGCCGAAACTCAGTTGGATTTTCTGTAGCAGGAAAGTAATATGTTATCCAGAAAAGAACAAAAATATCATATGCAAGGCATAACGTACACAAAGATTTAAAGGGACATAACACTGAAATTAGGAACTCTCTCAAACAACATTCTAAGTAGCATGAATGTGCTCAAATAAAACTTACCTAGTCTGAAAGAGTGACCTAGTGGTTGACCACTCTTGTGCCCTTTTGCTTGTCTACTCTGAGAGTTCTGCAAAAGCTCCTTGGAATCTTGTGGCCCAGAACACTCCATAGTGTTTCTGCTATTATTGGAGAAAACCAACACAATCAAACTTACTTTGGAGTTCTCTATAGTTTTATGTTAGAGAAAAAGAGGTTGGAGAAGATAATTAAATTACACATGACATTTAGCAAAGTTACAGAATCTCTTAACTTTATGCCTCCCTCATCCACATAGCCATCAAAGACCGGCAGGAAAGCTACGTCACTGTAGTCCCTCAAGATCCAGGCTAAGGCCAGGCGTGGTGGTACACACCTGTAATCCCCGCACTTTGGGAGGCCGAGGCAGACGGATCACTTGAACTCAGGAGTTTGAGACCAGCCTGGGCAACATAGTGAGACCTTGTCTCTACTTTTTTGTTTTTAACAATTTTTTTTAATTTAAAAAAAAAAAAGATCCAGGCTGACAGACCAGGCATGGTGGCTCACGCCTATAATCCTAACACTTTGGGAGGCCACAGCGGGCAAATCGCTTGAGGCCAGGAGTTTGAAACCAGCCTGGGCAACATGGTGAAACCCTGTCTCTACTAAAAATACAATAAATAGCTGAGTGTAGTGGCACACACCTATAGTCTCAGCTACCCAGGAATCTGAGGTAGGAGGATCACCTGAGCCCAGGGAGGTCAAGGCTGCAATGCACCATGATTGTACCACTACACTCCTGCCTAGGTGACAGAGTGAGACGTTGTCTCAAAAAAAAAAAAAAAAAAAAATCCAGGTTGGAACTCCATTTTGACATTTTTCTTCCCAATTACCTCATCATGTAGTAAATTACCACTGCTCTTCAACTTTGCATCTGGGAATAACACACATTGCTTTTACTAACATTTTGTTACCAGAAACAAGTCACATGACCACACCTAACATAAAGAGGAGAAAAAAGATCCTACCATTTACTTGGGAGGTGGGAAGCCAGATGTATTTGGTAACAGAACTAATGACTATCATATTATATCAATGACTGAAGAATAACAACAGAAAATATGCAAAATCAAGAACATAAAAATATCATGAGTAAACTCCTCAAGCAACCCTTAATTAAACAAACGCTGGATTTTCTCCTACTACGAAAGCAGAGAAATTCCAGTCATTGATGTTGTATATTTAGAACAGTAATGGGCTTAAGTGTCCAGTAACTATGTCCCATACACAAAGGTAAGTGTATACTACCTGAGACTGAGATCTTCGACGCTTGATTCCTGATCTGCTCCAGCAAAAGCTTTCTTCCAAAATGAATGCTGCAGTAGCCTTGTCCAAGTCAATCTTTAAAAAACATAAATGTTAAAACTCTACTTTAACATGATTTACCATGAAAAATTCCCAAGACATGTCCCAATTACACATAGCAGATTTTACAAGGTACACATGTACCTTTGAAATCATTTTATATTTTATTATTTCATTTTTGTATGCTATTAACCTCTTTTAGACAGCAAGATAAAAAGAAACAATTCAGAAGCATTAAATGGTACAGAATGAAACAGTCTGATAACTAAGCATTAGAAGTTTCAGGGTTCAAATTCCATAGAGTCTGGTTTCTCCAACCAGCCTAGGAAAAACGGAGTCGATAAATAATTTGAAATTCTTTTTTTTTTTTTTTTTTTTTTGAGACGGAGGCTGGCTCTGTCACCCAGGCTGGAGTGCAGTGGCGCGATCTCGGCTCACTGCAAACTCTGCCTCCCGGGTTCACGCCATTCTCCTGCCTCAGCCTCCCGAGTGGCTGGGACTACAGGCGTCCGCCACCACGCCTGGATAATTTTTTGTATTTTTAGTAGAGACGGGATTTCACCGTGTTATCCAGGGTGGTCTCGATCTCCTCACCTCGTGATCCACCCGCCTCCGCCTCCCAAAGTGCTGGGATTACTGGCGTGAGCCACCGTGCTCAGCGTAATTTGAAATTCTAAAGTAAATATATCAGATATCTATAATCCTGTCATCCTTTATTTCACAACAGAGGCAAGATTATTTTACTTACCCTAACTGACACATTTAAGTTTTGGAACTATTCTGTTGGAAATTCATTCAGGAATAAATAAGAATATCAGCCCAGGTGTAGTGGCTCACACCTGTAATCCCAGCATTTTGGGAGGCCAAGGTGGGTAGATTGCTTGAGTCCATGATTTTGAGGCCAGCCTGGACAATGTGGCAAAACCCCATCTCTACAAAAAATACAAAAATTAGTTGGGTGTGGGGGCCCACACCTATAATCCCAGCTACTTGGGAGGCTGAGGTGGAAGAATCTCTTGAGCCTGGGAGGGAGAGGTTGCAGTGAGCCAAGATCACACCACTGCACTCCAGCCTGGGTGACAGAGTGAGACCCCGTCTCCGGGAGGGGGTGCGGCGGTGGGAGGAAAGAATATCAGCTTCATAACCATATACATTCACACCTTGTTTAGGAATCAAAATAATATTACCTAGCTAGTTCACTTGCATTAAAATGACTTTAGGTTGTATTTAAAACTCAGGCTCACTTTCAAAAGATTAAGTTTCACTACTAATAGAGTATACCTCTAGATATACTCACCAGAGTGGGAAAATTAAGCCTGACTGAAATTTTAAAACAAAAAAGAAAAGAATTTATAGTCGACTAATCATTCAAAATTTCTGTATTAAATAAAATTACTTCAATCAAAAGTAAAACACAAATAATAGAATTTGCAACCACATATAATATTCCTTTACACAAAGGTTCTTATGGTTCACTAAAGGAGAAATAAAAATAGCCAACAAAGTAAAATGTATTTTCATCCATCAAACTGACAAAAATGTAGATCAACAAGGCACACTGTAGATGAGAGTGGGAGGGAAGGAGCTTTCTAACATATTGTTGCTGGGAGTGTAAATCAGCACATGTTCCTAGAATGCAGGAAATGTATCAAACTTTTTAAATGCTCTTAGCCTTTGGCCAGCCATTTCATTTTGAGAAATTCACATCAAAGAGATAACTAACCAAGTAAACCCAAAAAAATTTTAAAAATTCACAAAAGGATATTTACTGTAACAACACATATAATATTCCAAATCAAGAGGCATTCTAAACGTTTACTTTTTTATAGGTAATTGTATATACGTTCTACAGCCATTTAAAATGACCAGGCAGCCAGGTACAGTGGCTCACACCTGAAATCCCAGCACTTTGGGAGGCCGAGGCAGGCGGAACTGCTTGAGGCCAGGAGCTCGAGACCAGCATAGCCAACATGGTGAAACCCCATCTCTACTAAAAACACAAAAATTAGCTGAGGATGGTGGCACGCGCCTGAAATCCCAGCTACTTGGGAGGCTGAGGCATGAGAAACACTTGAACCCAGGTTGCAGTGAGCCAAGATTGTGCCACTGCACTCCAGCCTGGGTGACAGAGCAAGACTCAGAAATGGAAATGGAAAAATATGCATAATGTACCATGAGAGAAAAAAGTAGGTTATGGAGTGGTCCCATGTAAGCAAAAAATTATATAGCATACAGTTATAAATGTAGGGATATGTGGATACACCGTCTTAAGTAAATTAGGTATAGTTACATCCTATCAAAAGATGTCTGAAAAATTATCCACCAAAATAACACTAATGTTGAAAGCATTCTAATATAAGTAAAGGATGTTTGTCCTACAGCTTATACAAAAATCAGCATTTCCTTCTGCAGTTTTTAAAATATATTTAATAAAAGAATGGATTCTTGTATATGCTACACTAAATTTATTCTCCATTTTATAAACGGAACCCTCCTCCCATCACCCCATCCCAGTTACCTAGTGACAGAACCAGAACTAGAAACTAGTTGTTTGGGCCTCTTTCCCACTCTGGTCTACCTCCTAGCCTCCCCTACCCTGTGCCTCAACAATGATTTCTAACATTGCCATCACTGACAGAAAATTCACAAGGTGCCTATTATCCTATCACTTAATAGCCCCATTATGACAGGAGTGTCATAAAACCTGTTTTTATGACACTCAGTTAACAGCATCTTAACTTGACAATATCATCCCTCGGTCAATAGTCAAACAGTTTTAGCCTGAAATACAAAATACAAGAAATGGTACCTCTTGGATTTGGGAGTTATAAGAAAATTTGTCAACTACTTAATACATGAAAAGAGAAACTGACTTCAAAAATTCCTCATGATTAAAAACACCTGCAAACTGAGAGAAAAACTTTTAATCCGAAGTCAGACTTCTTTAAAAAATAATAATTTGAATAGCTATTTGTATATTAAGAACAGCACCATTTTAGAAGTACATAAAAGGGGGAAAAGATTTCATTATTTATTCCCATTAAAATACTGCCCCTTACTCCATTTGCAGAACTCAAAAGAAAAAGAAAAAAAGATCGAACTACTGTCCCTACCTTTTCTGAGGATCTCTTTGAAGTAACCCATCAAGCAAATTAATAAAATCTGAAGAAGCTTTAGGACGAGAAGAATCTATAAATGAATTAATTTCCAAGAAAAAATGATAAGTAGTAAATACATATCAATTTTATTTTTATCTCTTACATCAACATTTAAAGCAATAGTATTTTAAACACATACATTATTATTAAGAGAACACTAAATCCATTAACAACAATTATATCCTCTATTTAATGGGGCAGGATGGGGAGGTACAGAACACAAAGATTAAAAACATTTTTTCCTAGATCACAAAAAAGAAATGTAAATCTCAAAAACTAAGTCTTAACAAACCTCTAAGCCTTCTCTTCACTGAACAATCCCAATAAGGATCACCAGCTTAACAAACTCAAACACTTGTCTTCAACTATTTTGGGGGAGTTTTTTGAGATAGAGTCTTGCTCTGTCACCCAGGGTGGAGTGCAGTGGCACCATCATGGTTCACTCCAGCCTCTACCTCCCAGGCTCAAGTGATCCTCTCACCCCAGCCTCCAGAGTAGGTGGGACTACAGGCATGCACTACCATGCCTGACTAATTTTTGTTTATTTTTTATAGAGATGGGGTCTCACTATGCTGCCTAAGTTAGTCTCCAACTCCTGGGCTCCAGTGATCCACCTGCCTTGGATCTCCTAAAGTGCTGCAATTACAATTACAAGTGTGAGCCACTATGCTCAGCTCCAACTATTTTTTTTTTTTTTTTTTTGGAGAATGAGTTTCACTCTTCTTGCCCAGGCTGGAGTGCAATGGAGCGATCTCAGTTCACTGCAACCTCTGCCTCCCAGGTATATGCGATTCTCCTGTCTCAGCCTCCCAAGTAGCTCGGATTACAGGCATGTGCCACCATGCCTGGCTAATTTTTTTGTATTTAGTAGAGACAGGGTTTCACCATGATAGTCAGGCTGGTCGTGAACTCTTGACCTCAGGTGATCCACCCACCTCAGCCTCCCAAAGTGCTAGGATTACAGGTGTGTGCCACCATGCCCGGCCCCAGCTTAACTATTAATTATACCTTATTCTTTTAAGTATTCCTAACTTGAACAACTAAGAATATTTGCAATCCCTCTTTTAAGATTTTTAACAGAAATAAGAAGCATTATAATATGACACTGTCCAATACCACTAATCTCATAATGTTTTGTCTTTTTAAATTAGTTATATACCATATCCAGGTCATCAGTCTATGGTTAAAAGTAGTAGTAATGGCCACACATTGTGGCTCATACTTGAAATCCCAGCACTTTGAGAGGCCAAGGCAGGCGGATCACTCGAGGCCAGGAGTTCAAGACAAGCTAGGCTACATACCAAGACCTTGTCTCCACCAAAAAATTAAAAAATTAGCCATTCCCAGTGGTGTGCCCCTATAGTCCCGGCTACTTGGGAGGTTGACTGCACCACTGCACTCCAGCCTGAGTGACACAGCAGCACAGCAGAACCCTGTCTCTCAAATATATATATATGTATATATAGCAATAATTTTTGTAGAATCCTGTTTTCATTTATGTGTCTTAAGATAAACTTTAACAATGTATAGCAAAATGTTTTACTACACTTGTGCCTTCTTTTGTTTTCCTTTCCTTAAAAATTATTGCTGATAGATCATTATATTAACCACAATTTATATGATTAAAGTTCCAACACTTTAAAAATAATACAACTGTATCTAATTTTAAAGATTTTTAGGCCGGGCGCAGTGGCTCACGCCTGTAATCCCAGCACTTTGGGAGGCTGAGGTGGGTGGATCATGACATCAGGAGTTTGAGACCAGCCTGGCCAAGATGGTGAAACCCCGTCTCTAATAAAAAACAAAAAACAAAAAATTAGCCGGGTGCCGTGGTGGGCACCTGTAGTCCCAGCTACTCGGGAGGCTGAGGCAGGAGAACTGCTTGAACCCGGGAGGCGGAGGTTGCAGTGAGCCGAGAACACGCCACTGCACTCCAGCCTGGGCAACAGAGCAAGACTCTGTCTCAAAAATAAATAAATAAATAAATAAATAAATAAATAAATAAATAAATAAAGATTTTTAAAACTTATAAGGGTAGCATTCTGATTCATCAAGATAAGGAAATGGTGAATTTGTTCCAACAGGAGATAGAAATAACCACATGGGATACGACTACAAAGTAAGTAAATGGTACATACAAAAAGCAATGTCACATAAGGGTTTAAGTTTTTTAAGTCTTTAAGCCATACTTTTTATGATATAGATGCACAAAATAGTTTTTAAATGAGGGAAATCTATTAGTACTTTGTTTTCTGTTTCAGCATCTTTAAAAAATGGCAAAAGAAATACTAACATTTCTAAAAATATCAACTTGGGATCATTTATAAAAGATAACTTTGGGGAGTTATGAATCAATAAAAGCAAACGTTGGATAAAGGTACACCTTTAATCAGTGTAAAATGTAAATTAATTCCATTTATCATAAGAAATCTTACCTTTCGGAATAGGTGGCAAAGGATCTTCACATAAGATCTTTTCAGTTAATTCTGAAATACTTTCTGAGAAGAATGGAGGTTTTCCTGAAATCACATGAAAACTTGCAAAATGAAAGAAGTCTGCTATCACCAATAATTCTTTTTTTTTTTTTTTTTTTTTTTTGAGATGGAGTCTTGCTCTGTCACCCAGGCTGGAGTGCAGTGGCGCAATCTCGGCTCACTGCACACTCCGCCTCCTGGGTTCAGGCCACTCTCCTGCTTCAGCCTCCCCAGCAGCTGGGACCACAGGCGCACGCTGCCACGCCCAGCTAATTTTTTGTATTTTTAGTAGAGATGGGGTTTCACCGTGTTAGCCAGGATGGTCTCAATCTCCTGACCTCGTGATCCGCCCGCCTCGATCTCCCAAAGTGCTGGGATTACAGGCGTGAGCCACCACACCTGGCCTTGCTATCACCAATAATTCTAATCTCAACTACAGATATTTCAAGATTATACAACTTATAGAAAAAATATATAGCAATAGCTATTTAATGCCTAGTATGTACGAGGCACTGCCTATATATTTCTCTTACTTCAAAATGTATTATCATCCTAACAAATACACAAACACACATATGGACCACTACTATGAACCAATGGGTGCATGGGCCATTCAAATCATCTGAATAATACACAATTGCAAGGCATCTTTACAAAAATTTCTAATAATCACAATTTTTGAGTTAGGCACATTTCAGCATTCCAGATTATCATGAAAAATTACCTATTTATCAAGAACTTTCTAGGAATCTGCATATGCCTAGATACCAAGCAACTCAGCCAAAATCAGTATACATAAAAATTTATAAGGTCACAGTTTTTTTGGCCAGGCACAGTGGCTCATGCCTATAATCCCAGAGCTTTGGGAGGCCTAAGCAGGCAGATCACTTGAGGTCAGGCATTCAAGACCAGCCTGGCCAACATGGTGAGACCCGCTCTCTACTAAAAATAGAAAAAACTGCCAGGCATGGTGGTGGGCACCTGTAAGCCCAGCTACTCGGGAAGCTGAGACACAGGAATGGCTTGAACCCAGGAGGCAGAGGTTGTAGTGAGCCGAGATCGTGCCACTGCACTCCAGACTGGGTGACAGTACGAGACTCTGTCTCAAAATAAAAAAAAATCTAGTTTTTTCACATCTTATAGGTAAAACATCTGCAAAGTACAGACTTAACCTGGTTTTTAGTCCAGCTCTGATTTTATACCTATTCAGGAAACAATTACCTGAAAACATTTCATAAAGCAGACAGCCCAAAGACCAGAGGTCACTGGAGATGGAAAAGTCAGCACCCCTCACAACTTCTGGTGCTGTATATACAGGAGATCCTAAAAGCAAAGTATGAAGAACAGCTCGGTTAGGCATTTGTATTGCTGCCAACACGAACCCACCTAGGAAAGATCTGATGAGATGAAAAAGGGCAGGAGAAAAACATGCGCATGAATAAAACTTCATGTGCATTTCACATTTTTAAATGTTTTCTAATTTTAAGGTTACATTTTGCAAAGGATGTGTGTGAATATAAAAAAGTGTTTAAAATCTACCTGAGAGGTATGGCACATTCAGCTACATTCTTCTTTTAAATTTCAATTAGAATAGTTTAAGTTAAACCTTCAATATAACAACCCCAACATCCCACTGGCTTAACAGCAAAGGTTTATCTATCACTAAACATGTCCACAACAAATCTACCAAGAAGCTCTGATCCTCATAGTCACTCAAAGACCCAGGCTGATAGAGGCTCCAACTCCACTCATGCTTCCTCACTTGGAGGCAGGGAGAAAGAATGTAGCTAACTGAACACTGGCTCCTAAAATTCCCATCTCAAAGTTACTCACATCACTTCCGCTCACACTTAGTTGGCTTTGACCAGGGAGAGGATGCAATCCTACCATCTATCCAGGAGAATAGGAAATATTTAGTGAAAAGCCCCATTGTGTGCCCCATATACTTTATACAAAGTTTAATATTACACAGAAATCCCATATTTTAGAGCCAGAAAGTTCCCTTATTCACTGACAAGAGAAATGGAAGCTTTAGAGGGATACTTAACCTCCAGTAAATCACACAGCTAGGCAGTTGCAGAGCACCTGCCAAGACCCAGGGTCCTTGTCTCTCCCTGGTGCACACTCTCTGCATTCCATCTAACTCCCGCCTCCCAATGAGAATCTTTTCTCCAGGAAGAAAGTAATCTCCAATGATTTGGAAACAAAATTCCACTGAGGTAAGCCTTCCAGCAAATCCTATCTCCAGAGCCCATTACAGCGAGATCAGCAGCTTTGTGTGCCCTGATGCGTGACTGTAAAGTTCTCCCATGGAGCATTTTTGCTATGCTATCACATTTTGTACACATCGATGGAAGGTATATTTGCCTGCACCAGCTGCTGAGGAAACAAAGACAAATAACGCCCATGGAACACCCTTGCACTCTGTCCAACACTTAATAGATGTTTCATTAATATTTGTTGAATATGAATGTTTGTCTTCCCATCCTTACTTCCAGTACCTAGAACTTGCCTAAACTAGTCAAATTAAGAAATAAATGTGGACCAGGCTCACACTTGTAATCCCAGCACTTTGAGAGTCTGAGGCAGGCAGATCACTGGAGGCCAGGAATTCAAGACCAGCCTGGCCAACCTGGTGAAACCCCATCTCTACCAAAAATACAAAAATTAGCTGGGCATGGTGGAGGGCACCTGTAATCCCGGCTACACAGGAGGCTGAGGCATGAGAATCACTTGAACCTAGTAGGCGAAGGCTGCAGTGAACCAAGATCACGCCACTGCTCTCCAGCCTGTGTAACAAAGCAAGACTCTGTCTCAAAAAATAAATAAACGAGGGCCGGGCACGGTGGCTCACACCTGTAATCCCAGCATTTTGGGAGGCCGAGGCGAGCAGATCACAAGGTCAGGAGATCGAGACCAGCCTGGCTAACATGGTAAAACCCCGTCTCTCATAAAAAAAAATACAAAAAATTAGCCAGGCATGGTGGCAGGCGCCTGTAGTCCCAGCTACTCAGGAGGCTGAGGCAGGAGAATGGCATGAACCCAGGAGGCGGAGTTTGCAGTGAGCCGAGATGGCACCACTGCACTCCAGCCTGGACAACAGAGCGAGACTCCGTCTCTAAATAAATAAATAAATAAATGTGGAATTAACAAATAAATGCACTAATAAACAATGGAATTAAAGTCTCTGGGTTCACACTCAAATGGGTGGAAAACAAATACACAAAACAGTATATTATTACATGGTAAGTTAAATGGTTTATGCAAAAAATATTATGAAAGTTTTAAAAGAAAACAACACTTCAGTATTCAGTCTGATAAAATCCTGCTATCCAGACAAAGAAGTAAGGAAGTCTTTCTCAACAAAGTTGGAGCCGGCCAGATGCGGTGGCTAACACCTGTAATCCCACCATTCTGGGAGGCCGAGGCAGGCGGATCACCTGAGGTCAGGAGTTCGAGACCAGCCTGACCAACATGGACAAACCCCATCTCTACTAAAAACAGAAAATCAGCTAGGCATGGTAGTGCATGCCTGTAATCCCAGCTACTCCGGAGGCTGAGGCAGGAGAATGGCATGAACCCAGGAGGCGGAGCTTGCAGTGAGCCAAGATCACACCACTGCACTCCAGCCTAGGCAACAGAGCAAGACTCCATCGCAAATAAAATAGTTAAAAATAAAATAAGAAAGCTGAAAAAATAAAATAAGAAAGGGTTAGGTGTGGTGGCACAAGCCTGTACTCCTAGCTACTTGGAGGGCCAAGACAGGAGGATCACTTGAGGCCTGGAGTTCGACACCAGCCTGGACAGCACAGCAAAACCCAGTTTACAAAAAAATTTAAAACTTTGCCAGGCATGGTGGTATACATCTGCAGTCCTAGCTACTCAGGAGACTGAGGTGGGGGAATCGCTTCAGTCCAGGAGCTCAAGGTTACAGTGAGATATGATCATGCCACTGCAAGACGAAGGAAAGGGAAGGGAGGGGAGAGTATGGAAGGAAAGAGAAAGAAACAAGAACCGAAAGAGTAAGGGCATGGGTGTGAGCAGCTACACAACAAGTGCAGGAAATCGTGAAGACAGGGTGTTGCTGGAACACAAAGCCAAAGGTGGGGTTAAGGGGTGAGGGGGGTGGCAAGGTGGGGGGTGAGGGGAGAGATGGGGTGAGAACTGTTAGTCTGGGTCCCCCAAGAAGCAGACACCAAGACAGAATTATCCACACAAGGATTTTATTACAGGAAGCGTCTATGAGAAAAAAATGGGAAAATCTGGTCAGATTGCAATGTACGATGGACTCCATGCAAAGAGAAAGGGAAAGAAGATTAGATGAAAGCATCCTTAGATAGATGCCATGCAGTCTTAAGAAAGGTTCTTCAGGATCATCAAGAATCCCTGAACCAGGCCAGGTGCGGTGCCTCACACTTGTAATGCCAGCACTTTGGGAGGCCGGGGTGGGCAAATCACCCAAGGTCAGGAGTTCGAGACTAGCCTGGCCAACATAGTGAAACCCCGTCTCTATTAAAAATACAAAAAAATTAGTCAGGCATGGTGGCAGGCACCTGTAAGCCCAGCTACTCGGGAGGCAGGAGAATTGTTTGAACCTGGGAGGCAGAGGTTGCACTGAGCCGAGATCACACCATTGCACTCCACCCTGAGCAACAAGAGCAAGACTCTGTCTCAAAAAAATAAATAAATAAATAATAAAAAAAATAAGAATCCCTGAACCAGGCTGGGCACAGTGGCTCATGTCTGTAATCCCAACACTTTGGGAGGCTGAGGTGGGCAGATCATTTGAGGTCAGGAGTTCAAGACCAGCCTGGCCAACATGGTGAAACCCCATCTCTACTAAAAATACAAAAATTAGCTGGGCATGGTGGTGTGCTCCTGTAATTCCAGCTACTTGGGAGACTGAGACCAGAGAATTGCTTGAACCCGGAGACAGAGGTTGCAGTGAGCTGAGATCACGCCACTGCACTCCAGCCTGGGCAACAGAGCAAGAGCTCATCTCAAAACAAACAAAAAAGAATCCCTGAACCAATGTCAGCCACCAGAGTGTCTCCTAGGAACAGGCCTGCCTTAGCATCCCCTCCAAGCTCAGTCATTAGCTGGGTGCAGTCATGAGAAGCATGGCCTCAGAGCAAAAGCACTGATGAATTTCTTCAAGTAGTTGGAGGCCTTGGTCAGTTGTACCTGCAATTGAAGGACAGTGAAGCACAATCTTCTGGCCACAAGAACAGAGAGGCAATCAGGGACCAGACCGTGGAACCTGAACCCTAACCTGTAGGTAGAGGATTCTAAATTTGAAACTCTTTTCATAAATCAGCCCAGATTTCTAATTTCTCTAAATCAATCAACAACACTGGGCCAAAACTGAGCGTAGTTTGACATAACCCCCATTAATCCCTCTTACACTAGGCCACATTATTGATTTATATAACTTTTCTGTCCCTGAATTTGGGAACTATGATCCAGCCAACCCCTATCTTTACACAGGAAATTAAAACTCCTAGCAGCTATGTGACACTACTCTGAAGGTTACAAAGAAGCAAAGGCAGAACCAGAATCCAGATGTCCTTATTAGAAGCTCTTTTCGATATTATTTTTATGCAGCCTAACCAAAATTTTTGCCCTAAAATCAGCATCAATGTTAACAGATTCTTTATGGCTGTATACCACCACTGACCAATCATCAACCCCACCCCAGTACCCACCTACTCAAATATGTCAAAAGGTAGGGTGATTTTTTTCATGTGCCTTGCTCATCGCCATACTTAGACAGTGAATTCTCAAAGTCTCCAGGAAAACAGAAGTGGTTTTACACTCTATTTTTATCTTAATGCCACAGGGATGTAAAAGTTAACCACCTATGAAGTACACGATCCCAAAAGGTCAGGGCTGATTCTGCCCTGCTGGTTACGAAAGCGTCCTCTCCCCTGGCCAAACAGACTAACCTGCCCTGTCATAGAGACTGTTCTTAGATTAAGTTCAGAAGTAAGCATCACTGCTAGAATGTCTGACCTATTTTTCCAAAACACAGCTCTCTTCCCCTTACTAAATATGCATTTATACTGAAATATACCATTGACCTTGTTTTCTATAAAATTATACACAATAATTCAGAACTTCATATCCTACTAACATAGACCACAACAGTCATTTTCAAAGAATACTGATAATTCTATGGAATGCAATTTAAGGACATTAAAAGCCTTCTTCTTGGGCATGAAATCTTACCATATACAAGCTGGGCCCTGAAAGTTTAATTTCCTTTAGTCCTATTTATGGGGCCTATGATTAACCTGCTGCTCTCCATCCTCTTCCCTCATCCCTGGGCCACATGACTACCAAGTCCAAGGATGCCTGCCACCCTCTTGCATAGTGCCCTTTCCTACAACTGCCACCAAACTCAGCTGACAGCATGATGAGTATCACAGAGCTTCAATGGCCCAAAGTCTCAAGTACCTGAACATGGTATATGAGGAGGAAGATCTTTACCACTTCCCCCAAAAGGTATAAGAAACATCACTTCATACTCTCCCCTCAAGTATAGCAATTTTAACACCCCCGGCCCCACCTCACATACCAAGAATACACCCTAGAAATTTGCTTTGGAGATGCTGGCAAGACGGCCGAATAGGAACAGCTCCAGTCTGCAGCTCTCAGTGAGATCAATGAAGAAGGCAGGTGACTTACGCATTACCAACTGAGGTACCAGGTTCATCTCACTGGGACTGGTTGGACAGCGGGTGCAGCCCACAGAGGGCAGGCAGAAGCAAGGTGGGGTGTTGCCTCACCCGGGAAGCGCTAGGGGTCAGGGAACTCCCTCTTCTAGCCAAGGGAAGCCATGATGGACTGTGCCGTGAGGAACAGTGCACTCCGGCCCACATACTGCATTTTTCCCACGGTCTTTGCAACCCACAGACCAGGAGATTCCCTCTGGTGCCTACGCCACCAGGGCACTGGGTTTCAAGCACAAAACTGGGTGGCCGTTGGGGCAGACACCAAGCTAGGTGCAGGAGTTTTTTTTCATACCCCAGTGGCACCTGGAAGGCCAGAGAGACAGGACCGTTCACTGCCCTGGAAAGGGGGCCAAAGCCAGGGAGTCACATGGTCAGGCTCAGCGGGTCCCACCCCCACGGAGCCCAGCAAGCTAAGATCCACTGGCTTGAAATTCTCGCTGTCAGCACAGCAGTCTGAAGTTGACCTGGGACGCTCGAGCTTGGTGTGGGGAGGGGCATCCACCATTGCTGAGGCTTGAGTAGGCGGTTTTACCCTCACAGCATAAACAAAGCCACATGGAAGAGCGAACTGGGTGGAGCCCACTGCAGCATCTCTGAAAAAAAAAGGCAGCAGCCCCAGTCAGGGGCTTATATATAAAACCCCCATCTCCCTGGGACAGAGCACCTGGGAGAAGGGGTGGCTGTGGGAGAAGATTCAGCAGACTTAAACGTCCCTGCCTGATGGCTCTGAAGAGAGCAACAGATCTCCCAGCACAGCATTCAAGCTCTGCTGAAGGTCAGACTACCTTCTCAAGTGGGTCCCTGACCCCTGTGTCTCCTGATTGGGAGACACTTCCCAGTAGGGGCCAGCAGACACCTCATACAGGAAAGCTCCGGCTGCTATCTGGCAGGTGCCCCTCCAGGACGAAGCTTCCAGAGGAAGGAATAGGCAGCAATATGGGCTGTTCTGCAGCCTCTGCTGGTGATATCCAGGCAAACAGGGTCTGGAGTGCACCTCCAGCAAACTCCAGCAGACCTGAAGCGGAGGGGCCTGTTAGAAGGAAAACTAACAAACAGAAAAGAATAGCATCAATATCAACAAAAAGGACATCCACACAGAAACCCCATCCGAAGGTCACCAACATCAAACACCAAAGGTAGATAAATCCACAAAGATGGAGAGAAACCAGCACAAAAACGCTGAAAATTCCAAAAACCAGAACGCCTCTTCTCCTCCAAAGGATCACAACTCCTCGCCAGCAAAGGAACAAAACTGGATGGAGAACGAGTTTGCCAAATTGACAGAAGTAGGCTAAAGAGGGTGGGTAACAACAACCTCCTCCGAGCTAAAGAAGCATGTTCTAACCCAATGCAAGGAAGCTAAGAACCTTGAAAAAAGGTTAGAGGAATTGCTAACGAGAATAACCAGTTTAGAGAAGAACATAAATGACCTGATGGAGCTGAAAAACACAGCACGAGAACTTCATGAAGCACACACAAGTATCAATAGCCAAATAGATCAAGTGGAAGAAAGGATATCAGAAACTGAAGATCAACTTAATGAAATAAAGCGAAAAGACAAGGTTAGAGAAAAAAAGAATGAAAAGGAACAAACAAAGCCTCCAAGAAATATGGGACTGTCAAAGACCAAATCTACGTTTGATTGATGTACCTGAAAGTGATGGAGAGAATGGAACCAAGTTGGAAAACACACTTCAGGATATTATCCAGGAGAACTTCCCCAACCTAGCAAGACAGGCCAACATTCAAATTCAGGAAATACAAGAGAACACCACAAATATACTCCTCGAGAAGAGGAACCCCAAGACACATAATTGTCAGATTCACCAAGGTTAAAATGAGGGAAAAAATGTTAAGGGCAGCCAGAGAGAAAGGTTGGGTTACCCGCAAAGGGAAGCCCATCAGACTAACAGTGGATCTCTGCAAAAACTCTACAAGCCAGAAAAGAGTGGGGGTCAATATTCAACATTCTTAAAGAAAAGAATTTTCAACCCAGAATTTCATATCCAGACAAACTAAGCTTCATAAGCGAAGGAGAAATAAAATCCTTTACAGAAAAACAAATGCTGAGAGATCTTCTCACAACCAGGCCTGCCTTACAAGAGCTCCTGAAGGAAGCACTAAACATGGAAAGGAAAAACCGGTACCAGCCACTGCAAAAACATACCAAATTGTAAAGACCATCAACACTGTGAAGAAACTGCACCAACTAACGGGCAAAATAACCAGCTAACATCATAATGACAGGATCAAATTCACACATAACAATATTAACCTTAAAGGTAAACAAGCTGAATGCCCCAATTAAAAAGACATAGACTGACAAATTGAATGAAGAGTTAAGACCCATCAGTGTGCTGTATTCAGGAGACCCATCTCACGTGCAGAGACACACATAAGCTCAAAATACAGGGATGGAGGAATATTTACCACACAAATGGAAAGCAAAAAAAAAAAAAAAAGCAGGGGTTGCAATCCTGATCTCTGATAAAACAGGCTTTAAACACAAAAAATCAAAAGAAACAAAGAAGGCCATTACATAATGGTAAAGGGATCAATGCAACAAGTAGAGCTGACTATCCTAAATATATATGCACCCAATACAGGAGTATTCAGATTCATAAAGCAAGTTCTTAGAGATCTACAAAGAGACATAGACTCCCACACCATAATAGTGGGAGACTTTAACACCCCACTGTCAATATTAGACAGATCAATGAGACAGAAAATTACAAGGATATTCAGACCTGAACTCAGCTCTGGACCAAGCAGACCTAATAGACATCTACAGAACTCTCCACCCCAAATCAACAGAATATACATTCTTCTCAGCACCACATCACACTTATTCTAAAATCGACCACATAATTGGAAGTAAAACACTCCTCAGCAAATGCAAAAGAATGGAAATCGTAACAGTCTCTCAGACCACAGTGCAATAAATTAGAACTCAGGATTAAGAGACTTACTCAAAAACCACACAACTACATGGAAACTGAACAACCTGCTCCTGAATGACTACTGGGTAAATAATGAAATGAAGGCAGAAATAAAGAAGTTCTTTGAAACCAATGAGAACAAAGATACAATGTACCAGAATCTCTGGGACACTGCTAAAGCAGTGTGTAGAGGGAAATTTACAGCACTAAATGCCCACAAGAGAAAGTAGGAAAGATCTAAAATTGACACCCTAACATCGCAATTAAAAGAACAAGAGAAGAGCAAACAAATTCAAAAACTAGCAGAAGACAAGAAATAACTAATTTCAGAGCAGAAATGAAGGAGATACAGACACGAAAAACCCTTCAAAAAAAAAATCAATGAATCTAGGAGCTGTTTTTTTTTAAATGATCAACAAAATACATAGACCACTAGCAAGACTAACAAAGAAAAGAAACAAACACAATAAAAAATGATAAAGGAGATATTACCACTGATCCCACAGAAATACAAAGGAACCATCAGAGAATACTATAAACACCTCTACACAAATAAACTAGAAAATCTCGAAGAAATGGATAAATTCCTGGACATATACATGCTCCCAAGTCTAAACCAGGAAGAAGTCAAATCCCTGAATAGACCAGTAACAAGTTCTGAAATTGAGGCAGTAATTAATAGCCTACCAATCAAAAAATGTCCAGGACCAGAAAGATTCACAGCCGAATTCGACCGGAGGTACAAAGAGGGGCTGATAACATCCCTTCTGAAACTATTACAAACAATATAAAAAGAGGGACTCCTGCTTACTAACTCATTTTATGAGGCCAGCATCATCCTGATACCAAAGCCTGACGGAGATATTAAAAAAAAAAAAATTTCAGGCCAATATCCCCGATAAACATCGATGTGAAAATCCTGAATAAAATACTGGCAAACTGAATCCAGCAGCACATCCAAAAGTTTATCCATCATGATCAAGTCAGCTTCATCCCTGGGATGCAAGGCTGGTTCAACATACACAAATCAATAAATGTAATCCATTACATAAACAAACCAATGACAAAAAACCACATGATTATCTCAATAGATGCAGAAAAGGCCTTCAACAAAATTCAACACCGCTTCATGCTAAAAACTCTCAATAAACTTGGTATTGATGGAACGTATCTCAAAATAATAAGAGCTATTTATGACAAACCCACAGCCAATATCATACGGAATGGACAAAAAAGGAAAGCATTCTCTTTGAAATCCGGCACAAGACAAGGATAACCTCTCTCACCATTCCTATTCAACATAGTATTGGAAGTTCTGGTCAGGGCAATCAGGCAAGAGAAAGAAATAAAGGGTATTCAAATAGGCAGAGAGGAAGTCAAATTGTCTCTGCAGATGACATGATTGTATATTTAGAAAACCCCATCGTCTCAGCCCAACATCTCCTAAAGCTGATAAGCAACTTCAGCAAAGTCTCAGGATACAACATCAATGTGCGAAAATCACCAGCATTCCTATACACCAATAACAAACAAACAGAGAGCCAAATTATGAGTGAACTCCCATTCACAACTGCTACAAAGAGAATAAAATACCTAGGAATCCAGCTTACAAGGGATGTGAAGGACCTCTTCAAGGAGACTACAAACCTCTGCTCAAAGAAATAAGAGAGGACACAAACAAATGGAAAAAAATTCTATCCTCATGGATAGAAAGAATCAAAATCATGAAAATGGCCATATTGCCCAAAGTAATTTATAGATTCAGAGCTATCCCCATCAAGCTACCATTGACTTTCTTCACAGAATTGGAAAAAACTACTTTAAATTTCATATGGAACCAAAAAAGAGCCCGCATAGCCAAGACTATCCTAAGCAAAAAGAACAAAGCTGGAGGCATCGCACTACCTAACCTCAAACTATACTACAAGGCCACAGTAACCAAAACAGTATGGTACTGGTACAAAAACAGATATATAGATCAATGGAACAGCACACAGACCTCGGAATAGAGATCTACAACCATCTGATCTTTGACAAACCTGACAAAAACAAGCAATGGGGAAAGGATTTCCTATTTAATAGGAAATCCTATTGTGTTGGGAAAACTGGCTAGCCATATGCAGAAAAATGAAACTGGACCCCTTCCTTATACTCTATACAAAAATTAATTCAAGATGGATTAAAGACTTAAATGTAAGACTTAAAACCATAAAAACTCTAGAAGAAAACCTAGGCAATACCATTCAGGATATAGGCATGGGCAAATACTTCATGACTAAAACACCAAAAGTAATGGCAGCAAAAGCCAAAATTGACAAATGGTATCTAATTAAACTAAAGAGCTTCTGCACAGCAAAATAAACTAGCATCAGAATGAACAGACAACTTACAGAATGGGAGAAAATTTTTGCAATCTACCCATCTGACAAAGTTCTAATATCCAGAGTCTACAAGAAATTTAAACAAATTTACAAGAAAAAAGCAAACAACCCCATCAAAAAGTGGGCAAAGGATATGAACAGACACTTCTCAAAATAAGACATTTATGCGGCCAACAAACATATGAAAAAAAGCTCACCAGCACTGATCATTACAGAAATGCAAATCAAAACCACAATGAGATACCGTCTCACACCAGTCAGAATGGCAATTATTAAAAAGTCAAGAAACAAAAATGCTGGCAAGGCTGTGGAGAAATAAGAATGCTTTTGGACTGTTGGTGGGAATGTAGATTGGTTCAACCATTGCGGAGGACAATTCCTCAGGGATCTAGAACCAGAAATACCACTTGACCCAGCAATCCCATTACTGGGTATACACCCAAAGGATTATAAATCATTCTACTATAAAGACATATGCACACGTATGTTTATTGCGGCACTATTCACAATAGCAAAGATGTGGAACCAACCCAAATGCCCATCAATGATAGACTGGATAAAGAAAATGTGGCACATATACACCACAGAATACTATGCAGCCATAAAAAAGGATGAGTTCATGTCCTTTGCAGGGACATGGATGAAGCTGGACGCCATCATTCTCAGCAAACTATCACAAGAACAGAAAACCAAACACCACATATTCTCACTCGTAAGTGGGAGTTGAACAATGAGAACACATGGACACAGGGAGGGGAACATCACACACCGGGGCCTGTCAGGGGGTAGGGGTCTAAAGGAGGGATAGCATTGGGAGGAATACCTAATGTAGATGACAGGTTGATGGGTGCAGCAAACCACCATGGCACATATATACCTATGTAACAAACCTGTATGTTCTGCACATGTACCCTAGAACTTAAAAAAAAAAAAAAAAAAGAAAGAAATATGTTTCAACTGCAGAATATCATTCACTCAACTAATTTCTATTGAGCCGCTAATGTGCCAGGCACCATTCCCTTCCTATGTGCTAATGAGTGCTCAGTAAAACATAAAGCTGAGGACGAAATACAGGTTTTGTTAAGGTTCCCCAGGCCTTACAGAGTAGATCCACATTGAATACTTTAGGCCATGGACAAAGCCATTCCTATGCCCAGACTATGTCTGCTGGTCATTACCATTTTCAATATCTTATTTGAGTGGCAAAACAAAAGACTGACATTGTCTCCTAAACACAGGACTTGGATGGTCCACAACTAGAGTTATGATCTTTAAGCTTTCCAGGTCCACATACCTTTGACTCTACTTTTCATGCTTTTCTTCAGGACATTTTCCCCATTATCACCTCCTCCTTCCTCTGCTGCCACCAAAGCAAAGAACTCTTCCAAATTTTCACCTTCCACTTTTGCCAAGCAAAAGTTGCTAAACTTCAGTGTGCCAGGCCCTTCCAAGAGTATCTATGAAGATCAAATAAATGTTTTCAGAAAAAAAATCAACTTAATTTGTACATATATCAGTACCTCTTATAATTGTACTAAAGAACTTTTCAGCATTGCTATTCTTTATCAGAACTCAGAAAAATAAATGCTTATAATTTTTTTAAAAGCTAAAGAAAAATAAATCCAACTTTTTAATAATCAAATAAAAAATTAAATTGTTCATTCTCAGATGTATATAATGAACACATCATATAACCATAGTGGAAAACTTCAGGTTTGGGGAAAGATTAACAACGATGAAAATAAAACAATCTGCCCTTGCCAACTCTCAGTGTCAGCTATAACAGGATTTGAAAACCCAACTGCCTGAGGTGTTGTTTATTCAAGTGAGGAAGCATAATGTAGCATTAAGATTAAAGTTGGAGATCTGGATTTTAGACCCAGGTCCACCATTTACTTGCTGTCTGACCTTAAAGAATTTATTTAACCTTTCTAATCCCCAATCTCTTCACCTGTAAAATGGGAAAAATAATACCTAACTCTTCAGACTGCTGTAAGGATTAATCGAAGTTATGCAAGTAAAGGGTTTGTAACAGTCACTGGCATGTGACAAGTGCTCAAGTCTGCTAATATAATTTGTGATTAGAATCTATGGATTGTTGAAAACATGCCAGTAACTAATGTTCTGTTACTTTTATTATTTCCCGTATTAAAAGTATTTCTACATAGGTACAATGGGTCAGGTGGCTTTGTGGTTTTTCAAGGCTATGTAGGGTCAAGTGCAGTGCCTCACACCTGTAATCCCAGCACTTTGGAAGGCTGAGGCAGGCAGATCACCTAGGGCCAGGAGTTCAAGACCAGCCTGGCCAACATGGTGAAACCTTATCTCTACTCAAAATACAAAAATTAGCTGGGCATGGTGGCAGGCACCTATAATCCCAGCTACTCAGGAGGCTGAGGCACGAGAATCGCTTGAACCTGGGAGGCAGAGGTTGCAGTGAGCCAAGGTTGCGCCACCGCACTCCAGCCTGCATGAGAGCGAGACCCTGTCTAAAATAAAATAAATAAAATAAAGGCAATGTGAAGTTAACTCTTAACTTCTAGTCACAAATACATACTAAGGATGTCTGTTGGTCTACAACAGTGGCTTTTAAACTTGTGTGAGCATCAGAATCCCCTGGAAGACTTGTTAAAGCACAGACTACCAGTCACTACCCCCAGAGTTTCTGATTCAACAGGTCTGGATGGGGCCCATTTCTACCAAGTGCCAGGTCAACCTAATGCTGCTGGTCCAGAGGACCACTGGCAGGGATCAGCAAACTTTTTTGTTGTTGGTAAAGAGCCAGCTAGTAAATATTTTAGACTTTACGAGCCATACAGTCTTTTGTACTTCAATGTCATTTCATTTCAATGGAATCTCATACTTCAATTATGTTGTTGCACAATGGTAGCCACTGACATTACATAAACCAAAGGTTGTGGCTGTGTTCCAGTGAAAGTTTATATACAAAAATAGGAATCCTGCCCAACCTTCGCTAACCCCTGTTCTAGAACACAAGTTTAGGTTACAAAGCAGCCTGAATTTTTCAGATCATAACAGCTGATAATAAATCTCATTAAACAACTCCCGGATAGATATCAGCAAACTACAGCCTCTGGGACAAACCCTGGCCACTGCCTTGTACAGCTATGAACTAAGAGTGTTGGATTTTTTTTTTAAGCCGTATCTGAAAACTGCCACACACAAAAAATTAATAAAAAAAAAATAATGTGGTTTTTAGCCAGGCATGGTGGCTCACGCCTGTAATCCCAGCACTTTGGGAAGCCAAGGCAGTAGGATCACCTGAGGTCAGGAGTTTGAGACCAGCCTGGCCAACACGGTAAAACCCCGTCTCTACTAAAAATACAAAAATTTGCCACACACCTGTAGTCCCAGCTACTTGGGAGGCTAAGGCAGGAGAATCGCTTGAACCTGGCATGCTGAGTTTGCAGTGAGTTGAGATCACACCACTGCACTCCAGCCTGGGCAACAGAGTGAAACTGTGTCTCAAAAAAAATAATAATAAAATAAAAAAATTTTAAAAATGTGGTTTTTATATTTCTAAATGGCTGAGAAACAAATCAAAATAATATTTCTAGACATGTAACAATGAATTACATGAAATCCACATTTCCATATCCATAAATGAAGTTACTGAAATACAGCCACATCCAGGTATTTACAAATTGTCTACAGCTGCTTTCAGCACTACAATGACAGTTGAGTAGCTGCAGACTTGAGGCACATACATGATAATTTCAAACAAGAACTACAATTCATTATACAGGATTTTATGGAGTTTTCTTTTTTAGGTTTAATTATATTCTCATACAGATGGCCTGCAAAAATAAAATTCTTAAATGAAATATCCAGCTTTTTCTTTCCTTGGCACATATTAAAGAAAAAGTAAAAACTCAGACCAGTAATATGTACAATTCCTCAGAGGATGTACTTATAAACACAATAACTGACATCACTGTGAGCACACTACTTACCAAAAAGTATCCTAGAAACTTAACCTAAATATAATAGGTAATCCTCACAAATATCTTGAAAAATCTATCTCCATGTGACAAAGAAACTAAGGCAAAGAGAAGCAGGGTAATTTGTCCGGGTTCACATGGCTTCTAAGTGTTAGTGTTGATTGCAACTCAGAAACCAAGTAGGTTTCATGACTCTACTATACTGAAGCACATTTAGTTATGGATAATTAATTTTACCAAAAGAGAAAATATTTGATCCATAATATCAGGAATCATACACATATAGCCAAGAATGCCACTATCAAACTAAAATAATGGTTCATAAATGTGTACAATGACTTAAGAGCTAAGAGGGCCTTATCTTATAGACATATTGGGTTCATCATTTACAATATAGGTTAGTGCATTAAGTAATTACTCAAAGAGCTCTGAAAGGGAGACTTCACATTCAAAAAGCAACTTAGGCAGCTAAAATACTGTACCATATATTTCCTTTTATTTATTAATTTTTTTTTTTTTTTTTTTTTGAAATGGAGTCTCGCTCTGTCACCCAGGCTGGAGTGCAGTGGCATCAGCTCACTGCAACCTCTGCCTCCCGGATTCAAGCAATTCTCCCTGCCTCGGCCTCCCAAGTAGATGGAATTACAGGCGCTCACCACCATGCCCAGCTATTTTTTGTGTTTTTATTTATTTATTTATTTTTTTTTTTTTTTTTTTTTTTTTTTTTTTTTTTTGAGACGGAGTCTTGCTCTGTTGCTAGGCTGGAGTGCAGTGGCACGAACTCAGCTCACTGCAGCCTCTGCCTCCCAGGCTGAAGCAATTCTCCTGCCTCAGCCTCTCAGATAGTTGGGACTACAGGAGCGCACCACCACGCCCAGCTAAATTTGTATTTTTTTTTTAGTTGAGATGGGGTTTCACCATGTTGGCCAGGATGGTCTCCATCTCTTGACCTCGTGATCCGCCCGCCTCAGCCTCCCAATGTGATGGGATTATAGGCGTGAGCCACCGCGCCTAGCCTTTTATGTTTTTAGTAAAGATGGGGTTTCATCATGTTGGCCAGGCTGGTCTCGAACTCCTGACCTCAAGTGATCCGCCCGCCTCAGCCTCCCAAAGTGCTAGGATTACAGGCATGAGCCACCGTGCCCTGCCTCCTTTTATTTTAAAAAAAGATTAACTAAAATTTCAAGATATTCTATACCAAAATTTTATCCAAAAATAACAACATCTTTGAGAAAGCACTCTAATTTGAGACAGAAGCAGTTAGAAAATCAAAAACTTTCATGAATTACCTTCCTAGGAGAAATGTCACAAAAGAGAATGCCAAGTTTATGAAGATGATGTAATCCACTAATCAGGTCAATTCCAAATTCTCTCACAACATCTTCTGGGAGGTTTTCATCTTGAGCAATAACTGTTTTTAAGGAACCACCTGCAAGAGGTTGATTAAAATCACCCATTTCAACCCCCTACCATCACAGAGTGCCCCTGAGAGGTTCCACGCTGACAGATACGAACATTAAAAAATGATCAAGACAGTAAACGCTGACAGCCTGGTCAAGGAACACACATGTGAGTAAATACAGTGGCCCGAGCACTGCAACAGAAGTCTATGCCCAAGCACCAGAGACAGATTCAGGAAAGTGCCTGCTCCCTATGGATGAATGGTGAGAAGCAAGCAGGTAAGATGAAAGGATAATAACCCTAACAGCTATAAATACTAATGGTAAATACCCCAAAACTGTGCACTTAAATCACATTATGCAAAGTATAGTATCGTTTACTGTTGTGCAGTCAGGTCACATTCTGCAAAGTACTGCATGGCAAAAAAGACTATGCCTTTCCTTAACAGATAATCACAACCCTTAGCACGCGCCATTGATGAAATAAAAGGCCAAAGTCAGGCACATTGAGAATCCCATTGCTATATTCTTCCAAGGTCCCAGTTACTTCTCTACCATCTAAGTGCCAGAAATAAACTTTTTTTTAAAGGGTCAAGATTACAACAGCCAATCCATCAACAGATGAATGGATAAAGAAAATATGATACATATACACAATGGAGTACTATTCAGCCATAAAAAAGAGATTTTGTCATTTGCAACAACACAGTTGGAACTGGAGGTCATTATGTTAAGTGAAATAAGCCAGGCACAGAAAGACAAACATCGCATGTCCTCACTCATTTGTGGGAGCTGAAAATTAAAACAATTGGAATCATGGAGATAGAGAACAGAAGAATGGCTACCAGAGGTTGGGAAGGATAGTGGGGAGGTGGTGGGGGAGTGGGGATGGTTAATGGGTACAAATAAATAGTAAGAATGAATAAAAACTAGTATTTGATAGTACAACAAGTAGCTAAAGTCAATAATAACTGTACATTTTAAAATAACTAAAAGAATATAATTGGATTGTAACACAAAGGATAAACGCTTGAGGAAATGGATACCCCATTTACCCTGATGTGCTTATTACACACTGCATGCCTGTACCAACTATCTCATGTGCCCCATAAATATTAATACACACACATACTATATACCTACAAAAATTAAATATTAATACAACAGCCAAATTCAGTAAAAGTAAAGTTTCTGCTGGCATTGAAAAGTTGAATATGAATTACTATGATGAAGGGAAGAGGTATTTGGGGTTTTATTTTGTTTTGGTGGGTGACGTGCAGTTACAAACGTAGGCATGTTTTACAGTTAGGATATTACATCTGGTCAGAGATCAGAAACAACAGCTGAAGCAAAAAACTAATTCCAGGACTGTGTCTTGATAACCTTGTCCATGTGTACATCCATGGAAGTAATCAACCATAATCCTGTCCTATTGATTCAGAAAAATAAAATCAAATAAGTTATTAATCCAAATTACTTCTTTAAGTTTTATAAATTCTAAGTATCAATATAAGTTAGATGCATAAAGCTAGTAATAATTATATCAATATTCAATTATCCTTTATTGTTACTCAATGTATAAACAGAAGTACACTAACAGTAATACCTATTAATAGTTAATAGTAGTACTTAGCAGTGGTTATTACATTTTTTCCCTGTTAAAAATTTTGAAACTAAAAGCCCAGATAATATGTATTTAGTCACCTTTCTCCCTGTATATGGTCCTAGAAAGCTATATGAAGCAATAGCTATAACTTGTTATCTCTAATTATTTGTTGGTTCATCTTTGTACTTTTTCACATTGCTGAAAATTTTATGAGGTACAGTATGCTTTTCATAAAAACAAAGATACTTTATAAATTTATTAGCTAATTAATAGCTAGTCAACTTAAAATGTTTGTTTTTATTTATTGGGAAAACGTTTTTGATAAATTAATCATCACTTTAAAACATTTCTAAATTTTTATGTATATAACGTAATAATACACGAAAGTAAATCCAACCCGGAATTGAATTTACATAATTCTTCTTTTTCCCAAATGTCTTTGCTCTTCACCCTTCCCTAATATCCACAGAGCAATAGATTTTCAAGTTAACATAGTAAATAACATCAAAAGTAACAAAACTTAACAGCATGTTTTTTTTCAATACTATATTCATAGCACTTTTTACATACTCTTTCTTACCTGTGCAGAGTTCCACCACTAGCCAGAGGTGGTTGCTTGTTTCATACCATTCATGAAAAGTTACAATATTCTTGTGTTTTATTTCACGGGTGAGACGGACCTATAAAAACACAGAGCAATCACTCTAAAAAGAAATTCCTAAAACTCTTACATCTACTGAGAAAAACCTAAATATACAATTGGTAAATGGATAAGAAAATGGTGACATTTATTTGGTGGAATTCTATACAGACATTAGAAATCATGGTTATGAGGGCTAGTTACACAGAAAAACATTAACTTAAAAATAAACTTTTCTGGCGGTGCAAGATGGCTCACACCTGTAACAATCCCAGCACTTTGGGAGGCCGAGGTGGGTTGGATCACTTGAGGTCAGGAGTACAAGAGCAGCCTGACCAACGCGGTGAAACCCCGTCTCTACTAAAAATATAAAAATTAGCGGGGCGTGGTGGCACGCGCCTGAAATTCGAGCTACTCAGGAGACTAAGGCAGGAGAATTGCTTGAACTCAGGAGGCAGAAGTTGCAGGGTGCTGAGACTGCGCCACTGCACTCCAGCCTGGGTGACAGAGCAAGACTCCATCTCTCAATAAATAAATAAATAAATTTTTTTAAACTTGTGTAATACTCTTATGTGTGTCTGTGTAAATACAAATTTGCAAAAGAATTATTTATAGAAAAACGACCAGAGGATATTCACCAACATAGCTACCGTTATTGGTGAAACTGCTGGCGTTTTTTAATTCTACTTTTCTCTCATTTTCTATTGGCTACACTAAGACACACTACTTTTATGGCCAAGAAAGAAAAAAACAATTTTAAAGGGTAAAAATTTTCTGCTAAGTAAACATAACCTAACTACTCAATAACACAATAGGTCACTAAGTTGTATTATCAACTGACAAAATATCGTCAACATTAAAATGTATACTTAATTTTACAACATAGAGGAACGAGTGTTATGTTAATTGAAAAGGGCAAGAAACAAACTTATACCACGACTAAACCATTAAAGAACAAACTCAAAAACTAGAAGGAAACAAAGCAAGACATGAGCAATGATTACCCTTTTTTTTTTTTTTTGAGGAGGAGTCTCGCTCTGTCACCCAGGCTGGAGTACAGTGGTGCAATCTCGGCTCACTGCACCCTCTGCCTCCCAGGTTCAAGCAATTCCCTGCCTCAGCCTCCCAAGTAGCTGGGATTACAGGTACACACCACCACACCCAGCTAATTTTTGTATTTTTAGTAGAGATGGGGTTTCATCATGTTGGCCAGGCTGGTCTTGAACTCCTGACCTCAAGTGATCCACCCGCCTTGGCCTCCCAAAGTGCTGGGAATACAGGCATGAGCCACTGTGCCTGGTCAAGCAATGATTATCTGTAGGTGATAGGACAATTATCCTTTTTTTCTTCTATTCATTTTTCCCTATTGTCCAAGTTTCTACAGTGAACTTGTATTATTTTTATATTTAAAAGAACTCTCAGAAGGATTCTACAATCTACTTTTAAAAATATTCCTGGTCACTGGCAGTGGCTCATGCCTGTAATCCCAACACTTTAGGAGGCCAAGGCAGGAGGACCACTTGAGCCAGGGGGGTCCCCAACTCCTGGGCCATGGACCAGTCCAGGTCCATGGCCTGTTCGGAACCAGGCCAGACAGCAGCAGGTGAGCAGTCAGCAAGCAAGCATTACCGCTTGAGCTCGCCTCCTGTCAGATCAGCAGTGGCATTAGATTCTCACAGAAGCACAAACCCTATTGTGAACTGTGCATAGGAGGGATCTAGGCTGCGCACTCCTTATGAGAATCTAATGCCTGATGATCTGAGGTGGAACATTTCATCCCGAAACCATCCCCACCCCATGGAAAAACTGTCTTCCACAAAACCAGTCCCTGGTGTCAAAACAAGTTGGGTACCGGTGCCATAGTTTTTGTTGTTTTTTTTTTTAATAAACATAGAAATTGACACTTCTAGTCTTAAAGCTTGAAACTTACACCTGTTTTATTTGAGCTCCTTCCTCAGGAAAGGACCCCCAAGCCTCTCAAAAAGTATCAAAGATCTGAACCTCACCAGATCACCACATCCAGACACGAAGCGCCAGGCCCCTCATTCATCATGACTGCTTCCTTTCACCTCCAGAGGTCTGTTTTCCCACACATTGCTACGTTTCTTTCCTGTTATATGAACCCCTAATTTTAGTCAGTCAGGGAGATTGGATTTGAGACTGAGCTCCCACCTCCTTGGCTGCAGCACCTGATTAAAGCCTTCTTCCCTGGCAATACGTGTCACCTCAGTGATTGGTTTTCTGAGTGGAAAACAGCAGGACCTGGACCAAACCTCTGGTGTTTCAGTAACAGTTTTAACACAAGCCTGGACAATATAGTAAGACCTCATCTTCACTAAAAAAAAAAATTTTTAATTAGCCAGGCATGGTGATGCATACCTGGGATGCTACTCAGGACACTGAGGCAGGAGGATAGCTGGAGCCCAGGAGTTCAAGGCTGCAGTGAACTGTGTTGCACCACTGCACTCCAGCCTGGGCAAGACAGCAAGACCCCACCTCCAAAAAAAATAAAAATAGAAACATTCTTACTTATTTTCTATTCAATAAATATAAAAAATAAAATAAAGATACCCTCAGTGAATCCTAATGTCATCAATTCACCCTATTGCAAAAGGAATCTTTACAATAAACACATTGATCTTAAAAATGTACATTTCTGTTATGGATCATAAGAATACTTGTGCATAAAAAACAAATGATAAAGATGCAAAAGCCTATCTGTTAAAAAATACTAAGTTGTTTCGGAGGTTTTGCTTTCGCCTTTTAAAATTCCACTAAATATGAAAAATAAGACCACAAAAATGTGTGCATTACTAGCAAACCATCAAGATCCAAAATTGCTGACAACTACCAAAGTGCTTTCAATCCTGTTCTTAACCTTTTTTTTTTTTTTTTGAAACAAGGTCTCACTCTATACCCAGGCTGGAGCACAGTGGCACAGTCATGGCTCACTGCAGCCTTCATCTACTGGGCTCAAGGGATCCTCCTCCTCTCTCAGCCTCCAGAGTAGTGGGGACCACAGGCTTGCACCACTACATTCGGCTGACTTTTTTGATTTTTTGTAGAGACAAGGTCTCACTTTGTTGCCCAAGTTGGTCTTGAACTCCTGGGTTCAAACGATCCTCCCACCTCAGCCTCCCAAAGTGCTGGGATTACAGGCATGAGTCACTGTGCCCAGCTTGAAAAAAAAAAAAAAAACCTTTTTTTTTAAAGTCACATCCAAACTCTACTACCACTTAACACAAACAAATGAGCCCATATATGCAGAGCTCCCCATTTTAAAAATGAAACACTCTGTGAACAACTAGGTGGGCTCATACCGTAGCACAATTAGAGGAAAATGGATCCACATAACTTAGACGACAGAGGAGTTAAAAAGCAAAAAGCAGAGCGACCAAGAGAAAATTTAAGGAGCAACTTGTAAGAAACTACAAAACTAAAATTAAAAAATTAGCCAGGCATGGTGGCACATGCCTGTGGTCCCAGCTACTAGGGAGGCTGCGGCAGGAGGATCCATTGAGCCCGGGAAGTCAAGGCACAGTGAGCCGTGATCACATCACTGCACTCCAGCCTGAGTGACAGAGTGAGACTCTGTCTCAAAAAAAAAAAAAAAAAAAAAAAAGAGAAAGAAACTGTAAAACTAATAAGCCACCAAAGAATAAGGAAGACCACCTGGTGACCATGTTTAAGGACTCCCACTGATTCAGGCACAGGAAGGGGGAGGTCCTGATGAAAAATAAAGGGAGCATGGCAATTCCAACAGAATCACCAACAGAATCTGGGCCCCAGCAATTCCTTCCAGCACTCCTCATCATTCAACATACGCCCCACGCCTACTCTTCCAAATGCTGGGCCAAACTGCCTCTCAAAGTCCTGCCCTCCACCTTCACCTCAACCACCTATCCACGGTTACTCCACAGACCTGCGGTGTTCAATGTGGGAGCGATGTGCCACACAGGGCTACTGAGAACTCGAAAAGTGGCTTGTCTGAACTGGGATGTGCTACAGATGTGAAATACACACAGTATTCTGAAGACTTCATACCAAAAAATAATAATATCTCAATAATAGTTTTTACCAGCCAGGTGCAGTGGCTAACACCTGTAAACCCAACACTTTGGGAGGCCAAGGTGGGCGTATGACTTGAGGTCAGAAGTTTAAGACCAGCCTGGCCAACATGATGAAACCCTATCTCTATAAAAAATACAAAAATTAGGCAGGCATGGTGGTGCATGCCTGAAATTCCAGGAACTCAGGGGTCTGAGGCAGCAGAATCACTTGAACCCAGAAGGCAGAGGTTGCAGTGAGCCTAGATCACGCCATTGCACTCCAGCCTGGGTGGCAGATTAAGACTTCATCTCAAAAAAATAAATAAATAGGCCGGGCGCGGTGGCTCACGCCTGTAATGCCAGCACTTTGGGAGGCCAAGGCAGGTGGATCACCTGAGGTCAGGAGTTCAAAACCAGCCTGACCAACATGGAGAAACCCCATCTCTACTAAAACTACAAAATTAGCTGGGCATGGAGGCGCATGCCTGTAACCCCAGCTACTCAGGAGGCTGAGGCAGGAGAATCGCTTGAACCCGGGAGGTGAGGCTGCAGTGAGCCAAGATGGTGCCATTGCACTCCAGTCTGGGCAACAAGAGTGAAACTCCATCTCAAAAAATAAATTAATTAATTTCATTAAATTAAATAAATAAATAGTTTTAACCAATTATATGTTGAAGTGATCATACATTGTGTATACTGGCTTTAGAAATATATTACCAAAGTTAGGCTGGGCACGGTGGCTCAGGCCTGTAATCCCAGCACTTTGGGAGGCCGAGGCGGGTGGATCACGAGGTAAGGAGATCAAGACCATCCTGGCTAATATGGTGAAACCCCATCTCTACTAAAAATACAAAAAATTAGCCGGGCATGGTGGTGGGCACCTGTAGTCCCAGCTACTCGGGAGGCTGAGGCAGCAGAATGGCGTGAACCCGGCAGGCGGAGCTTGCAGTGAGCCAAGATCGTGCCACCGCACTCCAGCCTGGGCGACAGAGCGAGACTCCATCTCAAAAAAAAAAAAAAAAGAAAGAAATATATTACCAAAGTTAATTTCACCCATTTGTTTTTCATTTTTCAATGTGGCTACTAAAAAATTCAAAATTAGATTTGTGGCCCCCATTATATTTTTATTAGATGGTGTTGCTAGACTTTTACTAAAACTGCATTACCACCAAAATCTCTGTTACACATCCTAGCCTGTGACCATATACACGCACTTTCCAGCCCGCTCCCACAACCATTCCAATTCTGGTTAAACTCAACCAACCCTCCACATACTCTGCAGCTACTCAAGCAGGTAAAGCAGAAACAAACCATGCTGCCTGATTTACTTTAAATTTATGATCACAAATCTCAAATGGCCCAAGACAACCTGCTTTTCAAGTGACCATTCACACCTCCTCTTTCCTCTCCTCTCCTACCTCCTAACTGATGACTTTGCTTATTTCAGGGAAGATAGAACCAAACAGAAGAGAACTTTCTCAGGCTCCTGGCATGGAATCCACCAACTTGCATCTTGTACCATACCCTGCCTTACCTCAACTATCCATGCTCCTTCCAAAAGCCAAAACCTCCCCTTGTATACATGATCCCAACCCCCCTCAAACTTCACTTACATTATACAACTGTCTCCTCGCCACATTATGCTGAGTATTTTTCCCTTGCTAATAGACCATTTCCATCAGCATACAAACATGCTGAAATTATTATCCTTATGGAAAAGCTGCTAGCTGCTTACCTAAATCTTTAATAACAGAATTCCTCTATGACAGAACAGCCTTGTGCCTGTCCAGAAAAAGATTTCCGCCCCTCCTGCCCAGAAAGGGGACACCAACAAGATGTTAACAGGGTCAGTAGCTCAGGTTTCCTGGAAAACACTTAATGGGGTTTATTCAACGTAACCCCGTGGCACCCTCTTTCTTCCCCTTCCTCCCTGGAAAGCTGACATGATAACTAAAGTGACAGTGGCCATCCAGCAACTGTGAAATGGCCTTGCACATAAGCCAAGTTCAATAAGGATAGCAGAGAAGAATGACAGGGAATTGATGACATGGTAGAATCAGTTTGCAAGTGCAGTTTCCTTTACATGAGAGAAAATAAACCACCTGCTTTAAGACGTGTAATTTCACGGGAGGATGAGGCAGGAGAATTGCCTGAATCCAAGAGGTGGAGGTTGCAGTGAGCTGAAATCATGCCACTGTACTCCAGTCTGGGCTACAGAGTGAGATCCTGTCTAAAAAAACGTAATTTCAGATGTCAGGAGTCAGAAGTAACTCCTGATAATTCTTTCCATCTCAACCTCCTGTCTCCATCCAGTTATCATCCCATTTCTCTGCTCCTTGATACAGCAAAACTCCTTAAGGATGGCCTCTACCTTCTCCCACTCCCTCTTTTTATAAGAAGTGTACTTATTTATTTTTGTAGAGATAGGGTCTTGCTATGTTGCCCAGGCTGGTTTCAAACTCCTGGCCTCAAGCAATCCTCCCACCTCAGCCTCCCAAAACACCAGGATTACAGGAATGAGCCAGTAAGCCCGGCTCACTCCCCCTTAAACATATTTCAGTTCCAGCTTTCATCCCCACCACTTTCTGAAACCACTCTCTTCAAGGTTATCAGTGGCCTCTCCATTGCCAAATCCTCAGTCCTCACCTTATTAGCAGCATCTCACACAAGTGGTTTCTCTCATCACCATATACCACTGACGTTATTTGACCTCTATGACATCCCATGATTTGGCCAATATTTTTAGTTACAGAGAACAGAATATATTCTGGCTAACAAAAGGACTTCTAAGGGGCCTACATAATTCCAGAATTGATTATGGGAAGTTCCTGAAACAGAATCTAGGCTCAATTTCTGGAAAGAATTCCCAAAACCACACCATAAAACTGAGCCGCCAGAGGAGCACTGGCCCCTGTCTCCATCAGAACATTAAGGAATCAAGACTCTGCCATCACAGCTATCACAGCTGTCAGCACCAAAGTGCTGCCTCTGCCACCAGTAGGAAGCCACCACATCCAAACCATACTGCCTCTGCCTCAAGATGTGCCGGCAAATGGATGGATGCCTTGGGGCCTTTACCACTTACATCAGTTTGGAATCCAAATGTCCTTCTAGTGCATCTAATTAATTTAATCACAATCCCACCTAGAACTCTGGCTGCAAAGAGTCTGGGAATTGCAGTTTGTAGCTCCCCAGAGCCTGAGGAACAGGAGAACATGCCAGAATGGGTGATAAGCAAACCAATTCACAGTTACCCACACTCTCCAGCTCCCCTCTCTCACTGGATGCTCCCTTTCACTCTCCTTTGCTGGGTCCTCCTTCTCCTTACACTTGCTAAATGTTGCAATGAAGGTCCTCAGTCCTCTTCTATCTTCCCTCACGTTGGCCTAATGTCTATATGCTGATGACATATGAATTTGACATATAAAGATACACAGCATTTCCATCCCTCCAGAAAGCACTTTGTGCCCATTTCCAGATGTCTTCCTTAAATTTACATCTCCACCCTGATGAACTGCCTAAACTGCAGACTCAAAGACCCAGTGTCTTCCAGTGGGCACCCAAAATTAAAATGCCCGAATCCATTCTTTTCCTAGTCTTTTTTCCCTCAGTGTTATCACCATCCTTCTTAGTCATGTAGGCCAAAACCCTAGGATAATCATTGACTTCTCTTTCACACCTCATACCCAATCCATGACCAAAAACGATCATCTGTACTTTAAATATGTATTCAGACTCTTCATTCATAGAAAGTCAAAACTAGCAAAATTAATCTGTGGAGTTAGAAGTCAAGATCATGATTACCCTTGAGTGGGAAGAAAGAGACGGGCAGGGGGCGGGAAGGGCATCTAAACTACTGCTCATGTTATTTCTTGATTGTGTGCTGGTTACATGGGTGTATTTATTTTATGAAAATTTAAGCATACAATTATGGTTTGTATACTCTCCCGTATGTATATTTTACTTCAATAAAAAGATTCACTCAAAATGGAATGCATTTTAGTAATAAAGGAATAACTACAATACTTGCAATAACACAGGTGAATCTCAAAAACATCTTAAGGAAAAGAAGTGTGACACAAAAAAGTACATACCATAGGAACCCATTTACTTGAGGTTCAAGAACAGGCAAAATAATCTACAATGATAGAAGTAAGAACAGTGCTGGGGGCAGTGTTGAAGATGACATCTGGAGAGGGCAGGAGGCACTTTCTGGAGGAATAGACAGACTGTTTCTTGATTTGGATATTACATGACTGCATACGTTTGTTAAAAGTCATTGAACTACACACTACACTACTCGGGTGTGCCTTAAGACCCCAAAGATCCCCTAATCACACTAACACCTGCACTAAATATTCCTTATTCTCTTGGAATCCAGTACATTTCCCAATAGTACTTGTTCTACTTGGAAAGGCATCAGTTTACCAACGTAGTGAAATTTTCCCTGGGGTTGTGCTATCCACCCTTATATCCAGCATTTGTAGTGTGTGTCACAAGTTGTATTCTCATGGTGAGATAGTTTCTCTGTTGTGATCAGGTTTCCATGTTGCGGTCAAAGGGCCAAGAGATTTAATTGGGTTAAGTTTTACAGGAGAGGGTGGCATTTGTTCTGGATCCTGATAAGCCTAAAAAGTATCACAAAGCTTCTTGTCTGAAAATTTCTCCCACAGTGGCCCTACTGTGGTCTTTGAAAAATCTCTATTAGTCACCCCCCTGAATTAAGCCTTTGACGGACTCCAAAATGCTATCAAAATATGATCACAGAAGGGGATGATACTTCAAGGAAAATGAATTTGTTACATTATCCAGCAGTGTCCTAAAATGAAGGAACAAGAGGGCTGGGCGCAGTGGCTCATGCCTGTAATCCCAGCACTTTGGGAGGCCGAGGCGGGAGGATCACAAGGTCGGGAGATCGAGACCATCCTGGCTAAAACGGTGAAACCCCGTCTCTACTAAAAATACAAAAAATTAGCCGGGCATAGTCCCAGCTACTCGGGAGGCTCAGGCAGGAGAATGGCGTGAACCCAGGAGACGGAGCTTGCGGTGAGCCGAGACTGTGCCACTGCACTCCAGCCCGGGCGACAGAGCGAGACAGGTAAATTATGACACCTGAAAGTGTGGTTATGAAAAGGTCAAAAGCAAGGGAAAGTACTGAGGAGGACTGTCAACGCGACAGCTGAGAACAGCCAGTGGGGAGCATGATGGTAAATGCTATATGGAGAAGAGGAGAAAAAAGGCCATGAAGTCAAACTCTTCCTTACATGTAATTATTTTCTCGGCTTACCCTGCTGGCCTCCTCAACTGGAGAGGGGGCATTGGTACCATGATCCAACAGATCTGAACCAACTATAGATCAGGATGATACTGACATCATAGGCAATTGTGAGAAGTGAATGCACCCAGCACACTGGCTGGAACATATTAGATATACTCAATAAATGGTAGCATATGATGAACTTCTGCAAAGGAAAAGAGTAGAAATGCTTCTGCAAGGTATGGGACACAGGAGTTTCCAAGAGCTAAGACCCCTAAAAAGCAGGGACTTGGACAACCATTTGAATGGAGTGTTTATACATGCCTTGATTCCTCTATCTCACCTTTCTTACCAGATCATAAGCTCAAAAGTACAGGATCATTTCGCCCTCTAACACAGCAGACACTCAACAATACGCTTTTGGTGTTGAAGTGAGTGAATGAATCTTGGAAAAAAGAGAGGCTTCCCCAGGCTCTATAAATCAGGAATAAGGCAAACAGAAAACAGTGGCCTTTCTATATCCATTAAAACTCTTGCACATGCTGAACCTGCCCTCATCCTTCTTTCCCACACGTGACCGACCCCACATCCCTCTTCTCAACTCTCTTCCAGTTCTGGGTATTTCCCTCTCCATCTATGTGTTCTCTATGTATTTCTTGTTCCATTAGTGACTGTGACGTAAGAGACATCATGAAAGAATATTTAAGCCAGGCGCAGTGGCTCATACCTGTAATCCCGGCATTTCGGGAGGTCGAGGTGGGCGGATCACTTGAGGTCAGGAGTTTGAGGGCAGCCTGGCCAACATGGTGAAACCCCATCTCTACTAAAAATACAAAGATTCACTGGGCATGGTAATGTGCACCTGTAATCCCAGCAACTCAGGAGGCTGGGGCAGGAGAATCGCTTGAACAGGGGAGGCAGAGGTTGCAGTGAGCCAAGATCGCACCACTGCACTCCAGCCTGGACGAAAGAGTCTGGACTCTGTCTCAAAAAAAAGAAAGAGTGTTTATTAAGTGTCAGGCACTATGCTAAATATCTTATTATCTTAGTAAAAGCTAGATATGTCAACAAAATGCAAGCAAATTGAATTCAGCAGTATATTAAAAGGATTATGCACGATAACCAAGTGGGTTTATTCCTGGAAAACAAAAGATGGTTGAACATACGAAAATGTAATATACCACATTATGAAGGGGAAAAAAACGCATGATCATCTCAATTAATACAGAAAATGCACTTGGCAAAATTCAACAACCTTTAAAAAAAAAAAAAAAACTCCAAAAGCTAGGAATAGAAGGAAACTATCTCAACATAATAAAAGTCATATATGAAAAACCCAAAGCAAACAACATACTCAATGGTGAAAGAGTAAAGCTTTTCCTCTAACATTAAGAAGTAGGCAAGAATGTCTGCTTTCTCCACTTCTAGTCAAGAAGGTATAAAAAGTCCTAGCCAGAGCAATTACACAAGAAAAAAAAAGGCATCCAAATTGGAAAGGAAAAAAGTAAAATTAACTCTGTTTGCAAATGATGTGATTGATTTTATATGTAGAAAACCCTAAGGCCAGGCGTGGTGGTTCAGGCCCGTAATCCCAGCACTTTTGGAGGCCAAGGTGGGCAAATCACCTGAGGTCAGGAGTTCGAGACCAGCCTGGCCAACATGGTGAAACCCCGTCTCTACTAAAAATACAAAAAAATTAGCCAGGCGTGGTGGCAGGCACCTGAAATCGCAGCTACTCGGGAGGCTGAGGCAGGAGAATCGTTTGAACCTGGGAGGCAAAGGTTGCAGTGTGCCAAGATCACACCACTGAACTCCTGCCTGGATAGACTTTGAGACTCTGTCACACACACAGACACACACACACACACACACAAAAAGTAAAGTTTCCATAAAATAAACTGTCAAAACAAAAACAAATTTTGCAAAGTAAAATACAAAGTCCAGGTCCAACACTTAAAGATTAGCGGAATTTTTTTTTTTTTTTTTGAGACAGCATTTCACTCTTGTTGCCCAGGCTGGAGCGCAATTACACGATCTCAGCTCACTGCAACCTCTGCCTTCCAGGTTCATGCGATTCTCCTGCCTCAGCCTCCCAAGTAGCTGGGATTACAGATGCCCACCACCACACCTGGCTAATTTTTATATTTTTAGTAGAGACAGGGTTTCACCATGTTGGCCAGGCTGGTCTCGAACTCCTGACCTCAAGTGATCTGCCCCCTCCTCGGCCACTCAAAGTGCTGGGATTACAAGTGTGAGCCACCACACCTGCCTTTTTTTTTTTCTTTCTTTTTTTTTGAGACAGTGTCTCTGTCGCCCAGGCGGGAGTGCAGTGGCATGATCGCGGCTCACTGCAACCTCGACCTCCAGGGCTGAAGCAATCCTCCTGTCTCAACCTCCCAAGTAGCTGAGAGTAAAGCACACACCACTATGCCTGGCTAATTTTTCTATTTTTTCTAGAGACAAGGTTTCACCATGTTGCCCAGGCTGGTCCTGAACTTCTGGGCTCAAGTGATCTACCCACCTTGGTCTCTCAAAGTGCTGGGATTATAGGCATGAGCCACCACACCTGGCACGGTCTGATGAGTTTTGATTGATGCAGGTACTGGCAAAACTCTATTTTTATTTTTCTTTTTTTTTTTTTGAGACAAGGTCTCAGTCTGTCACTCAGGTTGGAGCACAGTGGCACAATCATGGCTCACTGCGACCCCTGCCATCCAGGCTCAAACAATCCTCCCACCTCACCTTCCCAAGCAGCTGGGACCTCAGGTGCATGCCACCACCCCCGGCTAATTTTTGAGACGGAGTCTCGCCTTGTTGCCCAGGCTGGAGTGCAGTGGTGCAATCTTGGCTCACTGCAACCTCCACCTCCTGAGTTCAAGTGATTCTCCTGCCTCAGCCTCCCAAGTAGCTGTGACTACAGGCATGTGCCACCATGCCCGGCTGATTTTTTTGTATTTTTAGTAGAGACAGGGTTTCACCGTGTTGGACAGGCTGGTCTTGAACTCCAGGCCTCAAGTGATCCGCCCACCTCAGCCTCCAAAAGTACTGGGATTACAGACATGAGCCACCGCGCCTGGCCCACTCCCAGCTAATTTTTGTATCTTTTGCAGGGACACATTTTCACCATGTTGCCCAGGCTGGTCTCAAACTCCTGAGCTCAAGCAATTCGCCTGCCTCGGTCTCTCCAAGTGCTGGGATTACAGGTGTGAGCCACAATGTCCAGGGGGAATTTCTATACATTAACAAATGTACAATCGAAAAAGGAAATCAAGAAAACAACTTCATTTATAATAGCAGCAAAAAGAATAAAACACATAGGAATTAACCAAACAGGTGGAAAGACTTACACAACAAAAACTACAAAAAACTTCTGAAAGAAATTTTTAAAAGACATAAATAGGCTGGGCACGGTGGCTCACACCTGTAATCCCAGCACTTTGGGAGGCCGAAGCGGGCAGATCACGAGGTCAGGAGATGGAGACCATCCTGGCTAACACGGTGAAACCTCATCTCTACTAAAAATACAAAAAATTAGCTGGGCATGGTGGCGGGCGCCTGTAGTCCCAGCTACTCAAGAGGCTGAGGCAGGAGAATGGCGTGAACCCCGGGAGGCGGAGCTTACAGTAAGCCGAGATTGTGTCACTGCACTCCAGCCTGGAGGACAGAGCGAGGCTTCGTCTCAAAAAAAAAAAAAAAAAAAAAAAAGACACAAATAAGTGGGAAAATATCACGTGTTTATGAATTAGAAGGCAATTTTCAGATATTAATAATTAACATTCAAATACTACCCAAAATCAATCTATCCAAAGCAATGTATGCATTCAATGCAATTCTTATCAAAATCCCAACAACTATTTTTGTGGGACTAGAAAAATCTATCCGAAAATTCATATAGAATCTCAAGGTATGTCAAACGGCCAAAACAATCTTAAAAGAAAAAAAAAAAAAAGCTGGAAAACACACACTTCCTGATTCCAAAGCTTACTACAAAGCTACAATAATAAAAACAGTATAGTACTGGCATAAAGATGGAAATATAGACCAACAGTATAGAATAAGGAGCCCAGAAATAAACCCTCACACATATGGTCAAATGACTTCCAATAAGTATTCCAAAACTATTCAATGAGGAAAGGGCAGTCTTTTCAACAAATGGTGCTGAGAAAACTGGATATCCACATGTAAAAGAGAGAAGTTGGACCTTTACTGTTGTGGTCTGAATGTGTCCCTCTAAAATTCACATTGAAACCTAATGTCCACTGTGGTGGTATTAGGAGGTGGAACCTTTAGGAGGCGATTAGGTCATCAGGGCTCTGCCCTCATAAATAAAATTAGTGTCCTTAGAATACAGCCATAAGGGGGCCTGTTTTCCTCTTCTGCCATGTGGGAACACATAAAAGGCACCATCTTTGAGAAACAGAGCAAGCCCTTACAAGACACCAAAACTGCTGGCACCTTAATCCTGGACTTCCCAGCCCCAAGAACTGTGACCAATAAATTTCTGTTATTTATAAGCTATCCAGTCTAAGGTATTTTGTCTTAGCAGCCCAAACAGAGACATTTACGGAACACCACATAGAAAATTTAACTCAAAATGAGTCAAATATCACTGAGGTAAAAATACATAACTATCAGAAGAACAAATAGGACAAAAGCTTCATGACACTGGGCTTGGCAATGATTTTTGGATATTTGCGTAAGACACCAAAGACACAGATAACAAAAAAAAAGACAAATGTGACTCTGCAAAAATTTTAAACTTTAGTACATCAAAAGGCACTATCAACAAAGTGAAAAGGCAACCTATAGAATATGAAAATATATTTGCATATCATATATCTGATAACAGATTAATATCTAGAATATATAGAGAAGTCGTAAAACTCAGCAAGAAAACAACCAACCAGATTAGAGAATGGGCAGAGGACTTACAGAAATGGACAAAAAGAATAGACATTTCTCCAAAGGAGATATACAAATTGTCTATAAGCATATGAAAAGATGCTGCTCAGCATCACTAGTCATTAGGGAAATGCAAATCAAAACAACAATGAGATACCACCTCACACCCATTAGGATGGTTACTGTCAAAAAAAAAGACAAAAAGTACTGATAAGGATGCAGAGAAACCGAACCCTTGTGCACTGATGGTCTGGAATGAGAAGATGGCAGAGCTGCTGAGGAAAACAGTATGGCAAGTCTTAAAATAATTAAAAATAGAATTACCATAGGACCAGCAATTCCACTTCTGAGTATATACACAAAATAAAGCAAGATCTCAAAGAGATATTTGTATCCACATATTCATAGCACCATTGTTCACAATAGTTAAAACACGGAAGCAACTTGTGTCCACTGTTACATAAATAAGCAAAATGCGCTTTATATATGTACAATGAAATATGATTCAGTCTTAAAAAGGAGGAAATTCTAACACATGCTACAACGTGGATAAACCTTGAGGACATTACACTGGGTGAAATAAGCCAGACAAAAAATGCTGTATGATACCATTTATATAGAGTAGTCAAAACCACAGAGACAAAAAGTAGAATGATAGTTGCCAAAAGCTGGAGAAGGAGAAATGAAGAATTACAGTTTAATGGGTACAGAGCTTCAGTTTTACAAGATGAAAACAGTTATGGGGATAGATGGAGGTGATAGCTGCACAGCAATATGAATGTACTTATTATCCCTAAACTGTACAATTAAAAATCACTAAGGTGCAAATTTGTTAAATTGTATTTTACTACTATATACATATATATACACACACATATATATACACATACATATATATACACATATATACATATATACACATATATATATATATATATATTTTTTTTTTTTTTTGAGATGGAGTCCCACTCTTGTCACCCAGGCTGGGGTGCAATGGCATGATCCCGGCTTACTGCAACCTCTGCCTCCCCGGTTCAAGCGGTTCTCCTGCCTCAGCCTCCTGAGTAGCTGGAATTACAGGTGTGCACTACCACGCCCAGCTAATTTTAGTATTTTTAGTAGAGACGGGGTTTCCCCATGTTGGTCAGGCTGGTCTCGAACCCAAAGTGCTGGGATTACAGGTGTGAGCCACCACACCCAGCTTAAAAATATATATATTTTTTAAGCTAGGTATGGTCCAAGAAGCCTACGCTATAAAGTGACACAGCTATTTCAAACCCAAGTCATTATCACCCAGTGTCCTTCCTTGACAGTAAATTGCAGAGGTTGGGGGAACCTGCTTGTTTCCTAAATACACCAAATTCAAAAAGTAAATTATCTAATATAGAATATAGTTTCCAGGCTGGGCTCAGTGGCTCCTGCCTGTAATCCCAACACTTCGGGAGGCTGAGGCAGGCAGACTGCTTGAGCTCAGGAGTTTGAGACCAGCCTGGGCAACATAGCCAAACCCCGACTCCATGAAAAATACAAAAAATTGGCCGGGCGCGGTGGCTCACACCTGTAATCCCAGCACTTTGGGAGGCCAAGGTGGGCGGATCACAAGGTCAGGAGATCGAGACCATCCTGGCTAACACAGTGAAACCCCGTCTTTACTAAAAATACAAAAATTAGCTGGGTGTGGTGTCGGGCACCACTACAGCTACTCGGGAGGCTGAAGCAGGAGAATGGCGTGAACCCGGGAGGCACAGTGCAGTGAAGCTGAGACCGTGCCACTGCACTCTAGCCTGGGCGACAGAGTGAGACTCCGTCTTAAAAAAAAAAAAAAAAAAAGAAAAATACAAAAAATTAGCCAGGCGTGGTGGTATGTGCCTGTAGTCCCAGCTACTCTGGAGACTGAGGTGGGAGGATCATCTGAGCCCAGGAAGTTGAGGCTATAGTGAGCCCAGTGCACTCCAGTCTGGGCAACAGAGAGAGACCCTGTTTCTAAGGGAAAGAAAAAAAAAGAGTATAGTTTCCCCAATTTATACCCACCCCCAAAAAAAAGAAACAAAAAAGAAAATTAAGTTAGTCATTACTTGGATATGTTTATTACTCATTATTCAGGACTGGTGGCACTGAACAGATGAAGGTCATCCATTCCAGACTGAAAATGTGGCATTTGATATATCAAATTCAATGACTACTGTGAAAATGCTACCCCCTTCTACCTATTGTAGCTCTCTCTTTCCCCATGCCAATGGAAATACACTGACTTACCCAGTTGGTTATTTCAGGCCTTTTGCACTTATCAGTACAAAGAATGGCTACAAAATTGATTGTTCCCTTCCGTCGCCCTTTATAGACAACAGTCTTGCTTCCTCTTCCGATCTCCTCATACAGAATAAAGTTTTCCATCTCTGGGCCGACTTCTCACATACAATAGAATAACAGCATCTCTAGCTCCTAAGAAGTAAACAAAAATGACATTGATAAATGCAAGTTAGTTGCATAATTAATTAGCCTAGGATAATTAGCCTAGGATATTATATGTGTAAAAAATCTAGCAAATCGACAAATTCAGAAAATTCACTTACAAATGTTAAATACTAATGCTGATATTTTTGCAGGATGAACGAAACTACGGGGCAAATAAATAAAACTTCACAGCCGGCGCAGTGGCTCACGCCTGTAATCCCAGCACTTTGGGAGGCCGAGGCAGGGGGATCACCTGAGGTCAGGAGTTTGAGACCAGCCTGGCCAACATGGTGAACCCTGTCTCTACTAAAAATACAAAAATTGGCCAGGTGTTGTGATGCGCGCCTGTAATCCCAGCTACGCGGGAGGCTGAGGCAGGGGAATCGCTTGAACCCGGGAGGCGGAGGCTGCAGTGAGCCGAGATCGCACCACTGCACTCCAACCAGGGCGACAAGGAGAGACTCCAACTCAAAAATCAATAAATATTCACAAACCAATATTCAAGTTCCCATCAACAAGATGTTTTAAAAACACAGTGGCTGCCCGTGCCTCTAGGGTGGGTAGATATCCCAGCATTCCGTGCGGTCGGCCCTTCAGCCGCTGCCGCCATTGGAGACCAGCAGCCATGGCTCTGCGCGACCCTGTGGCCGTGGGCCTCGATGAGGGCCACAGAGTTACCAAAAATGGGAGCAAGCCTGGCCCAGCCACCGCCAAAGTGGGCAACTGACCAAGCACACCAAGTTCATGCGGGACATTATTCCAAAGATGTATGGCTTTACTCCCTACGAGCTGGCGCGCCATGGAGTTGCTCAAGGTTTCCAAGGACAAACGGCCCTCAGGTTCATCAAGAAGAGAGTGGGGGACACGTCCGCACCAAGATGAAGAGAGAAGAGCTAAGCAACGCCCTGCCCGCCATGAAGAAAGTGGCCACAAAGAAGGACTGAGGCCCCATACCCTATCCATAAAACCTTCACAGAAAAAAAAAAAAAAAGTGAAAATAACAGCTATTTCGAAAAACGGTAACAAAATCAGGGTATGAATTAGATTTTATCCAATGTGTCTCCATCTTACTTTCTCCGTTACAATGGAAACCTGGTACAAGGGAAAACAACATCTGCACAGTGGGATAATATATGTGAGGCAGGAGAACAGGGTCTGGAGGCAGGGAACCTAAGGCTGTTTCACACTGACTTCCTGTAACTAAATTGAAAGGAAAACCCTAACTTTCCACGCCTAAGTAACAAAAGGACCAGAGGCTATTCCCTTTGCAAATCCCCCACCTTTTCTATGCAGCAGATGACCACAACCAATCAGACTGATTGGGGCGTAGTCTTGGTTTGCAACTTTGTAACTTCACCTTAGCATCTGACTGGTTGCAGAGAATGGAATGAATGAATGAATGAAATGGAATCAATGAAATTGGCTGACTGCAACCAATAGACCGATTGCAGGCCACCACTTGATTTACCGGAGGTGAGCGTGAAGAGGCCAGTGGGAAAGCTCTAGGGGGTATTTGGACCGGGTATCTGTATCCCTGCCCTCCAGTGCTGCTCAGGTGGCTCCCACACTGTGGAGTGTACTTTCGTTTTCAATAAATCCCTGCTTTCATGCTTTTGTTGCTTCATTCTTTCCTTGCTGTGCTGGGCATTTTGTCCAGTTCTTTGCTCAAAATGCCAAGAACCTGGACAACTTGCGGTCAAGACCCTCTACTGGTCTTGACTGGTATGCCCCACCTAAACCTTATAAATTTTGAGAAGCAAAAGAGAAACATATGCCCCACCTAGACCTTATTAATTATGAGAAGTAAAAGAGAAAACAAGTGAAAATACAGTATAAACAAATATGGAATGATATTTCCATGTAATCCCTAGACTGCAGGAGTCAATCCAAGTATCATGAATACTACTGGCTCATAGGCCAAATTGGGTGTGCTGCCTGCTTTTGTAAATAAAGTTTAATTGGAACATAGCCACACCCATTCATTTATATATTGCTTATGGCTGCTTTCAAACTGCTATATATTGCCTATGACAGAGTTGACTCTACAGCCTGCACAAACCCTAAAATATTTACTATTTGTCCCTTTATTTAAAAAAGTTTGCCAACCCCTGCTCTAAATCAAGTGATGTTGTTGTTGTTTTAACCAAGGACTTCATCCTTCACCTAAGGTATAAGTAGTTAAATGAGTTCGTTTTCTTGGCCAACATAACTCTTTAGTTTTCATAAGTAAATAAGGACTTGATGTAAACTCTTATCAGACTACATCTTATTTAGAATTTCAGTTAAAGTGGAATTAGTCATAAACAATATATGACAATTTAATCTAAGTAATTCATTAAAATCATTCTTTCAGGCTGGGTGCAGTGGCTCACACCTGTAATCCCAGCACTTTGGGAGGCCGAGGTGGGCTGATCGCCTGAGGTCAGGAGTTTGAGACCAGCCTGACCAACATGGCAAAATCCTATCTCTACTAAAAATACAAAAATTAGCCAGGCATGGTGGCACACGCTTGTAATCCCAGCTACTCGGGAGGCTGAAGGTAGGAGAATCACTTGAACGCAGGAGGCAGAGGTTGCAGTGAGCTAAGATGGTGCCACTGTACTCCAGCCTGGGAGACAGAGCACCACTCAAAAAAAAAAAAAAAAAATCAATCTTTCATAACCTGGCATCTCTCTGGAAAGATATGTTAGACTATATTAAACTTTCCAGAAATTCACAACATATCTACATATCAAAACAGCACATTGGCCAGGCACGGTTGCTCGCACCTATAATCTCACCCCTTTGGGAGGCCAAGACAAAAGAACTGCTTGAGCCCAGGAGATTGAGGCTGCAGTGAGCTACAACTGCACCATGGTACTCCAGCCTGGACAACAGGGTGAGACCATGTCTCAGAAAAAAAAAAAAAATTAAAAATTAAAAAAGCACATTGGGCTGAACTCAGTAGCTCATGCCTGTAATTCCACCACTTTGGGAGGCCAAGGAGGGAGGTTCAATTGACGCCGGGAGTTTGACACCAACCTGGGAAACATGGCAACACATCATCTCTACAAGATATTTAAAAATTTTTAAAAATTAGCCAGCAGTGGTAGCCTGTGCATGTAGTCCCAGCTACTTGGGAGACTGAGGCAGGAGGATAGCTTGAACCCGGGAGGCAGAGGTTGCAGTGAGCCAAGATCTCACCACTGCACTCTAGCCTGGGCAACGAAGTGAGACCCTTTCTCAAAAAAAAAAAAAAAAAACCTTGTACACCTCAAATACATACAATTACTGGTAGATCATACCTCAATATGGGTATATTAAAGAATTAAAAGCAGGGTCTCAGAGATATTTGTACCCCACATATTCACAGCAGCATTATTCACAATAGTTAAAACATGGAAGCAACTTGTGTCCGCTGATACATGGATAAGCAAAATGTAATATATTTTGCTTTTGCAAAAATGAAGTTTTAGAGACTGGTGCACAACAATGTAACTGTTCTTAAGCTCTACTAAACTTGTACCCTTAAAAAGGGTTAAGATGGTAAATTTTATGTGTATTTTACAATTAAAAATTTTTTAAGACTTCAAAAATTAATAACAAAACTGGTGAATATATTGGCAGATGCGGTGGCTCACGCCTGTAATCCCAGCACTTTGGGAGGTCGAGTCGGACGGATCGCCTGAGGTCACAAGTTCAGGACCAGGCTGGCCAACATGGTGAAACCTCATCTCTACTAAAAATACAAAAAAAAAAAAAAATTATCCAGGAATGGTGGCGCGCACCTGTAATCCCAGCTACTCAAGAAGGTGAGGTAGGCGAATGGCTTGAACCCAGAAGGCAGAGGGAGGTTGCAGTGAACTGAGATTGCACCATTGCACTCCAGCCTGGGTGACAAGAGTGAAACTGTCTCAAAAAAAAAAAAATTAAGGAAACTCATTTTACAGATGAAAAAAAAATCCAAGATTGTTCTAGGAGAGGAAAGCTTTTTTCTACAAAATGTTAGCGGGTAAACATTTTAGATTTTACAGACCTTATGGTTTCTGTCACAGCTACTCACCTTTGCTCTTGAACTACAAAAGCAACCAGAGACAATAAGCAAAGGGATGGATATGGCTGAGTTCCATTAAAACTTTTATTTATGGGCAGGGTGCAATGACTCACGTCTATAATCCCAGCAATTTGGGAGGCCAAGGCAGGTAGGTCACCTGAAGTCAGGAGTTCAAGACCAGCCTGGCCAACATGGCGAAACCCCATCTCTACTAAAAATACAAAAATTAGGCCAGGTGCAGTGGCTTACGCCTGTAATCCCAGCACTTTGGGGGGCCGAGGAGGGTGGATCACCTGAGGTCAGGAGATCAAGACCATCCTGGCTAACACAGTGAAACCCCATCTCTACTAAAAATACAAAAAATTAGCCAGGCATGGTGGCACGCGCCTGTAGTCCCACCTACTCGGGAGGCTGAGGCAGAGAATTGCTTGGACCCGGGAGGCGGAGGCTGCAGTGAGCCAAGATCGCGCCACTGCACTCCAGCCTGAGGAACAGAACAAGATTCCATCTCAAAAAAAAAAAAAATTAGCCAGGCATGGTGGCGGGCGCCTGTAATCCCAGCTATTCCGGAGGCTGAAGCAAGAGAATGGCTTGAACCCAGGAGGCACAGGTTGCAGTGAGCCGATTGCGCCACTGCACTCCAGCCTGGGTGACAAGAGACTCCATATCAAAAAAAATAATAATAATTAATTAATTAAAAACAAAAAGGCACTGGTTAGTATCTTTCTTTTAATGACGGTTTCCCTAAGTCCTTTTTACATCCCTCTTCGTTCTAAAACCCATTCATTAAAAAGAACCAATCCTGGCCTAGCACAGTGCCTCATGTCTGTAATCCCAACGCTTTCGGAGGTGGAGGCAGGATTGTCTGAAGCCAAGAGTTCAAGACCAGCCTGGGCAACATGGTGAGATCCCGACTCTACACAAATAAAATAGCCTGGCATGGTGGTGCATGCCTGTAGTCCCAGCTATATGGTATGTATTATAACCAAAATAAGATTAAACTGACAGTATGTTAAGATGGGAAGTTACTAAGCCAGAAAAAATATAATCAGAAACCTTAAGTGTTCACAAATTGTCTACATTAGGATATCTCAGGATAAGATGATAAAATAAGTTTTCATACAGTATGTATAACTGATTTCTTGAAAATAAGGTTTTAGGCTACAAGGGAAAAAATTAAGTAAAATCTTGATTTTTTTTTTTTTTAAAGGAGGCTAGGTCTTGAACCCCTGGGCTCAAGCAATCCTCCTGCCTCAGCCTCCCAAAATTCTGGAATTACAGGTGCAAGCCACCATCCAGCCCATCTTGAAATTTTGAATTTGATTTAGGCCAAATTCATTTCCTTAATCTTTAGTCACATCTGACCATCAAGTCACATGTGGACAATTTCAGTCTGAAATTAACAAAACACATTAGTTATAAATCTGCTTAGATAGGGTGGTTTGTTACTTTCAAGCATTTCTCCTCTCTAAGGCTGTTTCCTTAGAGTAAAATAAGAATTGGATCAAATGATTTTCTTTTTTTTTTTTGGACAGGGTCTCACTCAGTGGCCCAGGCTGGTGTGCAGGGGCAAGATCTAGGCTCACTGCAACCTCCACCTCCAGGGTTCAAACGATTCTCGTGCCTCAGCCTCCAGAGTAGCCACCTCAGCCTCTGGCACACCACCACACCCAGTTAATTTTTTGTGTTTTTGGTAGATATGGAGTTTCACTATGTTGCCCAGGCTGGTCTAGAACTCCTGGCCTCAAGTGATCCGCCTGCCTCGGCCTTCCAAAGTGCTAGGATTACAGGTGTGAGCCACCGCGCCTGGCACTAAGTTATCTTTCAATAACTTATTAATAGTTGAAATTCCATGACTTTAAGATTCTTTGACTCAGTCCAAACACGTTCCCCATTACAGACTTCCTAATATTCATTTTTAAAGCTGTAACCTCTTAATTATAAAATAAAACACAAGTACAGAAAACTCCACAGAATACATAGTTTAATGAATTACTAAAGAGGGACACCCTTCTAATCACCACCCAAAGTCAGGAAATAGGACTTTGCCAGCCACACAAGCAGCCCCTCTGTGAGCCTGTCTCAATCACCACCCCTCCTGATCCCCAAAAGTTAACCACCCCCTGACTTTCGTAGTCATCACTTCCTTAGGTTTCTTCATGGTTTTCTCACTCGAGTGTGCTTTCCCAGAAACCACAGTTTAGTCTCTTAACCTATAGTGCTCCTAAGGAAGTCTCTCTTAATTCACAAGTTCACCTAAGAAGCATCTAAGAAGCCAGAAGGCAGAGCAAATCACATACAGGTGCAAATGAGGCATTTAAGAGTCGGGGGCAGGTCCTACATTCAAGGAACGCTGAGAGCGAACAGGTGATAAGAGCGCACAGGTGCCCACTTTCAGCACAATCATGACTCCCGCACCAGAAGCATGAGCATCACCTGGGACTTAATACAAAAGAAAAAGTTATCGGCCCTGCCCCAAATTTACGGAATCATACACTACGGCGGTAGGGCCTGGCCTTCTGTGTTACTACACGCCCTGGGGTGACTGGGATGCGCTCAAGTCTGCGAAATGCCAGCCAAATCAACCCCGAGATGTAACCGATGGCGCGCGCCACACTAAGCACTCCATAGGTGCTCCTCCTCGCCGCACTTCACAGACTCAATTATCACAGACTCAGGGGCGCTACGTAGTCACTCACCCCCCCCCCCCCCCCCCCCGCTCCCCAGGCAACTCGCGGCGGGCGAATCGGCGGCTTTCGCGGCCTCGCTACGTCCGTAGGCATCAGTCCGCGAGACCGGCTGGGAGCCTAGGAAGCGCTGCAGGGCGGTGAAGACGCGGTCCGCTCTGGGAAGTTAAGAGATGGCGTCCATAAAGCACATCTCCCAAGCCGAAACACACAAGCACTCTCTCTCCCCGCTGCACCCAGGTCCTAGAAGAGGCGTCCCGTGTGCCCTTAACTAACGCCCGGATAAAAACGGGCGGCTTTTTTAACACGAGCGCAAAGCAGGGGAGCGCAGGGGGTACGGGGTCCACTGGCAGAAGGAGAGAGGGCGGCCAGGCGCCACCACCCACCCGCCCCGGCAGGCCTGCGCGCTCTTCCGCGACCGCTTAGGCAGACACGAACTCAGACTCGTAGCTACTAAAACCGCCACTGCCACGCACCTGGTAGCTAAGTCAAGAAAAGAGTCCAGTCCACTTGGCTGCTCCCGCGGTTGCGCGCATCTCGGCCTCTGCCTCAGGACAGGTCCACAGGCCCAAGAATGGGGGAGAAAGCAGTGAAGCAAAGCGGAACGCGCGGAAGAAGCCGACCAGCCTTACGGAGGCGACGCCCCTCCAGGTTTGGATTCGTCCATACGGTTTCCACGGCAGCACACAGAACGCCGGAAGAAGCTCAGGAAGCCGACTGGCTGTGCAGTTTCCGTTCCTGTTGGCTGGGGCCCGGAAGTGAGAGACCACGAGGGCCCCTCCCTCCACCCAAAGGGCATCACGCCCTGCCTTTGGACGAGCCCACAGGCCAGAGACTGGGGCGGGAAGTGCTGGAGTAACAGTCATAGTGGTCGGCCCACCATCCCTCTATGTTTGGATTTGCTCATTCCATCTCCATGGCAGCACGCAGAACGCTGGAAAAACGCAAAGCGCTGATTGGTTAAGAGTCTCAGTTCCTATTGGCCAGAGTCCGAAGTGGGAGCCCGTGAGGGACTACTCTTCAATCTTAAGTGGGTGCTGAGGCTAGAGTGTGGAGAACTGAGACCTCGTCATTTCTTCTCTTCCCGTTCCCACTGTCCTTCTGTTTCCTTCCATTCTTTTCTTTCTGGCTTCTTCTGGGAGCTCAGGTAGACATGGTGGCATAGTCTGGATAACCAACGCCTCAGAAGCAGGGGCCCCGGGGTCCTCACCATTTAGAAAAGAGAAGGCTGTGAATTACCTTCCTTTTTGGAGATGGAGGAAACAGATGAGACACTCTGATCTCAAGTTGATTGTGTAAACTAAAAATAAAAGTTCCAAGCCCCCCTACCAACTGAGTGGATCCCTCCTCTGGGCCAAAGGCACGCCAAAGTTAACCTGAAGAACTAGCTCAGGCAATGATGGGAAGATGGGGTGGGACAGGCCTCATTATACCCTCCTCCCGTTGGAATACAGGCACAGCTGACCAGCGTTAACATTAAACAGAGACCTTAAGACTGACAAAACAGACTTTTTTGCAGCAATAAGATACCAACATGGCAGCAGGCCCCAAAAGACATTGAAGTATTTTATCCTGATATATATATACACACACATAGACAAACACACACACACATATACTCTTATGTATACATATATACTCATATACGTATATATATATATATTTTTTTTGAGACAGTCTCGCTGCATCACACAGACTAGAGGGCAGTGGCGCAATCTCGGCTCACTGCAACCTCCACCTCCTGGGTTCAAGTGATTCTCCTGCCTCAGCCTCCCAAGTAGCTGGGATTACAGGCGTGTGCCACCACACCAGCTAATTTTTGTATTTTTAGTAGAGACAGGGTTTCACTGTGTTGGCCAAGCTCATCTTGAACTCCTGACCTCAGGTGATCCACCCGCCTTGGCCTCCCAAAGTGCTGGGATTACAGGTGTGAGCCACCGTGCCTGGCCAAATATATTTATTTGACATATTTTGAAATGGCCTTGCAGAGCTATCTCTTCTGGGGGGAATCTACATTCTGTAAAGAATCCCCTTGTCTTTCCAGGTCTTTTCCCTGATGCTGGAGAGAATTAACTGAGAACCTGACACCTGTTTTAAGTCTGATAAGAAACATTTACAATCTATTCTCTCTGAAACCTGCTACATAGAGGCTTCATCTGCAGAACAAGAACCCTGGTCTCTGCAACCTCTTATCTCAACCCAGACACTGCCTTCTATTGGCTCCAGGTCTTTATATAATAACTCTTTTAACCAATTGCCAATTGTAGGGTATATGGATGTGCTTTGGTCAAGGAATAGGCCAAGGTGGACATCCGGGCCAGAGTGGCTCAGCGAGTTTAGGACACAGGCGCATATTCCACTTGTTATGTAACCCGTTTATGTAAGTTCATACTTGGATCTGAGCCACTATTGTCTGTAGAAGGTATAACTGCCCTGCTGACACTGTGCCCAGGTCTGAGTTCAGCACGACACGACCCGGTTCGTGCACTGGTGCCCAGAGTAATGCTACTAACCCCTCTAAGGGAGAGCGGTTGCCCTTAAGGTGGGCAGAGGGGAGCCGAGCCAGGAACCAGCTTGTGCCCAGAGGGAGAGTTAAGCTGCTGACCCTGACAGAGCTGGCTTTGCAGGCCAGGGTGTGCAGCTGCAGGCATGGGGGCAACAGGAGCCACAGAGCCAGAACAGACAGCCGAGATAAAGGTGGACAGTGTGAGAGAGCTAGTGTGATTAAGCTGCTGATGACACAGCCGCTGAATAAAACTACATTTCACTTGCCTACACGCCCCCAACCCTCCTTGTGTTCTTTCAGTTATTCGCCCATCCACCCACTCCCCTTGGACCTCAGCTGGGGGCTGGAACCTGACAATTGGCGTAGTCGTGGCATAACACCAATCACCTATTAAATCCACCCTATGATGTAGAAGCTCTTTCCAGCTTCGAGTTGTCCCACCTTTCCTGACCCAACCAATACCTTATGTCATGTATTGATTGATGTCTTATTTCTCCGTAAAACATGTAAAACCGAGCTGCAGCTCAGTCACCTTAGCTGTCAGGCCTCTGAGCCTAAGCTAAGCCATCATATCCCCTGTGACCTGCACGTATACATCCAGATGGCATGAAGCAACTGAAGATCCACAAAAGATGTGAAAATAGCCTTAACTGATGACATTCCACCATTGTGATTTGTTTCTGCCCCACCCTACCTGATCAATTTACTTTGTAATCTCCCCCACCCTTAAGAAGGTTCTTTGTAATTCTCCCCACCCTTGAAAATGTACTTTGTGAGATCCATCCTCTGCCCGCAAAACATTGTTCCTGACTCCACCGCCTATCCCAAAACCTATAAGAACTGACGATAATCCCACCACCCGCTGCTGACTCTCTTTTCAAACTCAGCCCACCTGCACCCAGGTGAAATAAACAGCCTTGTTGCTCACACGAAGCCTGTTTGGTGGTCTCTTCACACGGACACGTGAGACATTAGCCATATGTTCCTAGGGCCTCTTGAGACTGTGCCTCGAGCCATGGTCACTCAGATTTGGCTCAGAATAAATCTCTTTAAATATTTTACAGAGTTTAACTCTTTTTGTCAACCATCACTTACGGCTTTCAAAGCTCCACACTTGCAAGTTTCAACCACCAGATACACTGGAGCCTGTACTCCAGCCCGAGCAACAGCGCAAAATCCTGTCTGTAAAAAGGAAATTTAAAAAGAAATTTTATTTTTTGCTAACTTTACATGCATTGTTATTATTTAATGCCTCTTTGTATGAAGTAAAAAATAAATTTCTTTTCTGCAGCATTTAATGCAATGCTTTGCCTAAAGAAGGAAGTTTCTATGTGCTTGAATGAGAGATTCTTTTTTTTTGGAGACAGAGTTTAGCTCTTGTTGCGCAGGCTAGAGTGCTAACCTAGCTACACTCTAGAGACAGGGGTTTCTCCATGTTAGTCAGGCTGGTCTTGAACTCCCGACCTCAGGTGATCTGCCCGCCTCGGCCTCCCAAAGTGCTGAGATTACAGGTGTGAGCCACCGCGCCCGGCTGACAGATTCTTTATGATCATCCAGAGGTGAGAAAATGAACCAGCTCCCCTCTTCAGCATCCTTCAATGCAAAAGTGGTTTGCAAACTTTACCATCAGAATCACCTGGAGCTCTTGTTAAAACATAGATTTCTGGCTCCACCTACAAAACTTCTGATTCTGTATCTCAATGGGGCCTAAAATTTTGCATTTCTATCAACTTACCAGGTGATGTCAATGTTGCAAGTTGAGCACCACACTTTTCAAACAACCATCTAGAAAAACTGTTCTGATCTCAGGTAAATCACATCTCCTTTTACTTCTGACCCTTCCTGCCTTCTCAAGAGTCTCAGCATCCATTATTGTCAGTTCTGTGTATTTAACAGGTTTGGTAGGGAAAACGTCTCCTCCTGGACTACTGTCAAATTAATGAAGATTAAAACTTTGAAATATTTTGTTTATTCTGAGTTTTTATAAATAACCTAAAAGTTCATGTCAGAAGCAATATCAGATCCTGGGTCTTCTTAGCCTAAGTTCCTTGGATGCTTCTGTCAGAGAAATGCGAACCAGAGTGACTCCATCTCGAATAGGGGCTGGGTAAAATAAGGCTGAGACCTTCTGGGCTGCATTCCCAGGTGGATAGACATTCTTAATCACGGGATGAGAGAGGAGGTCGGCACAAGCTAGAGGTCAAAAGACCTTGCTGATAAAACAGGTTGCAGTAAAGAAGCCAGCCAAAACCCACCAAAACCAAGATGGTGACAAAAGTGGCCTCTGGTCATCCTCACTGCCCATTATATGCTAATTAAATGCATTAGCATGATAAGAGACACTCCCACCAGTGCCATGACAATTTACAAATGCCATGGCAACATCAGGAAGTTACCCTATATGGTCTAGAAGCGGGAGGTACCCTCAGTTCTGGGAATTGCCCACCCCTTTTGCGGAAAACTTAGGAATAATCCACCCCTTGTATAGCATATGTCAAGAAATAGGCTAGGCATGGTGGCTGACGCCTGTAATCCCAGGACTTTGAGAGGCCAAGGCGGGCAGATCACTTGAGATCAGGAGTTTAAGACCAGAATGGCCAAAATGGTGAAACTCCGTCTCGACTAAAAATACAAAAATTAGCCGGGCACGGTGGCATGCACCTGTAATCCCAGCTACTTGGGAAGGTGAGGTGGGAGAACTGCTTGAACCCGGACTGGGTGGGGGGCTGAGGTTGCAGTGAGCCAAGATGGCACCACAGCACTCCAGCCTGGATAACAGAGTGATACTCTGCCTCAAAAAAAAAGGAAGGAAGGAAGGAAGGGAGGGTGGGCAATTATCAGTCCAGCAGCCCAAGCTGCTGCTCTGCCTATGGAGTAGCCATTCTTTTATTCCTTTACTTTCTTAATGAACTTACTTTCACTTTACTCTATGGATTCACCTCGAATTCTTTCTTGCTTGCGATCCAAGAACCCTCTTTTGGGGTCTGAATTGGGACCCCTTTCTGGTAACACTTCCAGGCAATACGTGAACCTACAAAGACAATTAAATTTTTGTATGCATGTGCATTTTTTTCTGGCTAGAGGGTTTGTGAGTTTGGTCAGATTCTCAAAGGTGCCAATGACTCAGAAAAGTTTAAGAACTCCTGCTATAGATAATTTTAAGACAATATCACAAAAGACAAACTAGAGAAAGCATGGACCATTTTAAGACAGTATCACAAAAGACAAACCAGAGAGGCTGGGCGCGGTGGCTCACACCTGTAATCCCAGCACTTTGGGAGGCCAAGGCGGGCGGATCATGAGGTCAGGAGATCGAGACCATCCTGGCTAACATGGTGAAACCCCATCTCTACTAAAAATACAAAAAATTAGCTGGGCATGGTGGCGGGTGCCTGTAGTCCCAGCTCCTCGGGAGGCTGAGGCAGGAGAATGGTGTGACCCTGGGAGGCGGAGCTTGCAGTCAGCTGAGATCACGCCACTGCACTCCAGCCTGGGTGACAGAGTGAGACTCTATCTCAAAAAAAAAAAAAAGACAAACCAGAGAAAGCATGGAACCTACCTACTCAGTGACCACTACTGGTCCAAAGATTAGACCTTGACAGACATTAGTTAAATTTCAAAAAGTATAAAACAGCTGAGTGCTATTTAGATTCTTAAGTAGGACTGAGAGCTGAAATGCCAGGTTTTGAATTGCTTAAATTCCTAAGTGCTTTCAGAGTGACCTTTGCTTTCATCTCAATTTTAGATTTTCATTCTCATTATAATTGGTAAGAGTGAATCTGACATGGAAAATATCAATGCGGAGTTTATTTGGGCAAATTCTTCCTCCCAGAAACAACTAATGTCTCATCTTCCTCACTTCTAGATGATCATAAAGAACCTCTTGCCAGACCCAGTGGGTCACACCTGTAATCCCAGTACTTTGGGAGGCTGAGGTGAGAGGATCACCTGAGCCTAGAAGATCAAGGCTGCAGTGAGCTGTGATCGCACCACTGCCCTCCAGCCTGGGCGACAGAGTGAGACCTTGTCTCAAAAAAAATTAAAAACAAAAAACTCTTCATTCGAGCACATAGAAACTTCCTTTTTTTAAGGCCGGGCGCGGTGTCTCATGCCTGTAATCCCAGCACTTTGGGAAGCCGAGGCAGGTGAATCAACTGAGGTCAGGAGTTGAAGATCAGCCTGGCCAACATGGTGAAACCCTGTCTCTACTTAAAATACAAAAATTAGCCAGGCGTGGTGGCAGGTGCCTATAATCCTAGCTACTCAGGAGGCTGAGGCAGGAGGATCTCTTGAACCTGGGAGGCAGAGGTTGCAGTGAGCATAGATCGTGCCACTGCACTCCAGCCTGGGCAACAGAACAAGATGCTCAAAAAAAAAAGAAAGAAAGAAAAGAAAAAGAAAGAAACTTTCTTTTTTAGGCAAAGCATTGCATTAGATATTGCAGGAGAGAAAAAAATATTTTATTCGTACAAAGAAGTATAAGAATAATAATAGTGCATTTAAGTTAGCAAAATACAAAGTTCCTTTTTAAATTTCTTTTCTTTTTGTGATAGAGTCTCCCAGGCTGGAGTACAGTGGCATGATCTTGGCTCACCACAACCTCCACCTCCCGAGTTCAAGCAATTCTCCTGCCTCAGCCTCCTGAGTAGCTGGGATTACAGCTGTCTGCCACCACACCCAGCTAATTTTTGTATTTTTTAGTAGAGACGGGGTTTCACCATGTTGACTAGGCTGGACTCCTGACCTCAGGTGAACCGCCTGCCTCGGCCTCCCAAAATGTTGGCATTACAGGCATGAGCCACTGTGCCTGGCCTAAATTTCTTTTTTAGAGACAGGGCCTCCTTCTGTTGCCTAGGCTACAGTGCAGTGGCATGATAATAGCTTACTGTAGCCTCAGACTCCTGGGCTCAAGAGATTCTCCCATGTCAGCCTCCCTAGTAGCTAGGACTCCAGATGCACACCACCATGCCCGGCTAATTGTGTATGTGTGTGTAGATGGTGCCTGGGGTCTCACTATGTTGCCCAACCTGGTCTCAAGCAATCCTACCGTCTCGGACTCCCAAAATGCTAGGATTACAGGCGTGAGCCACCACACCCAAAAATGTTTATTATCTGAAGTATGCTTTACCCTCAAGTTCTAAAGGCACCTAAAAAGGAGAAAAAAATGTTTTCTCATGTTTAGTTTTAAATTATTTTATTTCTACAAATTCATGGGGTAAGTGTGAAATTTTGTTACACATATATAATTCATAGTGATCAAGTCAGGGTATTTAGGGTGTCCATCACTCAAGTTCCATATCTTTTTGTTAAGTATTATCACCCTACTCTGCTATTAAACATTGAATTTCTTCCTTCTATCTTATTATATTTTTGTACAATTTAACACACTTTACTTCATTATCCCCTCTCCTCCCACTCACCTTTCCCATTCTCTGTAGTTTATCTTTTCAATTCGTCCCTCCATGTGATCAATGTTTTTAGCTTCCACATATAAGTGAGAGCATGAATTATTTGTGTTTTTGTGCCTGGCTTATTTCACACAAAATAATGGCCTCCAGTTCCATCCATGTGGCTGCAAATGACATTATTTCATTATAGAAAAAATAAATGAGGGAAAAGGAAAACAAATTAAGAAAATCCACTTGAATACTGGAGAGCAGTTAGAACAAAGAATACTTATTTTGAAGGCTCTAAAGGACTTCACAGGTGCTCAGGGTGGCCCCTAAGACAGACTCTCCACCTCTACTTAGAAGGGAACAAAAATAAGACACTTGGGAAAGGCTACAATTGTCCTCACGAAATAATGTGTAGACTTAAGATTCAAGGTGAAGAACTGAACACGTGAATTTACCACAAAGACTCCTAAAAGCTCACTAAAATGACTGAATTGGGATTGAAACCATAAGGGCACTTAAGAACAAGCAAGGGAACCATCATTAGGTGGAAGTTCTTAAGCATTTTTTGGAACACAGAAAAAGCACTTGACTTTAGACAGAGGATTCACAGCAACTGCAACTCAGCCACTAACATGTTAGTCCTGGAGCATTTATCCTCATCTTGTTAATGGATGAAAAGAATTCCACCTTTAATACCAGCAGACCTCATCACCCAAGGCAAGTTTCTCCATGTAGTAACATTTGCCTTCAAGGTAAAACATGGAAATACTTTCTAAACAATATGAACAAAAGGCTTGGGACAGTGGAGAATGAGTGAAAATCTGCCTTTTGAACCACAGAGCCTTTCCTTAGCCCCCTTTCCTGCAAACATAATGGCAATTAGTCTTCTAATCTTCAATTAAAAATTGTAATATTATTTAGTGAGAAAGAGACTTGTACAAGAAATACTGACATCTGGCAAAAGAGAATATTTCCTATTTTTTGTTTTGTTTTGTTTTGTTTTTTTGAGACAAGGTCTGGCTCTGTCGACCAGGCTGGAGTGCATGGCGTGATCTCAGCTGGCTGCAACCTCTGCCTACTGTGCTCAAGTGATCCTTCCATCTCAGTGTCCCAAATAGCTGGGACTACCGGTGTATGCCACGATGCCCAGCTAATTTTTGTATTTTTTGGAGAGATGGGTTTTTGCCATGTTGCCCAGTCTGTTCTTGAATTCATGAGCTCAAGTGATTCACCCGCCTAGGCCTCCCAAAGTGCTGGGATTACAGGCTTGAGCCTCCACAGCATCCAGCCACGTTTCCTAATTTAAAAATAAAACAAAAACAAACAAACAAAAAAAACAGGACTGGGCACAGTGGCTCATGCGTGTAATCCCAGCACTTTGGGAGGCAAAGGCGGGCTGATCACCTGAGGTCGGGAGTTCAAGACCAGCCTGACCAACATGGAGAAACCCCGTCTCTACAAAAAATACAAAATTAGCCAGGTGTGGTGGCACATGCCCATAATCCCAGCTACTTGGGAGGCTGAGGCAGGAGAATCGCTTGAACCCGAGAGGCAGAGTTTGCGGTGAGCCGAGATCGCGCCATTGCACTCCGGCCTGGGCAACAAGAGCGAAACTCCGTCTCAAAAAAACAAACAAGCAAACAAAAAAAACAAACTATGCTTCTAGAAGTCATTTAAAAAAAAATTCACTACCTCATCATCATAAAATGAAGTTTACCAATCAATAAACCCCCCAAATGTGCAGCAAACACTGAATGAGCCTTTTAGTGCCTTACTATTATATATGTGAACACATAGTCAGAAATATCAAGATATGTGGCTGGGCATGGTAGCTCATGTCTGTAATCCCAGCACTTTGGGAGGCCAAGGCAGGCAGATCACCTGAGGTCGAGAGTTCAAGACCAGCCTGGCCAGCATGGTGAAACCCTGTCTCTACTAAAAATGCAAAATTAGCCAGGAATGATGGCGTATGCCTGTAATCCCAGCTACTCAGGAGGCTGAGGCAGGAGAATCGCTTGAACCCAGAAGGCAGAGGTTGCAGTGAGCCGAGATCGCCCCATTGCACTCCAGCCTGGGCAACAAGAGTGAAACTCCGTCTCAAGAAAAAATAAAAAAAGAGAGAAATATCAAGATATGTGAGGAAAGACTCTAACATGAAAGCCATTAAAATAAGCAAACCAGTAACTCAGATAACTAAAAAATCAATGAAGAAAGCAAGTGAAAAACTTTAACAATTATAATTAATATCACCAAAAGCAAGTGAAAAGGCATGGTACCCATAGTTTGCATATTTTTATTTTACTTTTTACCAAATTCTTGTTTACCAGAGCTTGCATTTCATTTTATTTTATTTTATTTTATTTTAGATGAAGTTTCACTCTTGTTGCCCAGGCGGAAGTGCAATAGCACAATCTCGGCTTACCGCAACCTCCGCCTCCCAGGTTCAAGTGATTCTCCTGCCTCAGCCTCCCAAGTAGCTGGGATTACAAGCGCCCACCACCACACCCAGCTAATTTTTGTATTTTTAGTAGAGACGGGGTTTCACCACCTTGGCCAGGCTGGTCTCAAACTCCTGACCTCGCTATCTGCCCGCCTTGGCCTCCCAAAGTGCTGGGATTACAGGCATGAGCCACCACACCCGGCCACGTTTTATTTTTGATCAAGACATTTAAAAGTCTTTTTTTTTTTTAATTAGCAGTCAAATAGATTTTGTTATTAGCCTATATGTTATTTGGGTTTTGGAATTTACTGAAATTCTCTTTGTGGTCTAACGAATGGCTACTATTTTTTTTAATGTACCACAAGAGTTTGGAAAGAAGAAGTATTTCTTATTTGTTGAGTTCCAAATATCATATGCATATTTTCAAGCTTATTAACTGACATGTACAAATCTTCTAAACCCTCTTTTTATGTGGCATTGTCCTACTTACTCTGTCAGTTCCTGAGAAAGGTGTTTTGAAGTTGCTCATTATGGTTATGAATTTGCCAATTACATATTGGATTTAGTTTCAAGACAGTGAGCTTAGAAAAATAACAACAAGGCTGGACGCGGTCGCTCATGCCTGTAATCCCAACACTTTGGAAGGCTGAGGCGGCAGATCACTTGAGGTCAGGAGTTGGAGACCAGCCTGGCCAACATGCTGAAACCATCTCTCTACTAAAAATATAAAAATTAGCTAGGTGTGGTTGCAGGTGCCTGTGATCCCAGCTACTCTGGAGGCTGAGGCAAGAGAATCACTTGAACCTAGGAGGCGGAGGTTGCAGTGAGCCGAGATAATGCCACTGCACTCCAGCCTAGGCAACAGAGTGAGACTCCATCTCAAAAACAAACAAACAAACAAACAAAAACAAAAAAAAAGAAAAAGAGAAAAAGAAAAATAACAACAAAAATGATCACAGTGGAAACGGAAGAAAAGCATTACCAAAGATAAAAGCAGAAATTAATGAAATAGAAGGCAAAAATCCACTAGCCAGGGGCATAAATTTAGAAGGCAGGAGATGGTTTCCATGGTGCTCTTCCAGGTTGTAAAGCTGGCTATGATGTCATGGGGTCTCCAGTCCTCTTTAGGATATAGCGTGCTCCACTCTCAGATTACCAACTCAGGGAATGGATTCTCCTAAAGACAGAAACTGGAGGCTGGGAGCTTCAAGACTGATGCTCCCGTTTACTCTGGAAGACCTGGGAAGTAGCACGATAATTCTTCCAGCACTAGTGTATTAGTGAATACACTGGAAGAGCCAGACACCGTCTCCCTCTTGGATGGGAGATTTTCACCCTTATAATAACAACCTAAGAGTCCTTAAAATCTGTGGCCTTCTGGGATGTCTTTTTCCTTTAATAACCATATTAATGATTCCAGCATCCATTGCACATACTTGGCAACTCCAGAGTAGACTGGATTTTCAGGGAAATAATATTTTTTGGTCTTTTCTCACAACAAATTCCTTAAGTCTTGCTTCCTTCTCATCATCTTATCTCTAGCACATGCTAGTCTCATCTGACCCTGCTTCCCCTCACACATTTGACAGTGTAGAAGGGGACCTTTTTTTCCTCTATTCTTATAAGTTCTGTGACTGAGACCTGTGACTTTCACTGACCAAAGACAGATTAACAGGAGAAAAGCATACAAATTTTGTTTGATAATATTCTAAATTTTATGTGCACATGGAGGCCTTCGTAGAAAAGAAAGGAAGACTCAAATAAATGACTAGACCCAGGGGCTTATATATCATTTTAACAAAGAGCAATAAAATGTAGAAACATGAAGAGGCAATGGAAAAAGAGATTTGAGCTAAGGGGCAGTCTCACTCTGTCACACAGGCTGGAGTGCAGTGGCATAATCTGAGCTCCCTGCAACCTCTGCCTCCCGGGTTCAAGCAATTCTCCTGCCTCAGCTTCTCGAGTAGCTGGGCCTACACATGTGTGCCACCACACCTGAATAATTTCTGTATTTTTGGTAGAGATAGGGTTTCCGCATGTTGACCAGGGTGGTCCTGAACTCCTAGCCTCAAGTGATCAACCCATCTCAGCCTCCTAAAGTGTTGGGATTACAGGTATGAGCCACTGCACCCAGCCAGATGTATTATTTTAGTAAGGTTTGTTTCAACAGATTCATGTTGGTGTCAATTCCCCACCACCATTGATAAGAATGTTCTCTTTTTCCTGGTGCAGAGAGGGTAACTTTCTGGCAGGAAATTTATGCCCTCCTTTTAGGTAGAAAGAGGAGGTTAGGGAACACTTCCTGCATCTGCTGTTTCTCTCATCCAAGTATTAACAAGCATGACCCTGAAATCAGCTGTCTCTCAGTTGCCTTCAGTTCAAAATAGTCGATATGTCTAAGTGGCATGTTTTGGGATGGCATGTTCTGATCTTCTTCAACAGCACCTTTAAAAGTACTTTCCTTCTCCTTCTTCATTCCCCAAAGCCCATGTTACTCTGTGACACATACTTTTACTGAATGTGTGGCAATAACAGAGAGAAGTTGCAGCATAGAAAGAAAACAACTTAAAATTGAGTATTAAACATGGTGATGGTAAGGGTAGTAGAAAGCAGGCACTTGCACAGTGCTGATGGGAGAGCAATTTGGCAGTATTCATGAAAATGGCAAATGCACATCCCCATTCAATCCAGCAATTCCACTTCTAGGAAGTGATATGATCTCGGGTCACTGCAACCTCCACCTCCCGGGTTCAAGTGATTCTCCTGCTGCAGTCTCCCAAGTAGTTGGGACTACAAGCACGCACCACCCACACCTGGCTAATTTTTGTATTTTTTAGTAGATACGGAGTTTTACCATGTTAGTCAGGCTTGTCTCCAACTGCTGACCTCAAGTGATCTGCCTGCCTTGGTCTCCCAAAATGCTGGGATTACAGGTGTGAGCCACCACACTCGGCCTGTACATCATATGATTTAAATGCTTATTTTAAAATTATATATGTGTGTATACAATTATATGTGTGTATATACACATGTAATATATAAAATATCTATAATGTATACATGTGTATATATGTGTATATACCTATACATTACAGATATGTAAATGTGTACATATATATACACATATATGCATTATACACATATGAATACATATATTCTGATTTTCTTCAATAGTTCTTTTAAAAGAACTGTTTGCATATACATTTGTATATGTATATAGGTATACACATATATATACATGTAAGCGTGATGCCTCACACTCACAGGTAACCTAGGGCTCTGCCTGAAGCTCTTTCTATTTTCCCTTCTCACCTCTTCTACCCAGTCTTGGACTTCCCCCTCTTTCTTCCTTGTCTTCAGGGAAAAATTATTTATAAGTCCTATTATGTAGTCTGGGGCAGCATTTGAAATCTCTATTAATCACTTCCCTCTAGATGAAACTGACCTAATCTGTTATCTGCAAACATCATTAAAGAGTTTTCCTAAACAAATGTCTCCCATCCCTGATATTTACCTTCAGCAATTCAAAGAATTTGCAGATTATTATAATTTAAAGTTTTCTCTTACAAATTCAGGCCAAACTATTAGGTCAGCCTCCCTGAACAATCTCCAATAGGACAAGGGAGAGGTGCTCTCTCCTTGTCCAGAATAAAAGCTAGTTTCCTTTCCTCTTTCCTGGTACAGAGTTAACACTGAAAAGAACATTCTTATACATCAATCTTGGCAAGCATGTCAGGTTTTTTGTCTGAGGATAAATTCCTATGTGATAGGGTGGTGCCAACAGTTTAACATTTCCTCTGTGGCTTTAAAAACATTATTATTGGTCAGGCACAGTGGCTTGCGCCTCTAATCCCAGCACTTTGAGAGGCTGAAGTGGGCAGATCGCTTGAGCTCAGGAGTTCGAGACCAGCCTGGGCAATATAGCAAAAGCCCATCTCTACCAAAAATACAAAGAAAAACCCGGGTGTGTTGGTGCAAGCCTATAGTCCAGTTACTCAACAGGCTGAGGCAGGAGGATTCCTTGAGCCCGGGAGACAGAGGTTGCAGTGAGCTGAGATTGCGCCACTGCACTCCAGCCTGGGCAACACAGCAAGACACTGTCTAAAAAAAAAAAAAAAAATTATTAAGCTTAGAATGGCATTTTTCATTTGGAGAGTAGATATTTGCTTATTTTTCTACTTTTATTCTTTCAATTTTTACATAAGATTATTTAATCCATCTGGAATTTATTTTGGTGAACATTGGGAAATTAGGACATAATTTTATTACCCCTTAGAATACTTAGCCAATTATCCCAGCACTAAAATTCTCCCTTTCCTCAGAAACTTGTGATGCCTTCCTCATTATAGACCGACTTTTTGATATATGCATTAAGGTCTGTTTCTAGCTTATTAATTTTGCTCCATGGAGCTCTATTTTTGCACTAGTTGGAGATGGTTCTTAATAATTTTGTTTTAAATTTTTATAACAAAGAAGGAAGAAAAATTATCCGCAGAGAATGAGGGGACAGAGATGATAATGAAGACATAAAAGGGGGAAATGGTTAAGACAAGACAGTGTAGTGTGTGTAATGAGGAGTCATTTAGAGTTGAATAACTGAGGCACTGGGCTGCTCTAATGGCCTGGCTATGGGTGGAGAAAATCAGGTTATGATTAGAGAAAAAGTCTTCCATCAGTACTCTCTGGAATCCACATCAATTTAAAAGCAGAATCTGGCCGGGCACAGTGGCTCACACTTGTAATCCCAGCACTTTGGGCAGATCACCTGAGGTCAGCAATTCAAGACCAGCGTTGTCAGCTTGGTGAAACCCAGGCTCTACTAAAAATACAAAAATTAGCCGGGCGTGGTGGCGCATGCCTATAATCCCAGCTACTTAGGAGGCTGAGGCAAGAGAATCGCTTGAACCCAGGAGGTGGAGGTTGCAATGAACTGAGATCGTGCAACTGCACTCTGGCCTGAGCAACAGAGCCAGAGTCTGTCTTAAAAAAAAAAAAAGAAAGAAAAAATTAAAAGTAGAATGTAAGGATTCCTATGTATTCTCCATCCCTTTATTCAACAAATATATATTGAGGATCTACTATGTGTTGGACACTATATTAGCCTGAATCTAAATCAGTGATCAAAAAGATAGGATCGGGTGGTTTGAAAACCATGGTTTGGATACCAGCGGAGTCTGCAATGGAAGAGTTGATGCCTTGGCTATTGCCGGTAGAGCTCTGCAACTTGATGGAAGGTTTTGATCCCTCAGTACCCCTGAGGACCCCTCAGGAATGCCTGAGGTGGGTCCAGATCCAAGCAGCTCAATGTCCAGATGTTGTGGTAGCACAAATTGACCCAAAGAATTGAAAAGCAAGGCCGGGAGCAGTGGCTCATGCCTGTAATCCCAGCACTTTGGGAGGCCGAGGTGGGCAGATCACGAGGTCAGGAGTTCGAGACCAGCCTGGCCAACGTGGTGAAACCCCATCTCTACTAAAAATACAAAAAATTAGCCTGCCATGGTGGTGTGCACCTGTAATCCCAGCTTCTCGGGAGGCTGAGGCAGGACAATTGCTTGAACCTGGGAGGTGGAGGTTGCAGTGAGCTGAGATTGTGCCATTGCACTCCAGCCTGGGCAACAAGAGCCAAACTCCGTCTCAAAAAAAAAAAAAAAGGAAGTTGAAAAGGAAGCAAAGTGTTAATATTTTTCTTTCAGGATGCCAACCAGCCACTGAAGGTTATTCCCCAACACTTCGGTGGCAACAGCAACAAGTGGCACTGTTTTCAACTGTTCGACAGAATGTGAACAAACATAGAAGTCACTGGAAATCACAACAGTTGGATAGTAATGTGACTATGCCAGAATCTGAAGATGAAGAAGGCTGGAAGAAATTTTCTCTGGGTGAAAAGTTATGTGCTGACGGGGCTGTTGGATCAGCCACAGTTGAAAGTCCCGGAGTAGATTCTGCACAAGGAAGATGCTTTATGCTTTATTGACTTGTCTGGAAAAGCCTTTATTACCTCAGGCTCATTCATTGATTCGGCAGCTTGCAAGGTGTTCTGAAGTGAGGCTCTTAGGGGAGAGCAAAGATGATGAGAAGGTTCCTGCTTTGAATTTATTACTTTGCTTGCTTAGCAGGTATTTTGACCAATGTGATTTAGTTGATGAGCCATCTTTATGTAGTGATCTCTCAGGAATAGAAGATATTTCTCACGAAGGCACCTTAACTCTGAGGAAATGCAATGCCAATTCAAGTACAGATTGCAACACAACTTCAACACGATGTCAGGAGTTCACATCTTAACCTGTGCTGTTCAGGTTGATACTCAGAATATAGGTTGTATTGATTGAATGTCTGAAATATCAATGAAAAATCACCCCCCAGTTTTTGATGAACAGTTTGAACAGTTTTCTGTAATCAAGCAGCTTGCATAGAAATTGTATGATGAAATCTTACATAGGTTATTGGTACTGTTTTGTTGTTTATCTACATATGTACATATAAAATTTTATTGAAAATATGTTTTGGTTACTAAAATTTTGTTTGACTCTTAACAAAAGACAATGGATGGCCTTAGCATCAGAATTAAAATAATGTAGAGTAAATAACAAATGCATTCACAGCAATAAAATTAATCAAGCATTAAAAAAAAAAAGATAGGATTGGCTGGGTGTGGTGGCTCACACTCTTAATCTCAGCACTTTGGGAGGCTGAGGCAGAAGAATTGCCCGAGCTCAAGAGTTTGAGACCAGCCTGAGCAACATAGCAAGACCCTGTCCCAAAAATTAAAAAAAAAAAAAAAAAAAAAGATCCACCCTCCTGGAACGTCCTGAAAATACAGAAACAGTTCCTGGAGTAGGATATGTAGTCAGTCATTGTGGGTATGCATTCTGTTTTCTTTTCTTTTTTTTTTTTTTGAGAAGGAGTCTCGCTCTGTCGCCCAGGCTGCAGTGCAGTGGCGCAATCTCGGTTCACTGCAAGCTCCGCCTCCCAGGGTTCACGCCATTCTCCTGCCTCAGTCTCCTGAGTAGCTGGGACTATAGGCGCCTGCCACCACACCTGGCTAAATTTTTGTATTTTTTAGTAGAGACGGGGTTTCACCATGTTAGCCAGGATGGTCTCCATCTCCTCGTGATCCACCCACCTCGGCCTTCCAAAGTACTGGGATTACAGGCATGAGCCACCGCACCCAGCCACATTCTGTTTTCTTTTGTAATAAAGATAGGCATTCTAGATGTTTCTCAATTTGGGCAGTCAGAACATAAATCTTCTTTTTTTTAATTTTTGTTTTTTTTTGTGATGTAGTTTTGCTCTGTCACCCAGGCTGGAGTGCAGTGGCAAGATTTTGGCTCACTGCAACCTCTGCCTCCTGGGTTCAAGCGATTCTCCTGCCTCAGCCTCCAGAGTATCTGGGATTACAGGCGCTCATCATCACACCTGGCTAATTTTTCCTATTTTTAGTAAAGACGGGGTTTCACCATGTTGGCCAGGCTGGTCTCAAATTCTTGGCCTCAAGTAATCTACCCGCCTTGGCCTCCCAAAGTGCTGGAATTACAGGTGTGAGCCACTGTGCCTGGCTGAATCTTCTTATATTTGGACTGTTACTCACTGTGTTAGGCCTTTCTTGCATTACTAAAAATAAATATCTGAGGCTGCATAATATATAAGAAAGAGGTTTAATTGGCTCACAGTTCTACAGGCTGTACAGGAAGCATAGTGCCAGCATCTGCTTCTGGGAAGGCCTCAGGAAGCTTACAAGTGTAATAGAAGATGAAGGGGGAGCAGGTATCTCACACGGCAGAGCAGGAGCAAGGGAGAGAGAGTTGATGAGGAGGTGCCACACGCTTTTATGAAACCAGATCTCACAAAAACTCACTCACTCATCACCAAGGGAATGGGGCTAAGTCATTCATGAGGGATAGGCCCCCATGATTCAAGCACTTCCCACCAGGCCCCACCTTCAATACTAGGGATTACATGTCTTTTGTTTGTTTGTTTTTTCTGTTTTCTTGTTTTATGTCTCCCCATAGTTAAGCAGGGATTAGATTTTCACATGAGATTTGGTAGGGACACAGATCCAAACCCTATTATTGTCTTAGGTTGAATTGCCTAAAACTAGAACCTGAGAGAAGGATTCCTGTGCATGTGATTTATAGAGGAAATGCTCTTAGGAAGAGGAGAGCAAAGGAAGCAAAATTCAAGCCTGGCTTGTAACCAGGGTTGGAGTCTCGCTCTGTCGCCCAGGCTGGAGTGCAGTGGCGCAATCTTGGATCACTGCAACCTCTGTCTGCCGGGTTCAAGCGATTCTCCTGTCTCAGCCTCCTAAGAGGCTGGGATTAAAGGTGCCTTTCACCATGCCCAGCTATTTTTTGTATTTTTAGTAGAGACGGGATTTCACCATGTTTGGCCAGGTGGTCTTGAACTCCTGACCTCAGGTGATCAACCCACCTTGGCCTCCCAAAATGCTGGGATTACAAGCACACTCTGTGTCTTTTAATTGGAAAGTTTATTTTATTTTATTTTATTTTTATTTATTTATTTTGAGACGGAGTTTTGCTCTTGTTGCCCAGGCTGGAGTGCAATGGCTCGATCTCGGCTTACTGCAACCTCCGCCTCCTGGGTTCAAGTGATTTTCCTGCCTCAGCCTCCCAAGTAGCTGGGATTACAGGCATGCGCCACAACACCTGGCTAATTTTGTATTTTTAGTAGAGATGGGGTTTCTCCATATTTGTCAGGCTGCTCTGGAATTCTTGACCTCAGGTGATCCACCCACCTCAGCCTCCCAAAGTGCTGGGATTACAGGCATGAGCCACCCCACCCAGCCTGGAAAGTTTAGTTTATTTACATTTAATGTTATTATTGATAAGTAAGGACTTATTCCTGCCATTTTGTTGCTTGTTTTCTGATTGTTTTATGGTCTTCTTCTCCTTTTTCCCATCTTTCCTGTCTTCCTTTTAGTGAAGGTGATTTTCTCTGGTGGCATGTTTTAATTTCTTGCTTTTTTATATTTTGAGTATCCATTGTATGTTTTTTACATCTCAGTTACCATGAGGCTTGCAAATAATGTCTTATAACCCATTATTACAAACTGACGCCAATTTCATACTTATTTCACAATCAAACAAGCAAAAAGAAAACTAATAAAAACTCTACAGTTTAACTGTGTTCTCCTGCTTTTAAACTTTTTGTTGTTTCTATTTATATCTTATTGTACTGTCTGTGTCTTAAAAAGGTGTCACCGTTGTTGTTTTAGATCAGTTCATCTTTTTATCTTTCTACTCAAGACGAGTAGTTTACACATCACAGTCACAGTATTATAATATTCTGTGTTTTTCTGTATACTTACTATTACCAGTAAGTCTTGTCTTCAGGTGATCTCTTATTGCTCATTAACGTTGTTTTCTTTCAGATTGAAGAACACCCTTTAGCATTTTTTGTAGGACAGGTCTGGTGTTGATGTAATCCCTCAATTTTTGTTTGTCTTGGAAAATCTGTTTCTTTCTTTCTCTCTCTCTCTCTTTCCTTCCTTCCTTCCTTCCTTCCTTCCTTCCTTCTTTCCTTCTTCTTGTTGTTGTTGAGACGGAGTCTGACTCTACTGCCCAGGCGGAAGTGCACTGGTGCAATCTCAGCTCACTGCAACCTCCGCTTCCTGGGTTCAAGCGATTCTCCTGCCTCAGCCTCCAGAGTAGCTGGGACTACAGGTGCCCGCCACCACGCCCAGCTAATCTTTGTATTTTTAGTAGAGATGGGGATTCACCATGTTGGCCAGGCTGGTCTTGAAATCTTGACCTCAGGTGATCTGCCCGCTTCAGCCTCCCAAAGTGCTGCGATTACAGGCATGAGCCACTGCTTCTGGCCAGAAAGTCTTTATTTCTCCATCATATTTGAAGGATAGTTTCAGCAGATATGTTATTCTAGGGTAAAAGTTTTTTTCCTTCAGCACTTTAAATATGTTATGCCATCTCCAGGTTTGTAAGGTTTCCACTGAAAAGTCCACTGCCAGACATATTGGAACTCTATTGTATTATTTGTTTTTTTTCTCTTGCCTTTAGAATCCTTTCTTTATCCTTGACATTTGGGAGTTTGATTATTAAATGCCTTGAGGTAGGCTTCTTTGGGTTAAATCTGCTTGGTGTTCTATAACCTTCTTGTACTTGGACATAGATATCTTTCTTTAGATATGGGAAGTTCTCTGTTATTATCCCATTGAATAAACTTTCTACCCCTATCTTTTTCTCTACCTTCTGTTTAAGGCCAATAGCCCTTAGAATTGCCCTTTTGAATTTATTTTCTGGATTGTGTAGGCATGCTTCATTCTTTTGTATTCTTTTTTCTTTTGCCTCCTCTGTGTGTTTTTTTAATTTTTAAAAAATTAAAAAAAATTTTTAGACTGATTCTCACTCTGTTGCCCAGGCTAGACTGCAGTGGTACAGACATGGCTCACTGCAGCCTTGACATCCCAGGATCAAGCAATCTTCCCACCTCAGCCTTCTGTGTGGCTGGGACCACAGGTGCACACTGCCACACTCAGCTAATTTTTGAATTTTTTGTAGAGACAGAGTCTTACAACTACTTGTCTCAAACTACTGGGCTGGTTTTGAACTACCAGACTCAAGTGATCCTCCCACCTTGGCCTCCAAAAATACTGTGATTACAGGCATGAGCCAGCACACCTGACTGACTGTGTATTTTCTTTCTTTTTTTTTTTTAACATTTATCATATTTTGTTTATTTATTTATTTATTTATTTATTTATTTTTATTGATCATTTTTGGGTGTTTCTTGCAGAGGGGGATTTGGCAGGGTCATAGGACAATAGTGGAGGGAAGGTCAGCAGATAAACAAGTGAACAAAGGTCTCTGGTTTTCCTAGGCAAAGGACCCTGGGGCCTTCTGCAGTGTTTGTGTCCCTGGGTACTTGAGATTAGGGAGTGGTGATGACTCTTAACGAGCATGCTGCCTTCAAGCATCTGTTTAACAAAGCACATCTTGCACCGCCCTTAATCCATTTAACCCTGAGTGGACACAGCACATGTTTCAGAGAGCACCGGGTTGGGGATAAGGTCATAGATCAACAGCATCCCAAGGTAGAAGAATTTTTCTTAGTCCAGATCAAAATGGAGTCTCCTATGTCTACTTCTTTCTACACAGACACAGCAACAATCTGATTTCTCTATCTTTTCCCCACATTTCCCCCTTTTCTATTCGACACAACCGCCATCGTCATCATGGCCCATTCTCAATGAGCTGTTGGGTACACCTCCCAGACGGGGTGGCGGCCGGGCAGAGGCGCCCCCCACCTCCCGGATGGGGTGGCTGGCCGGGCGGGGGCTGACCCCCGTTCCCGGACGGGGTGGCTGCCGGGCGGAGACGCTCCTCACTTCCCAGATGGGGCGGCTGCCGGGCGGAGGGGCTCCTCACTTCTCAGACAGGGCGGCTGCTGGGAGGAGGGGCTTCTCACTTGTCAGACGGGGTCGTGGCGGGGCGGAGGGGCTCCTCACTTCTCAGATGGGGTGGCCAGGCAGAGACGCTCCTCACCTCCCAGACGGGGTCGCGGCCGGGCAGAGGCGCTCCTCACATCCCAGACGGGGCGGCGGGGCAGAGGCGCTCCCCACATCTCAGACGATGGGCGGCCGGACAGAGACACTCCTCACTTCCTAGACGGGATGGCGGCCGGGAAGAGGCGCTCCTCACTTCCCAGACTGGGCAGCCGGGCAGAGGAGCTCCTCACATCCCAGACGATGGGCGGCCAGGCAGAGACGCTCCTCACTTCCCAGACGGGGTGGCGGCCGGGCAGAGGCTGCAATCTCGGCACTTTGGAAGGCCAAGGCAGGCGGCTGGGAGGTGGAGGTTGTAGCTAGCCGAGATCACGCCACTGCACTCCAGCCTGGGCAACATTGAGCACTGAGTGAACGAGACTCCGTCTGCAATCCCGGCACCTCGGGAGGCCGAGGCTGGCAGATCACTCCCGGTTAGGAGCTGGAGACTAGGCCGGCCACCACGGAGAAACAGATGCTGGCACTATGCTTCCTGTACAGCCTGTAGAACTGTGAGCCAATTAAACCTCTTTCTTATATATTATGCAGCCTCAGATATTTATTTTTAGTAATGCAAGAACGGCCTAACACAGTGAGTAACAGTCCAAATATAAGAAGATTCAGCCAGGCACAGTGGCTCACACCTGTAATTCCAGCACTTTGGGAGGCCAAGGCGGGTAGATTACTTGAGGCCAAGTATTTGAGACCAGCCTGGCCAACATGGTGAAACCCCATCTTTACTAAAAATAGAAAAAATTAGCCAGGTGTGATGATGAGCGCCTGTAATCCCAGATACTCTGGAGGCTGAGGCAGGAGAATCGCTTGAACCCAGGAGGCAGAGGTTGCAGTGAGCCAAAATCTTGCCACTGCACTCCAGCCATCTTACAGTAGGCCCAGAAGAACTCCAAACGTATTCTAGGAGTTTTTTTCCCCAGCTCTGAGTGTGATTTGGAATATATATATTCAACAATTTCATAATATGTATTCCTTGACTTGTGAAATGAAGAATATTATGGTTTAAAGGACTGAGTAAACACTTTCGTAGCTACTTCTACCCACTGAAATGGCAAACACTATATCCACATGAGATTTCCCAACATCAAAAGTTGAAAGAGGCATGGGTAATAAGAGTGACCTTATGGATTACCATAGGGTTCTTCAACTGGTGACTTAAATAACAGTCACTCTTCTAGATGTGGTCTTCTTACTGGAGTAAATCAAATTTCCTAGCATCCTATTTCTTTATTTTTTAGTTTTTTGAGACAGGGTCTCGCTCTGTCACCCAGGCTGGAGTGCAGTGGCACAGTCATGGCTCACTCCAGCCTCAGTCTCCTGGGTTCAAGTGATCCTTCTACCTCAGCATCCTAGTAGCTGGAAATATAAGCATGTGCCACCACACCCAGCTAATTTTTGTATTTTTTGTAGAAATGGGGCTCCCTCATGTTTCCCAGGCTGATCTTAAACTCCTGCACTCATGCAATCCACCTACCTTGACCTCCCAAAGTGCTGGGATTACAGGCAATGAGCCACCACACCAGACCACACATTCCTATTTAATTAGCAAAATTGACAAGGACAAAAGTTCTTGAAAAATGACAATGGATTACCATAAGGCTCATCAGTTGGTGACTTAAATGGCAGTCACTCTACCAGGCATGGTTTTCTTACTGGAGTAAATCAACCTTCCTAGCATCTGATATGTAATTTGTTATTTGGCAAATGTATTTTTCTGTATCTTTGTATGTAGAGAACATAGGAGGGCATTTGCTTTTGCCTGACAGGGTAAGTAGTATACTTTTACATTTTGCCCAGAGTTATGTCCACTCTGGTTCTGTGCCATAGTTTAGGCCACAGAGACGATGACCAACTTCTCATCCTGCAAAACATCACATGGCTTCACTATATTGAGGCCAGTATGCTGACAGAATCAGGAAAGATGGAAGCAGGAGGTCTCCTAGAGTTCCTGATAATATGCATATTTATTCTCTGAGGGTAGGAAATAAATCCTAATAAAATTCAGAAGGCTTTTTATCTGGTTGAATTTTCTGACTACCCAGTGGTTCATATACATAGGGATATTCCCTTCAAAGCAAAGAAGAAATTGCCACATCTTATATTTCTACCACTAAGAAAAATGAACAATGTTTGGTGGACCTCTTTGGATTTGTGAGACAACATATACCATATTGAGATGTGCTACTCTGAATTTACTAAGTGATGTGAAAAGAATGCCAAATTTGCCTGGGCGTGGTGGTTCGTGTTTGTAATCCCAGCACTTTGGGAGGCCTAGGCAGGTGGATCACTTGAGGTCAGGAGTTCGAGACCAGCCTCACTAACATGATGAAACCCCATCTCTACTAAAAATACAAAACAAAATTAGCTGGGCATAGTGGTGGGCACCTGTAATCCCAGATAGTCCAGAGGCTGAGGCAGGAGAATTGCTTGAATCCGGGAGGTGGAGGTCGCAGTGAGCCGAGATTGTGCCACTGCACTCCAGTCTGGGCAACAGAGCGAGACTCTGTGTCAACAAAAAAAAAAAAGAAAGAAAGAAAGAATGCCAAATGTTCATAGGTCCCTGAACCAGAGAGATTCTTCAGCTTTCCCAAACTAATGAGCAAATAGCTCTGTGATTTGGTCCACATGCTCCAGTGGAGGCTCTGGTAATTAGGTGTCCATATCAGATCCACGTAGATCCTGTGGCCTACCCTGATGGCACTATCACAAGAGTGGCCTCTGTGATTTTGAGTGGAGAAGGCTGTCTTCATCAAGTAACTTCCTTTGAGAAACAGTTTTGTTGTTGTTATAATTGTTCTATTTTATTATTCATTATTGTTGTTAATCTCTTACTGTGCCTAATTTATAAAATTAAATTTTTCATAGGTATGTATGTATAGGAAAGAACATAGTATATATAGAGTTCAGTACTACCTGTGGTTTCAAGTATCCACTGGGGGTCTTGGAACATATTCCTGATGGATAAGAGGAGGACTACAATACATTGTTATTAACTATTCTTACCATGTTGTACAAAGATCTTTTAACTTATTCCCCCTGCCTAACTGAAATTTTGTATCTTTTGCCTATGTCACCAATCTCCCATTCCAGCACCCCAGATGCTAGTAACTACCATTCTACTCTCTGCTTCTATATTCAACTTGAGGAACAGTGCTTGCCTTGTTAGAGGGGCCTGGTAGATACCATAGACATCAAGTGCCCTTGGGATATGAGCTGCTTATCATGAACTGAGTTAAAAGAGCCACCAAGCCATAAAGATGGGTGAGCCCAATGTTACCACATCATTAATTGCAGGCCCTACAGGTACTGGTAAGTTGCCGGAGCAGGTTGTTTACATTTCCAGCATGCCTGCTCTTGATGCACATCCACCCCTTCCTAACCTACAGCTTTTCCCTCATGGGGAGTTCCCTTTGACCACTTGACTAAAGGAAGAAAAATTTAAGCCTGGCTTGTAACTCACTCTGCAATGTTTCTTGGAACCAACCAGAAGTGTACTGCGTTACCATTGCAAGCACAGAAGAGAAAGAGACAGCCTGGGCAACATGATGAAACCCCGTCTCTACAAAAAATACGAAAAATTAGCCTGGCATGGTAGCGTGCACCTGTAGTCCCAGCTATTTGGGAGGCTGAGGTGGGAGGATCACTTGACCCCAGGAGGTGGAGGCTGCAGGGAGCTGAGATCACACCAGTGCACTTCAGCCTGGGTGACCCAGTGAGATCCTGTCTCAAAAAAAAAAAAAAAAAAAAAAAAAAGAGAGAGAGCGAATGAGATGGCCATTGAAGACTAAAGGAAAGAAAATCCTTTCAGTGAGGGGATTTTGAATAGCAAATCCACTTTCCTGGATGAGAGAAGGTCTGAGGTAAAGAGCAGCATGATTTATAGGCAGGGACTAACATCCAGAAGAAATGGAAGCCTCTAGGCCATTATTCCTCTCTTGTATTTCTATCCTGAAACAGTCTGTACAGCACTCTCCCACACACCCTTCCACTGTGTCTCCCTTCCACCATGCCCTCTGGACTCAGTCTGTCATGAGACAAATCTACTGGACATTCACTGAAGACACTGCTTCTCCTACAACTCTCTCATGCCATGGCTATTTTTTCACCTACACCACAAATGATTTTTTTCACTCTCCATCACTCCCTCGTTTTTACTTCCCCATAGCACTAAAATCGCTCTCCTCTGTATACTACCTTCCCCTTCTCATTCTTCATTAAACTCGTCTGATCAAACACAATGTTGGTTAAACTCCACTCCTCTCCTCCCTTCTGTGCCAACATAGGAGCAGAAGATGGCGGCTGGAGGAAAACACACAGCCCTGCTGACCTAGGCCTTCCTTAGATTTGTAACCCACAGCTCGCAAATGGCTTCTCAGGCCTCCACATTTTCTTAGACAATTTACTTTCTTCCGGTCTGAGCTGACTATTTCACAACTTCTCTCTCCTTTAACCTCTGGTAGTCTCATCCCTTCCCCCATTCTCCCCAGGATTATTAAGTCAATCCATTTACATGCATCTGAACCCACAAACTGTCTTTCCTCAGATACGATGGATGGTCTGCTCCTATTTAAGGGTAGCCCCTCCACTTGTTCCCTGGATCCATCCCCTTTCATCCGCACATGACCTTTGTTGTTCCAATGCCCCTCTTGAGTCATCAATGGTTCCTTTGGCATTAACCTGATGTATCTTAAATTGTCTTTTGTTAGATGTAATTTCATAAAAATAAATTAGAAAATTTGATGAAATGGATCTATTTTTAGCAAAATTCAAATTAACAAAATGGACACAAAAAGAGATAGGAAATCAAAAATAAAACAATACCCATAGAAGAAACTGAAAAATCTGTGAAAGATCTCCAGCCCCACAAAAAAGCCATATCAAGATAGAAAGCCATGTCAGGGGGAGTTTTGTCAACACAGTTTCACTAATAATATGTACATTTTAGCTAACTTGTCATAAAAGTCTTCTTATCTTTTAGAGATACACATTGAAATATTTACTTTTTTTTTTTTTTTTTTTTTTGGAGACAAAGTCTCACTCTACCACTCTATTGCCCAGGCTGGAGTGTGCTGGCATGATCTTGGCTCACTGCAACCTCTGCCTCCCAGGTTTAAGTGATTCTCCCGCCTCAGCCTCCCAAGTAGCTGGAATTGCAGGCACGCGCCACCATATCCGGCTAATTTTTGTATTTTTAGTAGAGATGGGGTTTCACCATGTTGATCAGGCTGGTCTTGAACTACTGACCTCAAGTGATCCACCTGCCTTGGCCTCCCAAAGTTCTGGGATTACAGGCATGGGATACCGCTCCTGGCTGCATTGATATATTTATGAATAAAATATGATGTCTGGGATTGGGATTTACTTCCAAACAATCCAAGGGATGAGGGACTTGAGTGAGGATTGAGATAGACTGACTTTGCGTTGATAATTCTTGAAGCTAGTGATGAATACATGAGGGCTCCTTATATAATTTGTTTTTGGTTTTTGAGACAAGAGTCTCACTCTGTCACCCAGGCTAAGAGTGCAGTGGTGTGACCTCCCAGGGTCAGGTGATCCTCCCACCTCAGCCTCTGGGTATCTGGGTAGCTGGGACTACAGGCTATGCTACCAAACCTGGCTAATTTTTTTTTTTTTAATTCTTTGTAGGGACGGAGTTTCCGCACATTGCCTAGGCTGGTCTAGAACTCCTAGATTCAAGTGATTCTCCCACCTTGCCTCCAAAGTGCTGAGATTACAGGTGTGAGCCACTGCACCCAGCCCTTTTTTTTTTTGAGAGGGAGTTTCGCTCTTGTTACCCAGTGCAATGGGGTGATCTCGGCTCACTGCAACCTCTGCCTCCCAGGTTCAAATGATTCTCCTGCCTCAGCCTCCCGAGTAACTGGGATTACAGGCACACACCACCATGTCTGGCTAATTTTGTATTTTTAGTAGAGACGGGATTTCTGCATATTGGTCAGGTTGGTGTTGAACTCCTGACCTCAGGTGATTCTCCTGCCTTGGCCTCCCAAAGTGCTGGGATTACAGGTGTGAGCTACCGCGCCCAGCCCTTTTTTAAAGAAATTTAGAGAAGAGGTCTTGTTACATTGCCCAGGGTAGAGTGCAGCGGCTATTCACAAGCGCAATCGTAGTGACTACAGCCTGGAATGCCTGAGCTCATGCGATCCTCCTGCCTCAGCCTTCCAAGTAGCTGGAACTACAGGCACAGGCCACCATGTCTAGCTATGTAATTATATATAATATGTATTTACATTTAATTTAATATAATAATTTATATAATATATAAATTATATATTATATATGAATGTATATATAATGTATATAGGTATTATATATAATGTTTATATAATATATAAATATTATATATAATGTATATATAATATACAAATATACACATATGTGTGTGCTTGTGTGTGTGTGTATATTTTTTTTTCCCTTGAGATGGAGGTCTTGGTCTGTTGCCCAGGCTGTAGTGCTAATGCAGTGGCATGATCATAGCTCTCTGCAGCCTCCAAACCCTGGGCTCAAGGAATTCTTCTACTCAGTCTCCTGGAGGAGCTGGGACTACGTGTACCATCATGCCTGGTTAATTTCTTTCTTTCTTTCTTTCTTTTCTTTCTTTTCTTTCTTTCCTTTCTTCTTTCTTTTTTTTTCTTTTTCTTTTTTTTGTAGAGATGGGGGTCTCGCCATGTTGACCAAGCTGGTCTTGAACTCCTGGCCTTAAGCAATCCTCCCACCTTGGCCTCCCAAAGTGCTGGGATTACACGTGTGAGCCACCATGCTTGGCTGTGATTCTATTTTTAAGTTTGAATTTTTTTTCATAATAAAAAGCTTTTAAAAAACTGCTGAATGTATTGGTGAGGTTGTTAATCTTGGAAAATCAAAGGATGAGATAAGGACCCTAGAGATACAATATCAGGATCATCTCTTTAAAAAGAGGTAGAAGGCTGGGCACGGTGGCTCATGCCTGTTATCCTAGTACTTTGGGAGGTTGAGGCAGGCGGATCCCTTGAGTTCACCAGTTCGAGAGCAGCCTAGGCAACATGGGGAAACCCCATCTCTACTAAAAATACAAAAATTAGCCAGGCATGGTGGTGCACACCTGTAGTCCCAGCTATTTAGAGGCTGAGGTGGGAAGATCCTTTGAGCCCAGGAGGCAGAAGTTGGAAAGAGCCGAGATTGGGCCACTGCACTTTAGCCTGAGCAACAGAGCGAGACTCTGCCAAAAAAAAAAGGAAGAAGGTCAGGCACAGTCGCTCACGCACTTTGGGAAGCCAAGGCAGGCGGATCACTTAGGGCCAGGATTTCAAGACCAGCCCAGCCAACCTGATGAAACTCCATCTCTACTAAAAATACAAAAATTAGCTGGGTGTGGTGGTGCTCATCTTTAGTCCTGGCTATTCGGATGGCTGAAGCACAAGAATCGCTTGAACCCAGGAGGCGTGGCTGCAGTGAGCAGAGATCTTGCCATTGCACTCCAGCCTGGGAGACAGAGCAAGACTCTGTCCCCACACCCCCTAACCAAAAAATAAAAATAAAAAAAAGGAACACTTAGAGAATCTTTTCTGTGGACTACATACTTCCCAGGATTTTCCCGAGAACCCATGTTACGGTAGACACCATATGATTAATACAACTTCTTAAGGTTTTCTTCCAGTAAAACAGTTTCTATTTGAATTATTTAGGAACCCAAAGAATCTGGACTACTAAGAAGTAGAGAAAATAGTGCCCTGCTAGATATAAAACTAAATTCTCACAGATATATTATTCTGTTTTCAACTCTCAGTTCTGTGCAGTTGTTGTAGTTGTCTATTCCTATGACAGAAATAATCCTTTAATTACTGTGACTTTATGTTACATTTTGCTTTCTGGTCAGGAGTGGTACCAGTTGATTTTTAAAAATAGTCTTAGATATTCGTATGTATGAATTCTTCCACAGCAATTTTAGAATACATTGTCATTTCCTTAAAATAAAATTTCTTTTTCATTTGGTTGGAATTACATAAAATTCACTGATTAATTTGGGGGTAAATGACATATCACAACATCGAGTCTTTCTATCTGGTGAACTTGTAATTACTATCCTCAGGTCTTAGTCAATTCTAATTAAACATGACAGCCTGATATTAGCTGTGCTTGGGTAGACAGTTGTGGGGCCTTGAAGTGGCATAGATTGAAAAGATGTGCAGAGGCAAGAAACCTGCAATGAGTCATTTAGTGGCCCGAGGCAAGAGGTGACAAGAATAAGGGAATGGATTTTTGGAAAACGTAAACATTTTTCAAAATCCTCAGATTTACTGGGGCAAAGGGTGGAATGAACTGCAATCAGGCCTGATAAGGACCCAGGTTGTGTGTGAGCTGACTGAGAAACACAAGAATAGAGATGTTAAGGATAACATGCTTTAGTAATAGAGTCACCTATGCTTTCTTTTTCTTTTTTGCCTTTATTTACTGTGCATTCTTTTGTTATATTTTTGCCCTTCCCACAATTTTCAAATTTCAAAAAATCACGTTCTTTCTGATGTGTTTTTGTAAATTAATTCTGTGGAGTGGCCGGGCACGCCGTGGCTCATGCCTGTAATCCCGGCACTTTGGGGGGCCAAGGTGGATGGATCACCTGGGGTCAGGAGCTCAAGATCAGCCTGGACAAGATGGTGAAACCCCCGTCTCTACTAAAAATACAAAAAAATTAGCCGGGCGTGGCGGCGGTCGCCTGTAATCCCAGCTACTTGGGAGGCTGAGGCAGAGAATTGCTTAAGCCTGGGACGCGGAGGCTGAGGCTGCACTGAGCCGAGATCGCGCCACGGCTCTCCAGCCAGGGCGACAGAGCAAGACTCCATTTCAAAAAAATAAAAAATAGCCGGGCGCGGTGGCTCACGCCTGTAATCCCAGCACTTTGGGAGGCCGAAGCGGGCGGATCACAAGGTCAGGAGACCGAGACCATCCTGGCTAACACAGTGAAACCCCGTCTCTACTAAAAATACAAAAAATTAGCCGGGCGTGGTGGCGGGCGCCTATAGTCTCAGCTACTCGGGAGGCTGAGGCAGGAGAATGGCGTGAACCCGGGAGGCGGAGCTTGCAGTGCGCCACTGCACTCCGGCCTGGGCGACGAGCGAGACTCCGTCTCAAAAATAAATAAATAAAAAATAAAAATAAAAATAAATAAAAAATAAAAAAAAATTCTATGGAGCTACATTTTCTTTCTTCCCCTACCCCCACCCCCACACTCTGAGAGCCTTCTCCCTCTCTCTATTTTGACCAGGGTCTCACTCTGTCACCCAGGCTGGAGTGGAGTGGCACGATCACGGCTCACCTGCAGCCTCTAACGCCTGGGCTCAAGCAATTCTTCCACCTCAGGCTCCTGAGTGGCCGGGACTACAGGCAATTGTCACCACGCCTGGCTAGTTTTTGTATTTTTTGTGGAGATGGGGGGTCTCTCCATGTTGTTCAGGCCGGTCTCAAGCTCCTGAGCTCAACTGATCCACCCGCCTCAGCCTGCCAGACTGCTGGGATTACAGGCATGTGCCACAGTGCCCAGCGAGGCCTTCTCTTTCTTTTTTTTTAAATTTAATTTAATTTTTTTTTTTTTTGAGACGGAGTTTCGCTCTATCGCCCAGGCTGGAATGCAGTGGCGTGATCTCGGCTCACTGCAAGCTCCATCTCCCGGGTTCACACCATTCTCCTGCCTCAGCCTCCCAAGTGGCTGGGACTACATGCACCCGCCACCATGCCCGGCTAATTGTTTTGTATTTTTAGTAGAGATGGGGTTTCAGTGTGATAGCCAGGATGGTCTTGATCTCCTGACCTTGTGATCCACCTGCCTCGGCCTCCCAAAATGCTGGGATTACAGGTGTGATCCACCACTCCCGGTCTCAAGCCTTCTCTTTCTAAAGGAGAATTTAACCTTTTAATATTTACTATAACCATTGATAACTCATTGGCCTTATTCTTGTCATATTTCATGTTTTGACTATATTATGCTTTATCAGTTTCTCCTCTATTGATTTAGGTGTCCTATAACAATTTCAGTTAACACCTAATATCTAAAAAAATTATATTTCTCCATAAAAACTATACACAGCACAGGATGAAACCTACATTTATTTATTTATTTATTTATTTATTTAGTTAGTTAGTTAGTTAGTTAGTTAGTTAGTTATAGAGGTTCTTGCTCTGTTACCCAGGCTGGAGTTCAGTGGCACAATCATAGCTCACTGTAGCCTCGACCTCCAGGCCTCAATCGATCCTCCCATCTCGGCCTCCCGAGTAGCTGGGACTATAGGTACGCACCACCACACCTGGCTAATTTTTGTATTTTTGGTAGAGACAGGGTTTTGCCATGTTGCCCAGGCCGGTCTCGAACTCCTGGCCTCAAGTGATCTGTCCGCCTTGGCCTCCCAAAGTGCTGGGATTGCAAGCATGAGCCTCCACGCCCGGGTGAAACCTCTCAATTTACCTCGTTTCTCCATCCTCTTCCTTCTCCTATGACTTCCCAGATTTTGTAGAAATAGCATATTTTAACTTGAAATTATATTTACTTTTTATACTTAAACATTTCTTTAGTAACCAATTCATTAACTATCTTCATCATATTACAAATTATTTAAACTTTTTCTTTTAAAAATATTTAACCACTATACTATGAGGAACAAATTATTTAAACTTTATTTTATTTTATTTTATTTTATTTTTTGAGATGGAGTCTCCTTCTGTTGCCCAGGCTGGAGTGCAATGGCATGATCTTGGCTCACTGCAGCCTCTGCCTCCCGGGTTCAAGTGATTCTCTCACCTCTGCCTCTGGAGTAGCTGGTACTACAGGCATGTGCCACCACGCCCAGCTAATTTTTACATTTTTAGTAGAGACAGAGTTTCACCATGTTGGTCAGGCTGGTCTCAAACCCCTGACCTCAAGTGATCCATCAGCCTTGACCTCCCAAAGTGCTGGGATTACAGGTGTGAGCCACCATGCCTGGCCAAATTATTTAAACTTTAAATCATACTGGTTTCAATGTTTATCACTATTTTTAAAATAAACCTTTTATATTAGAATAATTTTAGATTCACAGAAAAATTAAAAAGATAATACAAATTGTCTCCATATGCCCCACGCCCAGTTTCCCCTACTATTAACCTCTTACATTAGTATGGTACATTTGTCATAATTAATGAACATATACTGATGCTTGTTATTAATGATAGTCCTCATTTTGTTCATATTTACTTAGTTGTTACTGAATGTCCTTTTTCTGTTCCAGGATCCCATCCAGGATACCCCATTACATTTAATCATCTTGTCTCTTTGGGTTCTGCCTCTGACAGTCTTTCATACTTTCCTAGTTTCTGATGACCTTTCAATTTTGAGAATTGCTGATCAGGTATTTTTAGACTGTCACTTAATTGGTATTTGTCTGATCTTTTTCTCATAACCAGACTGGGGCTATTGGTTTTGGGGAGGAGGAGCATGGAGATAAAGGAGATAAAGTGCCATTCCCATCACATACTACTAAGGGAACATACTATTGGCATGACTTATTACTGTTGAGTCAATCTTGATCACCTCACTGCCTGAGGAAGTGTTTGTCAACTGTCTCCACTGTGAAGGTACTCTTTTTTTGTTTGTTTGTTTTTGAAACAGAGTCTCACTCTGGAGTGCAGTGGCGCAATCCCAGCTCACTGCAACCTTCATCTCCCGGGATCAAGTGATTCTCCTGTCTTCTGCCTCAGCCTCCCGAGTAGCTGGGACTACAGGTGTGCACCACCATACCCGGCTAATTTTTGTATTTTTAGCAGAGACAGGGTTTTGCCATGTTGGCCAGGCTGGTCTCGAACGCCTGACCTCAGGTGATCTGCCCACCTTGGCCTCCCAAAGTGCTGGGATTACAGGCATGAGCCACGATGCCCAAGCCATACTGTACTCTTTTGAAGGAAGTCACTAAGCACAGCCCACACAGACAGAGTGGGAGTTATGCTCCATCTGTTAGAAGTGGAGTTCTACATACTTTATTTGGAATTCTTCTGTATGGGAGATTTTTTTTCTTCTTCCCCATGTATTTATTCATTTATGTATTTATGTCAACATGGATTCATGGATATTTATTTTGTACTTTGAGTTATAATCCAATACTACTTTATTTATTTTGTTGCTCAAATTCTTCCAGCTTTGGCCACTGGAAACTTTTTCAGTTGACTCCCATGCCCCTTTGACATAAACCCCATGATTGTGGGTTTAGTTTTTGTTTTAGTATGTCTTTACTTCCTGGCATTACAAGATACTCCAGGTTCATCTTGCATCACTGTGTTTTGCATGTGGTCTTTTAGCCTTTTTATTCGGATTATTATTATTATTAATTTTTATTCATTTTTTTTTGAGTCGGAGTCTCACTTGGTCACCCAGGCTGGAGTGCAGTGACACGATCTCAGCTCACTGCAACCTCTGCCTCCTGAGTTCAAGTGATTCTCCTGTCTCAGCCTCCTGAGTAGCTGGGACTATAGGCGCATGCCACCATGCCTGGCTAATTTTCGTATTTTTAGTAAAGACGGGGTTTCACCATGTTAGCCAGGATGGTCTCTACCTCTTGACCTCGTGATCTGCCCACCTTGGCCTCCCAAAGTGCTGGGATTACAGGTGTGAGCCACCACACCCAGCCCTATTATTATTATTATTTTGAGACAGGGTCTCGCACTGTCACCTGGGCTGGAGTGCAGTGGTGCTATCTCGGCTCACTGCAACCTCTGCCTCCCGGGTGCAAGCGATTCTCCTGCCTCAGCCTCCCAAGTAGCTGGGATTGCAGGCGCCTGCCTCCACGCCCAGCTAATTTTTTTGTATTTTTAGTAGAGACAGGGTTTCACCATGTTGGTCAGGCTGGTCTCAAACTCCTGACCTCGCGATTTGCCCACCTTGGCTTCCCAAAGTGCTGGGATTACAGGCATGAGCCACCGTGCCAGCATTTTTTTTTTTTTTTTTTTTGAGACAGAGTTTTGCTCTTGTTGCCCAGGCTGGAGTGCAGTGGTGCGATCTCGGCTTATTGCAACCTCAGCCTTCTGGGTTCAAGCGATTCTCCCACCTCAGCCTCCTGAGTAGCTGGGATTACAGGCATGTGCCACCACATCCAGCTAATTTTGTATTTTGTTGTTGTTGCTGTTTTAGTAGAGATGGGTTTTCTCCATGTTGGTCAGGCTAGTCTCAAACTCCCGATCTCAGGTGATCCGCCCACCTTGGCCTCCCAAAGTGCTGGGATTACAGGCATGAGCCACCGCGCCCTGGCCTTTTGTTTGTTTTTGAGACAGGGTCTCACTCTGTCACCCAGGCCGGAGTGCAGTGCCATGATCACTACTCACTGCAGCCCTGACCTCCCACCTGCCTAATCCTCCTAAGTAGCTGGGACCACAGGCACGCACCACCATGCCCAGCTAATTTTTTTATTATTATTTGTAGAGACAGGGGGTCTCCCTATGTTGCAGAGGCTGGTCTTGAACTCCTGGACTCAAGTGATCCTTCCCCTTTGGCCTCCTAGAGTGTTGGGATTACAGGTGTGAGCCACCGCACCTGGCTCCTACTGTGTATTCTTAAGTAAGATTAATGTCTCAAAGCATGATGTAGGCTGATGCAAGAAAAAAATTAATGTCATATTTTGATAAATATAAAATTGTTAAACATTTAAAAATAAATATATTAAAGAAATAGAAACACGCTGTAAAACTTTCAAAACAGTTGAGATGGGCAGAAAAAGAACCAATAAAATGTGCTCTATCCAACAGAGTTTTGAAATGGGAGGAGGGTGGTAAAGGAAACAATGACTTCAAGTTTCTTCAAATTGTGTGTTATTTCTTCTGCGTGCCCCTGGGATGGGCAACCTTGAAGGATGCTTTGGACAAGGCTTCTAAATGGAAGCAAACACAAATTTGAGTTCTTGTCAAAAGAAATACCCACCCTCTCTGCAGCAATGTCCAAGATGATCAGCCATAGATGTTCCTGCATTTTGGTCTTGGTTTTGTGCTTCTGTTGCAAAAACCATCCCACATGGGTTGGGGTAGTTTTTGTGTCCTGTTACATTCAGTGATTCAAATAAAATGAAAGGCATAAACACTCCTCATTTCTATTCCTGAAAGTCCTTCTTGGTCGATTAAAGTGACAAGCCTGGTACCTTCCTTTAAGAGCCTGCTGCTGCTGAGTCCTCAATTTAATTGGTCTATGTGGCATGAGTTTTGGAAGAATAAATATATTCTCCCTGATACTTGCCCTTAGCTAAGTTAGCTTCATCTTTGCCAAGTTCTTACAATCTACTTGGAGGTCATTTCTTTGGGGCTTATTTATATCTAAGGCCCAGTCAGAGCAACAGGAATCTATTCATATGGGTCGACTGCATGATTTTGTTAAATGTGTTAAATTTAGTAACACCAGGAGGAAAACATTCTACTAGCTAGTGCTGAGCAGTGCATGGTTGTTACTTTTGTTTTCTTCTCACAGTACTTGCAGCACAGAAACAGCTGACCCTGCCACTCCTCACCTCATCGCCCAATGTGGCATCATCACAGTGTCTAAGAAGTTTCCTTGGAGGATCTGTGCTTACTTTAACAGTTGCCAACACATAGGCCTTGTGCTAAACTCTGACCAAATGCAAAACAGTAACAGTAAGAGAAGTGTCTTAGTTTGGGTTCCCCCTAAAGTAGCCCCTGAGATATGCAATTTATCTGGAAGTGATCCCAGGAAACACCGGCAGGGGGACAGAGAATTGAGACAGGAAAGGAAGGTAGCTGCTGATGAAGGGTGCTTTATCAAGCAAAAATAACTGGAGCCCAATCACTTGAAGGAAGTCTGGAAGCCAGCAGAGAACGTACACTGCCCGAAGAGACAAAGGAACAGGGACTTCTGGAAGATCTTCAATTCCCCATAACTTCCAACCCACTGCATCGAGCAGAGCAGGCTTCAGTAGCCAGAGGATTAGGACAGCATGCTGGCAGCTGGTGCTGGCTCCACTACAGCTGTAAGGCTGTGGGGGATATGGGCAGAGCCCCAGCACTGTCCCCTACAATAGGTTTTTCCCAGTTCTTATCAAATAATTCTTTCAGATGTCATAACATGGTGTGATAATTCTTGTACCTTGCCTGACCATATGTAGTGGCATCTTCTTTTGGTAACAGGCCCTAAACTTTAGTCCCAACAGCCATGACCCAGCTGGGCCAATCATAAAATCTCATGCTTCCAAGTGAAACATAAAGTGAGCTAAAACCATAATCTTGTAATTTGAACTGATAAAGCTTTTTCTTTACAAAACATTTTCAGAATAACATAAAATAAATTGAATAAAAGTAGATATTTTGGCCAGGCGTGGTGGCTCACACCTGTAATCCCAGCACTTTGGGAGGCCGAGGCAGGTGGATCACCTGAGGTCAGGAGTTCGAGCCAGACTAACCAACAGGGTGAAACCCCATCTCTACTAAAAATACAAAAAATTAGCTGGGTGTGGTGGCAGGTGCCTGTAATCCCAGCTACTCAGGAAGCTGAGGCACGAGAATTGCTTGAACCCAGAGGCAGAAGTTGCAGTGAGCCGAAATTGCACCACTGCACTCCAGCCTGGGCGACAGAGTGAAACTCCATCTCAAAATATATATATATATATATATATATATATATATATATATATATATATATATATATATAAAATATATAAAATATAAAAAAATACTCTGTCTCAAAAAACAAACAAACTGCTGTGTTGTGGCATGACATTTTAGGTTTTATTTATTTTTTTAAGACAGAGTCTTTCTCTGTCACCCAAGCTGGAGTGCAGTGTCACATTTTGGCTCACTGCAACCTCTGCCTCCCAGGTTCAAGCAAATCTTATGCTTCAGTCTCTTGAATAACTGGGATTACAGGGGCTCACCGCTGCACCTGGCTAATTTTTGTATTTTTAGTAGAGACGGGGTTTCACCATGTTGCCCAGGCTGGTCTTGAACTCCTGGCCTCAAGTGATCCACCCACCTTGGCCTCCCAAACAGCTGGGATTATAGGCATGAGCCACCGCGCCAGCAGGTTTACTTATTTTTTATTTCAGTTTTGTCCACCCTAACAAATATACTCCCTGATGCCCACCCTTGAACTTCCATGGACTCTGGGCTTGGGTCAAGATTGCTCAGGGGAAAACAAAACAAAACATAGAAAGAGAGAGCTAGAAGCATGTTGCTACACTTAAAATATCAGTTACCAGAAACTCAGAAAGGCATACAAATTTGGAAAGATTTAAATAAGAGCAACTAAAGAATTAAAATAGCAGAGGTATTTTTCCATGAGGATAAACTGTGACTAATTCTCTTTAGCTTGGGGCTGAGCATGGTGGCTCATGCCTGTAATCCCAACACTTTGGGAGGCCAAGGTGGGAGGATCCCTTGGGTTCTAGAGTTCAAGAGCAGCTTGGACAACACAGTGAGACCCCCGTCTCTACAAAAATTTCTTTTAATTAGCCAGATGTGGTGGCACACGCCTGTAGTCCCAGCTACTCAGGAGGCTGAAGTGGGAGGATTGCTTGAGTCCAGGTGTTCTAGGTTACAGTAGACTACAATTGTGCTTCTTCTGCACACCAACTTGGGTGACAGGGCAAGACCCAGTCTCAAACAAAAAAAAAAAGAAAAAAGAAAAAAAAATACTCTTTAGTAGCTTAGGAAGAGGATTAGATGAGCTCAAAGTCCATAAAAGCTGAGATTTAGCTGGTGTCAACATACCATAAACGGAAAGTAGTATGGGACACCCATTACCCCAAGAATATTATTGTATAACTTGAATACAAATAGGATCTAGCAAGGTTTTGATAGGTGGTCACTTTATAATGGGTTGTGAAAGGGAAGTTAAGGAGGTTCAGGAAATATTCTCAAGATCTTTTAACTTTGATATGAGAAATGAGAATTACTACACTCTCCACATCCAACAAAACAGTAAAATGTTAATCAATGAAGGTATTCCAAGTCATATGGATCTTTGGTTAGATCCTGAAGGTTTGATCCAATCAACAAATATTTATTGAGCAACTACTATGTTCTAGACGTTGTGCTGAGAATACATCTGAGAATAAGACTACCTTGTGAATTAAGAGGGTTTAAGAAAATAAATAATATAATATATTAAAATGTGCTAAATTTTAAAAAAGACAGAGCAGGGTAAGGGGCATTGAGAGTGCCGGGGGAAAATAAGTGGCAGTATTAATGAGATGGTTCAAGGAGGCCTCATTGGTGAGCCATGTGGCTCATGCCTATCATCCCAGCACTTTGGGGGACCAGGAGGGAGGATGACTTGAGGCCAGGAGTTTGAGACCATCCTAGGCAATATAGCGAGACCTTGTCTCTACAAAAATGAAAATAAAAAATTAGCCAGAACGATGATGTGCATCTATAGTCCCAGCTACTCAGGAGGCTGGGGCAGGAGAATTGTTTGAGCCCAGGAGTTCGAGGTTGCAGACAGCTATGATCATCCCACTGCATTCCAGCCTGGGTGACAGAACAAGACCCCTGTCTTAAAAAAAAAAAAAATAAGTCTTATTGAGATGAGGAGAAGAGCCATAAGGATAAGTAGAGGAAGAACAATCCAGGCAAAGGAAATGGCCAGTGCAAAAGTTCTGAGGTGACAGTGTCTCTGGCATGTTCAAGGAACAGCAAGGAGACTATTTTTCCTGTGAAGTTAGTGAGTTGGAGAGAAGAGGAAAATGAAGTCAGTGGGATGAGGGGAGTAGACGGTGTAGGTCTTGTGGGCCATGGTAGAGACTTTTTTTTCTTGAGACAGGGTTTCACTCTGTCACCCAGGCTGGAGTGCAGTGTAACAAACACGGTTCAGTGCAGCCTCAACCTCCTGAGCTCAAGCAGTTTTCCCATCTCAGCCTCCCAAGTAGCTGGGACTACAGGTGTGCACCACCACTCCTGGCCCTGTAAAAACTTTTGCTTACATTCTGGGAGGAATGGGGAACAATTGGAGGGTTTTGAACGGAGGAGAGCCACGATGTGACTCACATTTTACAAGATCATTGGCTACTGCATTGAAAAATGGACTGAGGTAGGGCAGGGGCAGAGGGCAGGTGAACAAGTAAGAATTTAGGAGGTTCTTGCAGGAATGCAGGAGAAATGATGGTGGTTTGGACTAGGATGGAGGCAGTGAAGGCAGTAAGAAGTAGGTTCTGGATTATATTTTGAAGGTAGAACCAACAGGTTTTCCTGATAAATTGGATGTGGGGTGAAAAAAAAGGGAGAAGTCAGAGATAAATATAAGGTTTCTGCCTGGACAATTGAAATCTAGGAAACTGTGGAATAGTAGAATTTTTAGAAGTCCAGCAGCTCAGTTTTGGGCATAATAAGGTAGAGATGCCTATTAGACATCCAAATGCCAGTGTCAAGTAGGAAGTTTGTTTACATGAGTCTGGAGTTCAGAGGGAAAGTCTGGACTGGAAGTATAAACTTGGAGTTATCTATGTGTAGATGGTGTTTAAAGCCTTGAGATTAGATGAGATCACTAAGGAGTGAGTGTAGAGTGCAGTTTCCTAGAATCCAAGTAAAGAAAGTGTTCCAAGAAGAAAGATGACAAAAGTTGTGTCAAATGTGGCTGAGAGGTCAAGTAAAAGGAGAACTGATAATGGACCCTAAATGTAGCAATGTGGAGGTCAATGGTGACCTTGACTGGGTGGAGTAGTCTCAGTGGAATGGGTTTCAGGAAAAAATGGACAGAATTGAGACAGTGACGATAAGCAATTCTTTCAAATAGCTTTGTTATGAAGGATGACAAAAAACAGGGTGGCATCTAGAGGTGGAAGTAAAGTCAAGAGAGTTTTTTTCTTCTATTCAAGATGGAAGAAATATAGGGCAGGCATGGTGGCTCAAGTCTGTAATCCCAGCACTTTGGGAGGCTGAGGCTGGTGGATCACTTGTGGCCAGAAGTTCGAGACCAGCCTGGCCAACACAGTGAAACCCCATCCCTACCAAAAAATACAAAAATTTGCCTGGTGTGGTGGCAGGCACCAACTACTTGGGAGGCTGAGGCAGGAGAATCACTTGAACCCAGGAGGCGGAGGTTGCAGTGTCATGCCGCTACATTCCAGCCTGCGTGACAGAGTAAGAGTCTGTCTCAAAAAAAAAAAAAAAAAAAGACAGAAGAAATAACTATGTTTGTATGCTGGTGAGAATGCCCCAGTAGAGAGGAAAAAAACTGATGATGGAGGAAGGAGGGGAGAAAATTGTAATGATATACCCAAGCAGGTATATTAGTTTTCTAGGGCCACCATAACAGATTGCCACAAATTTGGTGGCTTAAAACAACAAAAACTTACTCTCTCAGAATTCTAGAAGCCAGAAATCTGAACTCAAGATGTTAGCAGAGATGTACTCCCTCTGTAGGCTCTAGGGGAAAATTTTTTCCTTGCCTCTTCTGGCTTCTGGCAGCTGCTGGCATTCCTTGGCTTGTGGATGCATCTCTCTCTTTTCTGCCTTCACATTGGCTTCTCCTCTGTGTGCGTTCTACTCTTCTGTCTGTTTTAAATCTCCTTCTGCTTTTCTCTTACTAGGACACTGTCATTGGATTTAGGGCCTCCCCAGGTAACCTAGGATGATCTCATCTCAAGATCATTAACTTAATGACAGGTGTGGTGGCTCACACCCGTAATCTCAGAACTTTGGGAAGCTAAGGTGGGCGGGTCACCTGAGGTCAGCAGTTTGAGACCAGCCTGGCCAACATGGTGAAACCCCATCTCTACTACTAAAAATACAAAAATTAGCCAGATGTTGGTGGCAGGCGCCTGTAATTCCAGCTACTCTGGAGACTGAGGCAGGAGAATCGCTTGAACCTGGGAGGCAGAGGTTGCAGTGGGCCGAGATCGTGCCACTGTATTCCAGCCTGGGTGACAGAGTGAGACTTCATTCCCCCCGCAAAAAAAAAAATTTAATGACATCTGCAAATCCCCTTTTCCCAAATAAGGTCACATTCATAGGTTCTGGATATTAGGACCTGAAATACATTTTGGGGGACCACCATTCACCCTAATGCAGTAGGTGAGAAGGAATGGGGTCTACTTCACACGGGAGGAGTCGGCTTTTGATGGGAGCAGGGATAATTCATCACTAATTTCAGTAGGGTGAATAGATGATTTGGTCCCAGTCACAACTAGGTGGGTAGACATAGTGGTGGGAGCTTGTAGAAGTTTTTTTGGGCTGGGCATGGTGGCTCACGCCTGTAATCCCAGCACTTTGGGAGTCCAAGCAGGGTGGATCACCTGAGGTCGGGAGTTCGAGACCAGTGTGACTAACATGGAGAAACCTTGTCTCTACTAAAAATACAAAAAAAATTATCCAGGCGTGGTGGCACATGCTTGTAATCCCAGCTACTCGGGAGGCTGAGGCAGGAAAATCGCTTGAACCTGGGAGGTGGAGATTGCGGTGAGCCGAGATCGCGCCATTGCACTCCAGCCTGGGCAACAAGAGCAAAACTCCGTCAAACAAACAAACAAAAAACAAGTTCGTTTGATTCCTTCCATTTCCTCAGTGAGATAAGAAACAAAGTCACCATCTGACAGTGAAGATGGGGAGGGAGTTGCTAGAACTTGGATATGAAAAGAAAAAATGTGTTGTAGTTTTCATGAAGAGTGGGAGAATGACTGGATTAGAGAGTTATTAATTGTTCAGCAGCAGTAAAGCTCACCTGAGATTCATGGTCATAATTTTTTTTTTTTTTTCTGAGACAGAGTCTCACTCTGTTGCCCAGGCTGGAGTGCAGTGGTGCAATCTCAGCTCACTGCAACCTCCATCTCCTGGGTTCAAGTGATTCTCCTGCCTCAGCCTCCCGAGTAGCTGGGACTACAGGCATGTGCCACCACACCCAGCTAATTTTTGTATTTTTAGTAGAGAGGGGGTTTCACCATGTTGATGAGGCTGGTTTTGAACTCCTGACCTAAAGTGATCCACCTGCCTCGGCCTCCCAAAGTGCTGGGATTACAGGTGTGAGCCACTGCACCTGGCCTAAAACAGGTAGATTTTATTTGCAATCCAGATTTCTGACTTCTTTTGAAAATCTAGGAGATAAGACAACATTGGGTTTGCATTTAGACATCGGAACAATTGTTAGAGCTCAGAGGTGGCTACCCAATAAAGACAGAGAAAGCCAGGTGTGGTGGCTCATGCCTGTAATCCCAGCACTTTGGGAGGCCGAGATGGGTGGATCACAAGGTCAGGAGATCAAGACCATCCTGGCTAACACGGTGAAACCCCATCTACACTAAAAATACAAAAAATTAGCCTGTAGTCCCAGCTACTAGGGAGGCTGAGGCAGGAGAATGGCGTGAACCTGGGAGGTGGAGCTTGCAGTTTGCCAAGATCGCGCCACTGCACTCCAGCTTGGGCGACAGAGCAAGACTCTGTCTCAAAAAAAAAAAAAAAAAAAGTGTGGTGGAGCAGATGGCTAAAGAGATGGATGGGGGCCAGTGAAGAATACTGTTCCCTGAGTGAAAGTTTGGGCTATACCCCTAGGTCACTAGGGCGTTGTTGAAGAGTTTACAGCACAAGAATGATAGCATCTGGTTTGTCTGAGGAAAGTAGATGGATTCAAGGCAAAAGACCAGATGCTGTAAAGAAGTTATTGTTATTAATTCATGGTTTTTCTTATGTCTAAAAAATCCATGCACAATAAGTCTGGTTTATAAACACAAGTCTTCATGTCTTTTTTTTTTTTTTTTTTGAGACAGGGTCTGGCGCTGTCACCCAGCCTGGAGTGTAGTGGCGCAATCTCGGCTCACTGCAACCTCTGCCTCCCAGGCTCAAGCTGTCTTTCCACCTCAGCTTCCTGAGTAGCTGGGACTAAAGGTGCATGTCACCATGCCCAACTAATTTTTTTGTATTTTTTAGTAGAGACGGGGTTTTTCCATGTTGCCCAGGCTGGTCTCGAACTCCTGAGCTCAAGCAATCCACCTGCCACAGCCTCCCAAAGTGGTGGGATTACAGGCTTGAGCCACCATGCCCAGCCCCTCATGTCTTAATCCTAGAATTCTTTTCCCGTGCCATTCCTCTCCTCTTCATTCTTCCCATTACCCAAGACTGAGGTTGACTCTCTTTTACTTCGCAGAGACAAAAGCAAAGTGTTTAATCAGTCATATGGGGCTAGCAGCCTGACTTTTTCAATAGTTTATGACTGTATACGTTAATTCACTTATCCAAGGGTCAGTTTCCTTATCTATAAACTGCAGATAATAGCTGTCTCATAGAGTTGCTGTCAGAATGAAGGAACTGATGTTACTAAAGCACTTAGCACATGGCTGGGTGCAGTGGCTCACACCTGTAATCCTAGCACTTTGGAGGCCAAGGCAAGAGTATCACCTGAGGTCAAGAGCTCGAGACCAGCCTGGCAAACATGGCAAAACTCCATTTCTACTAAAAATACAAAAATTAGCTGGGCATGGTGGCGCACACACGCCTGTAGTCCCAGCTACTCAGGAGGCTGAGGCAAGAGGATTGCTTGAACCCTGGAGGCCGAGGTTGCAGTAAGCTGAGATCTTGCCACTGCACTCTGGCCTGGGTGATAGAATAAGACTCTGTCTCAAAAATAAATAAATAAATAAAATAAAAATTAAAAAAATAAAGCACTTAGTGCAGTGCTACTTAGCACAGTGCTTGGTGCAAACTGTGCTCAATAAATGTGAGATTAAAATCTGGCATAAAATATTCTATGATGGCTGGGCACGGTGGCTCCTAGCTATAATCCCAGCACTTTGGGAGGCAAAGGTAGAGGATCACGAGGCCAGAAGTTCAAAACCAGCCTGTGCAACATAGTGAGACATGTGCCCCCTAATCTCTACCCCCCCTCAAAAAAAATTAACTGGGCTTGGTGGCATGCACCTGTAGTCTCAGCTACCTGGGAGGATGAGGCAGTAAGATCGCTTGAGCCCAGGAGTTTGAGGCTGCAGTGAGTGATCATAGCACCACTGTACTCCAGCCTGGGTGCCAGAGCAAGACACCATCTCTAAGAAAAAAAAAAGGGGGGTGGCAGCGCAGTGAGCGAGACACCGTCTCTAAGAAAAAAAAAAGGGGGAGCCGAATGTTGTGGCTCATGCCTGTAATCCCAGCACTTTGGGAGGCTGAGGTGGGCGGATCACTTGAGGCCAGGAGTTCGAGACCAGCCTGGCCAACATGGTGAGACCCCCATCGCTACTAAAAATACAAAAATTAGCCGGGCACGGTGGCATGTGCCTGTAATCCAAGCTACTCGGGAGGCTGAGGCAGGAGAATTGCTTGAACCCGGGAGGTGGAGGTTGCAGTGAACTGAGATCGTACCACTGCACTCTAGCCTGGGCAATAGAGCAAGACCCTGTCTCAAAAAAAAAAAAAAAAAAAAGAGATTTCAGGATAATGTGCATGTGGATGAAACATAATTGGACTCTGCTCTCCTTCTGAAATGGTGACAGGTTCAAGCTCTTTTCTTAGAGTATGTATGTGTTTGGGGTGATTATAGATGAATACCCCACAATCATGTGGGGTGCTCTCAGTTCAATTCAAGCTGATACTTTGTTTGTTGTAATTGTTCCATTTCCTACACATGTAATAATAGAAAACATTTTTCCCCTTTCCCTCACACACTAATTGTAAGATTGTCTGAGAGTTTTTTTTTTTTTCTTTTAGACAGGGTCTTGCTCTGTCGCCCAGGCTGGAATGTAGTGGTGCAATCATGGCTCACTGAAGCCTCTACTTCCCATGCTCAAGCAATCCTCCCACCTCAGCCTCCTGAGTAGCTGGGACCACAGGCATGCACCACCACACCTAGCCAATTAAAAAAAATTGTAGAGACAAGGTCACCCTATGTTGCCCAGGCTAGAAATATTGATTTTGTTTGTTTTGTTTGGTTTGGTTTGGTTTTTGAGAAGGAGTCTCACTCTGTCGCCCAGGCTGGAGTGCAGTGGCACGATCTTGGCTCACTGCAAGCTCCGCCTCCCGTGTTCACGCCATTCTCCTGCCTCAGCCTCCCGAGTAGCTGGGACTACAGGTGCCCGCCACCACGCCTGGCTAATTTTTTGTATTTTTGGTAGAGACAGGTTTCACCGTGTTAGCCAGGATGGTCTGGATCTCCTGACCTCGTGATCCGCCCGCCTCGGCCTCCCAAAGTGCTGGGATTACAGGCGTGAGCCACCGCACCCGGCCTAGAAATATTGGTTTTAATTAACCTTCAGCTATGGAACCCGATAGTCTACCAATTGCCATTTTTGAACCCATTTATGTTACAGTGGGTTTTAGCATATTCCTGAAGAATTACTGGTGGCAGTAGTGGTGGTAGAGGAGATGCTGTGGCAGCTGACCCTTCTGTGCTGGTCTTGATGTGGTCTGGTATTCACACCCTCCACAGCCAGCAGTGTGGAGGTTTTTGATTATCCACTTGAGTTCATCCTCCACACAGCGGCTAGAAGGAGGTTTTTAGAAAGTGAATGTGACCATGTCAGTCTTACCTAAAACTCTTTACTCCTTACCAGAACCATGAAGTCTCATTGCCTGGCTTTTCCCTGAAACCCCACCATGGCTCCAGCCATCGAGGGCCTTTCCCACTTCTGGGTCTGATCTTGCCCCTCCACTTTGCATGGTTGGTTCCTGTTCCTCCTTTGGGTCTCAGCTTAAGTGTTAGCGCCTTAGATCTTCCTCAACCAACTGATTTATCATAAACCCCCTTCTTATCCTACTTACAGCACCTGCATCTTTTTCTTCATAGCACTTTTCACAAACTATTTTTTTTTTGTTTGTTTTTTTGAGACAGAGTCTCACTCTGCCACCCAGGCTGAAGTGCAGTGGTGCGATCTTGGCTCAATGCAATCTCTACCTCCCGGGTTCAAATGATCCTCTCACCTCAGCCTCCCGAGTAGCTGGGATTACAGACGCACACCACCACGCCTGGCTAATTTTTGTATTTTTAGTAGAGACAGGGGTTTCACCATGTTGGTCAGGCTGATCTCAAACTCCTGACCTCAAGTGATCTGCCTGCCTTGGCCTCCCAAAGTGCTGGGATTACAGGCGTGAGCCACCATGCCTGGCCTTCACAAACTAATTAAATATGTATATGTGTATCACATTATCTGACTCCTCTCCTGGACAGAAAGGTCCATTAGGGCTAGGAATATACCCGTTTTTTTTTTCTTTTTTGACACTGGGTATCCTTCTGTCACCCAGGCTGGAATGCAGTGGCACAATCATGGCTCACTGCAGCCTAGACCTCCTGGGATCAAGCAGTCCTCCCACCTCAGGCTCCAAAGTAGCTGGGACCACAGGCACATGTCACTATCCCTGACTAGTTTTTTGATTTTTTTGTAGAGACAGGGCCTCCCTATTTTGCCCAGGCTGAGGAATGCATCTGTTTTACCCACTACTCTATCACCCTAGCCTAGTCCAACAGACACAGGCTGGGCATGGCGGTGCACTCCTGTAATCCCAGCGCTTTGGGAATCTCAGGTGGGAGAATTGCTTGAGCTCAGGAGTTGGAGACCAGCCTGAGCAACACAGCAAGACCTCGTCTCTAAAAAAAATAAAAACAAAAACCAAAAAAAATAGACACACACGCAAAACTGTCAATATATGACTTATGGATCTACTTTTTACAGTATTTCATTCATTCTTTTTTTTTTTTTTGAGATGGAGTCTCGCTCTGTCGCCCAGGCTGGAGTGCAGTGGTGCGATCTTGACTCATTGCAACCTCCGTCTCCCTGGTTCAAGAGCTTTTCCTGCCTTGGCCTCCCGAGTAGCTGGAACTACAGGCATGTGCCACCACTCCCAGCTAATTTGTTTTGTATTTTTAGTAGAGACGGGGTTTCACCATGTTAACCAGGTCGGTCTGGAACTCCGGACCTTAGGTGATCTGCCCGACTCGGACTCCCACAGTGCTAGGATTACAGGTGTGAGCCACCTCGTCCCGCCCTTTTTTTTTTTTCTTTTTGTTTTTCTTTTTTTTCTGAGACAGAGTCTCGTTCTGTCGCCCAGGCTGGAGTGCAACTGCATGATCTCTGCTCACTGCAACCTCTGCCTCCTGGGTTCAAATGATTCTCCTGCCTCAGCCTCCCAAGTAGCTGGGATTACAGACATGCACCACCATGCCAGCTAATTTTGTATTTTTAGTAGAAACGGGGTTTCACCCTGTTGGCCAGGCTGGTCTTCAACAGAAGTTGAAGTGATCCTCCTCAAGTGATCTGCCTGCCTTGGCCTCCCAAAATGCTGGGATTACAGGCATGAGCCACCGCACCCAGACATTCTTTCTGTATCTATTGACGGGGCATCTATGAGTCAGGCACTGTTGTTGGTGCTGGGACTGCAGCAATGAATAAAGCTGGTGTCAGGCATCTTTTATATATGTCCCATGTTGTATCTTAGTTAGCTTTTTTTGCTCAGCATCTACTTTTTTTTTTTTTTTTGAGACAAGAGTTTTGCTCTGTTGCTCAGGCTGCAGTGCCATCGTTCAGTTATAGTTCACTGCAGTCTTGAGTTCAGGGGTTCATGCAATCCTCCTGCTTCAGCCTCTTGAGTAACTGGAACTACAGGCATATACCTTCATACTTCCATAGCCAATTTTTAAATTTTTCTTTTGTAGAGATGGGGTCTTGCTATGTTGCTTAGGCTGGCCTTGAACTCTGAGGCTCAAGTGATCCACCCACCTTGGCCTCCCAAAATGCTGAGATTACAGGTGTGAGCCACCACTCCTGAACTCAGCATCAAGTTGGCCAATGGGAGATAGGAACTGGTGGCTAAATATTTCCTCCTCTGTCTTACATTCTGCGCAGTTCCTCAGGGGGCCTCAGTGGGACTAAGCTCCAGTTGTTTACAGAAATTTTATATCCTTCAATAGGCTTTCTTTCTTTCCTGTTTCATTCTTTCTGGTCCCAATTTCTTTTTCTACCCATATCCTACGGGATCATTTTCCAGAAGAAAGTATCTGCCCATGAGTCCTTCTCCAATGTTGCTTTTGGGGGGAACCCCAGCTAATATAGCTAGCCTTTTAATTGCTTTTGTTGGGTCACTTTCAACATTTCCACCTTGGGTCCCTGGATGCATTCTGGGTTCCTAATGGGTAGGGATCAGATATTCTATTTTGTATTTTCCCACAGTTACTAACGAGGGCCTGGCAAATGCAAGTAAACATAGATTAATTTCGATTTGATTCAACAAAAGGAAAGAATACAGTGGCTATCTGTGGCTCAAGGGAAGCCAGTTGCCTCTGTTGCAGCTACTTCTGCCTCATGCTGGATGAAGGGAGGACTTACCAGGGCAATTACTGTTTTCCTTTCTTGTATCCATTCTGCTTCCCTCCCAGGTTCCTGTTCCACTGGCTTCCAGCAGCAGCAGGTCAGCAGCTGCTCCAAGTAGTTCATCAGCTCAGTCAGGCCCAGAACTGGGGCTGTCACTGGGGCCCCGCCTGCCATCTGCTTCCTCCAAGCTGAGAGTAGGAGAGGAAAACTGGTCCCTACTCCTCAGGGGCAGAATCCACATGCCTGTCATCTGGCACTACAGAACAAATCAGGGACTCCAAAGAATGAATGACTTCAAAATTTTCTACCAGCCTTAACTGAATCTCATAGATATAGGGAGTGACAGACAGCTGGTAAAGGTGTAAAGAAAGTAGAACATATTTGGCAGACAAGCAGTAGTTAACGGGTCTACCGCTAATTTGATGCTCCTGTGGACACACACTACTTTTCTGCCCACAGTTTCCAGAAAATGAGTAGGTTGGACTAGATGATCTCAAAGAACCCCCAGCTCTAGGATTGTTAAATTACAGAACTGGAAGGAATCTGATCGGTCAGTTATACTTCAAATAGTCTAATTTTTTTTTTTTCTTGAAAGCCTTCACTGTTGGTAACAGCACCATGTCTATTCTAGATCCACTATGAGAGCTCCAGCATATCTGCTCTGGCATGCTCCCTGATGGGCATGCCCATTTACATACAGTTTTTTTGTAATTAAAAATGATTTTTTTTGTAATTAAAAATTGCATTGAGATAATGGTAGATTCACATTCATTTCTAAGAAATAATATATTTGGGCCAGGTGCGGTGGCTCATGCCTGTAATCCCAGCACTTTGGGAGGCTGGGGCAGGTGGATCACCTGAGGTCAGGAGCTCGAGACCAGCCTGACCAACATGGTGAAACCCCATCCCTACTAAAAATGCAAAAATTAGCCAGGCATGGTGGTGCACGCCTGTAATCCCAGCTACTCAGGAGGCTGAGGCAGGAGAATTCCCTGAACCTGGGAGGTGGAGGTTGCAGTGAACTGAGATTGTGCCATTGCACTCCAGGCTGGGCAACAAGAGCAAAACTCCGTCTTGGGAAAAAAAAAATACACACACACACACACATATATATATTTGGCCTAGTTTCCCCCAATGACAACATTTGCAAAACCTTAATATGATATCATAACTAGGATATTGACATTGATACAATTTACCTATCTTATTCAGATTTTCCCAGTTTTACTTGTACTCATTTGTGTGTATATTAAGTTCTAGATAATTTTATCACCTGTACTACCATACTCAAGATGTTTAACAGTTCCAAATTCACAAGGATCCCTTGTGTTGCCCTTTTATATCATACCTGCTTTCTTTCCACCTTACTTCATTCCCCAACTTGATGGATTTTTCCAAATCTTTTTATTTGGAAATAAGTTCAAACTTACAGAAATGTTCAAGTACACTCTATATGCTGATTCACTGATAATATGCACCTTACCTTTATTGCCCACTTGGCTTTATCATTTTTTCCTATCAAGATTTTTTTTCCCCTGAATCATTTGAAGGTAAGCTGCATACATTATGACCTTTACCCTTTCAAGATACTTTAGTGTGTATTTCCCAAGAATTAGATATTCTTGTACATAATTACAGTGGAAGTTATCAACATCAGTACATTTAACATTGATCCAATACTTTAATCTCTTACATGGATTCTGATTTTGTCAGCTGGAATGTCCGTGATGTATTTCCCCTCCTCTAGCACAGGATGCAGTCTAGGATCAGGCATGGCATTTAGCTGCCCTGACTCTTTTGCACCCTTTAATCTGGAACATTTCCCAAGCTTTCTTTTGATTTTAATGACCTTGACATTTTTGAATAATACAGACCCTTCCTCTTTTTAATAGATGTTCCTCATTTTGGGTTTGTCCGATGTTTCACTATCATGATTCAGGTTATGCATTGTCCCCAGGAATACTGCATAGCTGATGTGGACATGATATCCATCTGCTCTCATTGGTGATGTAAATTTTGATCACCTGGTTAAGATGCTGTCTGCCTGCCTCTTTGTATAGTTACTATTTCCGCTTTTGCTACTAACAGGTCTAAACCATCTATGGGGAGACACATCAACCCAGACAAATATCTGCCAGCCAGTAACAGCCCCCTAGAGTAAGCATTCATGGATGATTCTTGCCTGAGCCAATCTTCACTATACACTTGATGATCTCTTCAAGTCAAGTCTATGCCAGTATGAGAAATCAGGTTTTGCAGGGTTTAGTTTCCTTACACCTTTGGTTCTGGTCTGAGTCTTCTTCAAGTCCTCCCAATGTCCTCTATGACCCCTGGGTTGAAAAGAAGTAGACTCAGTAGCCTCAACTGGAAATGAGATCATGTGGGTTGTTCCCTGTTAAACCGTCCACAAGTGATTTGCATAATAGAGTGGCCTGTGAGCTCTTACTTCCTGGATCGGTTCCTGATCCCCTCTCTGCTGTCCGCCAGCCCCCTGCCTGTCACCCTTTGGTGGCATCTTAGTCCAACAGCCAGTTCCATCCCCTCCAGCCTTCCCCCCGTCCCCGGCTCCATCCTCCCTCCATTTAAGCCTAAGGGCGGCTTTGCTAGGAGACAGCCCGCCCTGCAGGAACAGAACGCCTGGACTTCCACTGTGTTCACGACAATCAGCGCCCCGGGCCGCGGGGGTCCCATCCTTCTCTTAGACTGACTCTGGAAGGACCCCGAGAAGTGCTAGAAGTAAATAAGCGCTCGGGGAGGGATGTGATCAGCTTTTCCGGATCCAGGTCTTTACCGGATACTTCTCTGTGCCCCACGGCGTGGGTAAAAGTGCAGGGGCAGCCGCGGGCGAGGAAGGCGGGGCGCGGCTCCAGGCGACTAGGACGTGGCCGGCGGGCATCCTGGAGGGCGGCCCGCAGGTGGCGGCGCGGGGCGGCGGGCGGGGCTGGGAAGGGGGAGGGCTCGGCGCGCGTCGGGCGGTGACGGCAGCGCGGAGGGGAGGTGCAAGCCGCCCGCTCGCGGGGGAGCCATGGCGAGAGGCCGCGCGGCGGCGCCCGCAACAGTGCCCGCGTCCGCAGCAGCGCCCCCGCCCGCCGCCCCGGGGCCCACCCGGCCGCCGCCCCCGCGCGCCCCGAGCCCTTGACGCCCGCGCGCCTCAAGCGAGGCGTCCCCCAGAGTGGGGCCGCGCGCGGGAGAGCCGGAGCGCAGCCTTAGCGTCCCCGAGAGTCTCGAACGCCCCGACGACCCCCGCGTCTCGGAACCCCGGACTCCGAGCCCAGGAGCGCCAGAGCGGCAGGCGGGCAGCAGGAGGCGGCGGCGCCAGAGCGGAGCCCCCGCGAGTGCCCCCGTGCCGCCCGGCCGGCTGCAGCGGAGGGAACCGAAGCCGCCGGGCGGCCGGGGCCGGGCCGAGAACGACGCGGAGGAAGCCCCCACCGAGGCCCCCCGGCACCGCGCCTGCTGCCGGGTTGCGCTCCGTGCACCTCTTGCGGGTAAGCCAGGGGTCCGCTCACCCGCGCCGCCTGCGCCTCGGGCCCAGGGGCTGGGGAAGGACACGGGTGTTCTGGGAGTGTCCGCGTGAGATAGTGGCGGCGTGAGAGGCCGGGCGCCGGGACCCTGCGGGGACAGCCCTCCTAATGCACCGGCCGCACCTGCAGGAGGCCCTCGGAGCCCGGAAAAGTGCCCCTAGGGCATCGTGTCGGCCACGCCGCGTGGCCTGGATTCCGCGCTCCGGCACTCCGAGGTGACAGTGAGGCGACCTTCAAAGAGCCTGGAGCTGAGCGCGGGCAGCACCCCGATTCCCACTCACCCGCAAAACTTGATGAAAATGACATCATCTGAGCGTGTCAGAGAGCAGAGAGCCTTTAGAGCCCTCCTTTGCATCCTTGAGAGTTAACAAGTTTACTTTGTCACTTTCTTGACCTGATTTTTAAAGTTCTTTTCTAGTCTCCAAGGTCAAGCTCTTGCAGGTAAAAACAAATGTAATGAACTGTATCGTTTCTTCTTTTGTAAAGTTGTGTTTCAGGAAAGATGTTAAAAGTCGGCCTGCTCTTGAGGCTGGTGCTGGGTGCCCCTTCCGCTTTAAGCTTGCCTGTTTTAGAACCCGTGGCTGCACTTGTTCAGACACTGAAATTAGCGTCCGCTTTGAGAGCCTTCAGAGTATTCGTCGTTGGACCGCTGATTTTTTTTTTTTTCTGATATGCTTCACTGGAACTTTATTTGCTTCAAAAGTGTAAACGTTGTCAATACTGTCTGTGAGTGTGTATTCGGGACTGGTAACCTTTTCTGGAGGGTCTTTTGTTTATCTGGAAGGAGAGTGGAGGTTACCATAGGGAAACGGTCTAGTTCCAGGGTCCTTTCCAATTTCCAACTACAAGAGCAGCGAAGAGGAAGGTGCTCAGACTAAGCTCTGATTAGCCCTGGAGCCAGTCTGCACTGGGGAGGGTCTCCCCAGATTGAGTGAAGGGACAACAGGCTGGGAGCTTGACTGGTAGGTTTGGAGAGTTGGACCTGGAGTGACAGATGGCGCCTTCCCCTCTGTCTCTCGGTTTGGAATGGTCATACTCGGTTGCTCTTTGATCTTGGACCTCAGCTTTGTCACAGAGGTTCCCAGCCCAGTGTAGCCTAAGCCAGCTGGAAAGCTGAGCCCGGCTCTGGGGGATGCTGAATCGGTTTAAAGCCCTTGTCTCAGGGCTGCGAGTTTGGCAACAGTTGGGTTTCAGCTTGGCCCCAGCACCAGCCGTTTCCTGTTTGATGCCCCAGGGACCAGTTTCCCATCCCCAGCGCTCGCTTGAGGGTGTCTCCACTCTGGCTGTGTTGCTTCTCCTTCTCTGTGGTCTTGGAGTGGGAAACCTGGACTGAAATTCCAACTCCTCTCTATTGGCTGTGTGACCTTACTTAACCTCTCTGTCCTGCTCTCCCCTCTCTGGGAGACAATGTTTTAAATGGAGGTGTCTGTAAAAGTTTGACTGAATGACATGGGAGCGTTTTCAGGTCTCCTTCCAACATGATTGGGTTTGTAATTTGGTAAGCTTTTTGAGCCCCAACAGGGATAATAAAGCATATAATAGTAATTATTGTTTTATAGGTTTATTATGAGGGTCAAATCAGGTAATATAAAAGAGCTTTGGGCCGGGCATGGTGACTTGTGCGTGTATTCCCAGCATTTTGGGAGGCTGAGGCAGGTGGATCACTTAAGGTCAGGAGTTCGAGACCAGCCTGGCCAACATGGTGAAACCCCGTCTCTACTAAAAATACAAAAATTAGCTGGGCATGATGATGGGCACCTGTAATCCCAGCTACTAAGGAGGGTGAGTCAGGAGAATAGCTTGAATCCGGGAGGCAGAGGTTTCATTGAGCCAAGATCCCGCCACTGCACTTCAGCCAGGGCGACAGAGCAAGACCCCATCTCAAAAACAAAAACAAAAACAAAAAACATAAAAATAAAAGGGCTTTCAAAAATAATAGAGCACTATTCACATTGAATGGAGTTCTTAAACTTTCACTTTCCAAACTAACAACACCTTAAGGTTTGCCATCTTAAGTGGACTTTGTTCCTGTCATTGCATTCTGGTTTTTTGTTTTTTTTTTTCTTTTTGAGTCAGAGTGTCGCTCTGTCATCGAGGCTAGAGTGCAGTGGTGCGATCTTGGCTCACTGCGGCCTCCACCTCACAGGTTCAAGTGATTCTTTGGCCTCAGCCTCCCGAGTAGCTGGGATTGCAGGCACCTGCCACCACGCCCAGCTAATTTTTGTATTTTTAGTAGAGACGGGGTTTCACCACTTTGGCCAGGCTGGTCTCAAACTCTTGACCTCGAGTGATCTGCTGGCCATGACCTCCCAAAGTGCTGGGATTATAGGCGCAAGCCACCACTCCCAGTCCCTGTCGTTGCATTCTGAGTCCCTGCCTCTGACCTTGTATATAGTAGGCCTCTGTAATTGTTTGGTGATTCTTGAATTAACCATCTGGGCTCTCCATCTTGACTTCGTGCTCCCAAGGTAGAGAACAGACCTTGGGCATTCTCCTCTCCGTCAGCTGTCGGAGTTTTTATAGATGCGATTGTTCTGTAGCACCATATAGCTCATAAGAGAGCCAAGGAGAGTAAGCAGATAGGTGGCCAGTTTTTCTGCAAGGGACAGTTCTTTTTTTACCCTTTGGGGCTCAAGTAAGAAAGGCATTGGAGGGCGAACAGTCATTTAAACTCACTGAGAGTTGCAGATATTCAGTAAAGCCTTTTGTGCATGCCAGAGCTTAATACTGTATGGTCGGGAAGTTTGATAAACTTTAAAGTACCATGACCAGCCTCTTCACATATATGATTCTGTGACCCTTGGTTTTGAAAATGGACTCTGACCACTGGCTGCGGTGGCTCACACCTGTAATCCTAGCACTTTGGGAGGCCAAGGCAGGTGGATTGCCTGAGCTCAGGAGTTCGAGACCAGCCTGGGCAACATGGTGAAACCCCGTCTCTACTAAAACACAAAAAAAGTAGCCGGGCGTGGCAGCATGCGTGTGTAATCCCAGCGACGTGGGAGGCTGAGGTAGGAGAATTGCTTGAACCCAGGAGGTGGAGGTTGCAGTGAGCCAAGATTGTGCCATTGCACTCCTGCCTGGGCGACAGAGTGAGACTCTGTCTCAAAAACAAAACAAAACAAAAGAAAATGGACTCAGATTTATTTAACTCATCTATATTTGGCATGCACTGTGATTTTTGTAGGGAAAGACAAGAGGATGTTCTTTTTAAAAGATGGAGATAGAACCCAAGGGCTTATGTGGGTTCTTAGGTTTTATTTTATTCTTGGACAGAGATACACTGTTGTTAGACAGAGATACACTGTTGAATGAATGGGTCTTCTGGCTTCTCACCTCCTTTTCCCCCCTTCTTTTCAAACAAATGTTCCCTATTCTGACTTGTCTTCTTAGATGTATCTAAGTGGAGGCCACTTGCAGTGTTGAAAAGTGCAAATTTTAGTGAAGAGACAGTAAATAATTGCATATGTGTAAAACTGGATGTCTCCTGAGTTACACAGAATACCAATGATGTTGAGCTGCTTAAAGGCTATGATAGGCATTTTATGAAAGGCTGTGTAGTATGATTCATTATAGTGAGAAATTTATTTAATTATTATTGTTAATAGTGCACCTGAGGTGAAACAGGGTGGAATGGGGTGGGAGGGGAGCTCTTGAAATCCTTGTTTGGACTTAATTTTTTTGTTTTCAAAATTTATTATTTTTATTTTACAGTGCTGTTCCTTGCAGAGCAGGGCTAACTCATAGGCAGTGTGCCTGTAGGCAGCCTGTTTGGACTTCCTTAAACACTTTTTTTTTCTTAAATAGAGACAGGTTCTTGCTATGTAACAGGTGAAGCTGGGAATAGCCCTTCCTAGAATGCTGAGGTGGGAGGATCACTTGAGCCCAGGAGTTCGAGACCAGCCTGGGCAACATAGTGAGACCTCATTGTTACAAAAAAAAAAAAAAAAAAGACAAAAGAAAAATTAGTCAGGTGTGGTGATGTGCACCTGTAGTTCCAGCTACTAGGGAGGCTGAGGTGGGAGAATCTCTTGAGCCCAAGAGATTGAGGCTGCAGTGAGCCATTATTGCACCATTGTACTCTAGCCTAGGTGACAGAGCGAGACCCCATCTAAAAAAAAAAAAAAATATTGCTGTCTGAGTCAAAAAGTGCTCTTAAGGAAAATGTACCTTGTTTTCCCTGAGGTTCTGGGGAATCCCCAGCATAAGCACATGTACCCCAGTTTGGGAATCGTGGAGCTGGATTATTTCTAGGGTCTCCTCTAGTTCCAGGACATTCAACAGGAGAGGATAGTCTATCCAGAGGAAGTGGATTTTGTACTAACATCCGACAAGGATGCTCCATCACAGTATAAATTATCCACATTTGAATGTTAAATAAGACCATGCTGTGGGTACTCAGGTGACTTTAAAAATCTTTTTTTTCTTTTAAGAAGTAGGAGAAAATAACTGTGAACATGTGGACTAAGTGGCTTGACATTTTCGAAAAGTATCTCTTTAGCATACTATTCAGAGCACTTATTGCATTCCTCCTTAATGACTAGAATTAGTTACTAGATAACATGATTATGTTGATTAAAAGATGTCACCGTCTACTAATTTATGTTGATACAGATGAACTATTAGCAAATCCTATCTTCCGTTACATAGATGCAGGTTGATTTATGTCACTTAAAATGCATATTAATGGCTGAGTGTGGTGGCTTACGCCTATAATCCCAGCACTTTGGGAGGTGGAGGCAGGTGGATTGCGAGGTCATGAGATCGAGACCATCCTGGCCAACATGGTGAAACCCCGTCTCTATTAAAAATACAAAAATTAGCTGGGCGTGCTGGTGGACGCCTGTAATCCCAGCTACTCGGGAGGCTGAGGAAGGAGAATGGCTTGAACCCGGGAAGTGGAGGTTGCATTGAGCCAAGATCGCACTACTGCACTCCAGCCTGGCAACAGAGTATTAAAAAAGAAAAAGAAAAAGAAAAAAAAAGCATATTAATTAGAATAGGGATATAGGATCTCACTTTTTTTTGTCTCTCTCCAGGATTACAGAGATAAAGCATTTATGCATATACAGAACCACGGGATTTTAGAAGTTGTCCATCAGTTCCTCTGGTTGTTTTGGTACAATAAAAAAGTGCTTTTTTTAGAGATAGAATCTCTGTTGCCTGGGCTGAAGTGCAGTGGCCTGATCATAGCTCACTGTAACCTTGAACTCCTGGACTCAAGCCATCTTCCCGCTTTGGCTTCCTGAGTAGCATGCGTGCTGCCACACTTGGCTAATTTTCTTTTCTTTTTTAAATTTTTTTGTAGAGGTGAGGTCTTGCTATGTTGCCCAGGCTGCCTTAGCTTCAAGCGATCCTTCTGCCTTGGCCTCCCGAAGTACTGGGATTACAAGCATGAGCCACTGTACCTGGCCAGGCAGTTCTTTAACATAAACAACGTGTGCTGTGGGTCTGGATTTTTTTTATGCTAACATTCTGTAAGCTCTCAGTTTTTAAGTTTTGCAAAATGTAGAACATATATGATACAACCTACTCTAGATACACAGCCTCTAGTGTAGGCTGCCTCCTTTTATTATGGGTTTCTATCAAATAATTTCCAGTTTGAGATTTGAGATGTGACCAAAGATAAAATGTCTCCTTATAATGTTAGAAGTGGTTTGGCTTCAGCTGTATTATTGAGTCAGGAATTTGGACCTTTAGGAGCAGGTAAACAATGAGAGCAGAAACTACCCTTGAATTTATGTTTGTCTGAGGACCATTGGGAAATATTTCTTGGAGAGTGGGGAAGACAAATTCCTTTGACCTCCAGAAGAATTGATTGTCCTCAGTGTGATGAGAAAATCAGGGAGAGAGTGACTGAAGACAGCTCAGCTGTTCATGCCAAAGGGACTGACGGTCCAGATTCATGGTGGAACCAGGTGGCCGTGTTCTGGCTGGAGAACAGCAGTGGGAAGAGGACAATGCTCACGAGAGGGACAATGCTGTCTCGGTTTCTGCCTGACTTTTGGTTGCTACTGTGTTCTGTGGAACAAATATTTTATATCATGTTGCATTACCATCTAAGGTTGACAAGTTAACTAGAACCTTTAATTTCTTACGCATTGAACCTTTAATTATCTTAGCTCCATTAATTTTACTTACATATACCACTTGTACTGCCAGTAACTCCTTGTAGATAACCACTCTTGTGACCTCTATTACCATAGGATAATTGTGCCTGTTTTGGGCTTCATGTAAATTGAGTCATATAGTGTGTACTTTTGTGTCTGGTCTTTTGCTCAATGTTTTGTCTGCAATGTTCATCCATTTGTTGCATGTACTAGTGCTTCATTCCTTTTTAGTGTGGGATGGTATTCCATTTTATGGTTATATCATGATTTGTTCATACATTTACCTGTGGATGGACATTTGTTTTTTTTCCAGTTGGGACTATCATGGATAAAGCTGCTATGAACTAAGTGTATAAGTACTCATTTCTATCGGGTATATGCTCAGGAGTGGATCATTGGGTCATAAGACATATGTTCAGCTTTAGTAAAAATTAAGTTTTCCAAGTGTTCATTCTTCTCTGGATTTGGTATATGAGACTTCCAGAAGAAAAAAAGATAACTCTGTAAAAGAGTATGCTACATCTTGTGTTTCTGAATACAGGGCTCCCACAGTAAACTTGGTTTGCCTGTTGGACTTCCAGTTGGGGAGTTTGGTAATCTGATATCTTAAGAGATCTAGTAAGACAGTTATAGTATCAAGGGGCATTTTTTACTTAGTGTGAGATCCAGAGGTGTGGGCCTTGCCTGCACTGAAGAATTTCAAACCTGGGAAGAAAATTGGAGGTTTACTTAAACTAAAGGGACAGATTCTTGTCATGTTCGGAAGTTGGAATTGGCAAGCTTTATACTGGAGAATTAAAAACTCAAAACAAACAAAAAACCAAACCTATGATTCAGGAATAGCATTATAATGATTTAGAGGAAAGGTGGGGAGGAGGAAAATGAGCAATTTGTTATGTGTATGACTCACTGGTGCTGTGTCTGCGAGTATTACATTTGGGTGCAGAATTTCTGAGACAATTGGTTTACTGGCTTTCTTAGTAGAGAATAAAAGAGTGTCACCTAGACAGTGAGCATTTCATTTCAACCTTTGCATCTAGAATATATTTTAAATAAAATGCAGAATACTATGGGAATTGTACAGTTGTACAATTGCTTTATGTACCTGAGTGGGAAGTAGCTTTGTTTTCATTCATTAATTAAAAAGTAAAAACCTTCAGATTGAACAGTGTAGATACAATGCAGCACAGCATTGATGTGTTTGAAGCCATGTTCTTTTTTCCCCTGTAAGATTGTTGCTTAGGTGTGTTGAACCCAGCAACTCCTGTTTATGACAGGCAGCTTCGGAATCATTACCTTATATGATAACCTCATACAGTTATTATTTTTTTGAAATGGAGTCTCACTCTGTTGCCCAGGCTGAAATGCAGTGGCACGATCTTGCCTCCCTTCAACCTCCGTCTCCCTGGTTCAAGCAATTCTCCTGCGTCAGCCTCCTAAGTAGCTGGGATTACAGGTGTGTGCCACCACACCTGGCTAATTTTTGTATTTTTAGTAGAGACGGGTTTTACTGTGTTGGCCAGACTGGTCTCGAACTCCTGGTCAGTTATCCACCTGCCTCGGCCTCCCAAAGTGCTGGGATTCTATAGGTGTGAGCCACTGCGCCTGGCCCTCATACAGTTATTAAGAGGATTATGTGAATTTATACATGTGCTTGGCTAAGAGGAAGCATTTGTGTTAGCCATAATTATTGTTTTTACTGAACTCCTTATGATCCATTCATCCAAAAATAGTTTGGAACAGGTATTCTGTGCCACACCTCAAGGGTGGGGTGTGCCCTGGACTTGCTCTGTATGACAGTAACAGGAATAGCCCCCATGGCCTAAAGCATTGATGTGAGCTGTGGTTTTTGCTCACCCATCAACTAGCTTCTCTGCTTTGACTTTGAGGAGAAAGGGTTAATTTTTCAGTGGTCCCAAGGCATTAGAAGAATTGCTTTGGATTCGAATATCAAGACATTCCAAAGGTCTCTTGTGGAAGAAACATAGTTTGGTGTTATATATTTGGGAAAACATCTTTCTATTTGAGAAAACAAGCAGATTGTTATTATTACAGCAGTGGATAAAAGGTGTGACAGGCAAATCATTGGTAAAATAGACTAAAACGTTGACTGCTGCAGTAGATGTTTTATACTGTATTTGAAAGATAGGAAAGTAGTTAGTCTTGTTAAATAACTGGCCGGGTGTAGCAGCTCACGCCTGTAATGCCAGCACTTTGGGAGGCCAAGGCGGGTGGATTGCTTTAGCCCAAGAGTTGGAGACCAGCCTGGGCAATATGGTGAAACCCCATCTCTACAAAACGTACTAAAATTAGCTGGGCATGGTGGTGTGCCCCAGTAGTCCCAGCTGTCTGGGAAGTTGAAGCAGAAGGATCGCTTGAGCCCAGGAGGCAGAGGTTGCAGTGAGCCATGATTACACCATTGTACTCCGGCCTAGGCAATGGAAAGAGACCCTGTTTTAAAAAAAAAAAAACAAAAACAAAAAACTTTTGTACAAGAGGAATATTTTCACAACAATTGAGTGTTAACTTGCAAAACTTTTAGCTGGGGTAAGTCTCTTGATGGTATAGTAGAAGTGATACTCATGGAAAGGAATAAAGAAAATAAATATTCCTGGCCAGGCGCAGTGGCTCACACCTGTAATCCCAGCACTTTGGGAGGCTGAGGCTGGCGGATCACGAGGTCAGGAGTTGGAGACGATCCTGGCTAACACGGTGAAACCCTGTCTCCACTAAAAATACAAAAAATTAGCTGGACGTGGTGGTGGGCACCTGTAGTCCCAGCTACTCAGGAGGCTGAGGCAGGAGAATGGCGTGAACACGGGAGGCAGAGGTTGCAGTGAGCCGAGATTGCGCCACTACACTCCAGCCTGGGCGACAGAGCGAGACTGCATCTCAAAAAAAAAAAAAAAAACAACAAAAAGAAAATAAATATTCCTGGGAGTTTGGCTATCTTTTAATGTAGTTTTTGTTCTTTATAGTATACTGAATTCTCTGTTTGGCAAAAGGCAGCATGGCAGATTGATCATCACAAGCAAGTTTGAGAATTTCCCTCACAAACTCAAGTTGCATCCACATTAGGTCACTAGGGCGGAAAAGAGATGCAGTCTGTAGATGTTCCAAAGAGAAGGCCCATGGCAGGGTTGGGTGGCATTAGGAGTGGTGGCTGGCTTTACTTTGGTAAACGTGTCCTAGGCCGTATGTGATCCTAGACCTTATCTTACCTCCATGATGACTGAGACCCAGCTGGAAGCTCTGGCTGTACTCAAGGTGAGAGAGGGTGGGGGTTAGCGAGTGATAGTGTGGGTAGATGTTTAAGAGATAAGCCTTTGTTGTTGAAGAGATAGTGGTAGGGTAAGGGAGGGGGCGGAGTGAAGGATAAGGCTGAGGTTTCTGAGTTGGACCACCATTAATCAGTTGTCCCAGCGGTGAGGACCTGGAGGGTCTTGTTTTGAATGTGCTGAGTTTGACGTGCTCGTGAGGGTTTTTTTTTTTTTTTTTTTTTTTTTTTGAGACGGAATCTCACTCTATTGTCCAGGCTGGAGTGCAGTGGCACAGTCTTGGCTCACTGCAGCCTCCGTCTCCCGGGTTCAAGCAATTCTCCTGCCTCAGCCTCCCGAGTATCTGGGGATTACAGGCGCCTGCCACCACGCCTGGCTAATTTTTATATTTTTAGTAGGGATGGGGTTTCGCCATGTTGGCCAGGCTGGTCTCGAATTCCTGACCTCAGGTGATTCGCCCTCCTTGGCCCCCCAAAGTGCTGGGATTACAGGCGTGAGCCACCGTGACCGGCTACTCCTGAGATTTCTAAGTGGAGATGTTTAGGGCAGTGGGACGTCTGGGCCTGACACTTCGAAGAGGGATAGGAGTTTGAGGCAAGGGTTTGGGGACCATTCCTGTGTAGTGATATCCATGTGTAGGAGAACTCACAGAGGAGTAGTGACTAGAGATTGGGAGAAGACCAGAATTGCTGGGGGAGGGAGTGTTCTTTTGGTGAAGGGTAGGGTTCACAGGGTTACTCTGCTGTGAGAGGCCAAGTGAGATAGAAGCTAAAATATCTTTTGGGTTTGTTTATACATAGTAGGTATGCAGATATTTCTAGTTGTATCATTTGGTTCTTTGTTTTTCAGAAGAGATGCTGGCTTAGCCTTGTAAACATCGCAGTTGCATAAAAGTATTTATGATAGTCCTTAAAATGCTGTAATTATCTTTGAAGTTTTATAATTTTGCAGTGTTTAACTTATGGCAGCAATAGCATTGGTATTTTAAATCAAAACAGAACACTGTCAAGGGTTACATAACTTATTCATGATATTAACAAGATATAAAGCACCATGTTTTTGTGTGTAACTGTTTAACAGTAGATGAAGTTAATGATTGCCCACTTTCAGCTAATCATATGATTGCTATTGAAATAAGTACTTGCTAGACAGGGATAGAATCTAGTAATTTGTTAGCTTCAGTACTTCATGCTTGCATACACACCCATGCTATTGTGTTACCAAGCCTGAGTTTTGAAATGTGGCGTTCTTTGTCTTTTTCTGGTGAATAAACCCCATACGTCTTACCATAGCCATTTGACTCTTCCTGGCTGTCAGGATGTGTTGCCCTGGACTGAGAGTGAGAGATCCCAGATTTTTCAGCTTCTCTTCCAATTGCTAGGGATACCACATCAGTGCCAACGTGAGTCTCCTCTTGTCACTTTCTGCTAGGCTTCCCCTTAGAAGCTGAAATTCTTTCCCTTCCTGATGCTAAGTTGCAGTTTCTTAAAATGCTAGAGAGCTTTTAAAAGCATACCGTGATGGGAATTAGTTTCAAAAGATTATACCAGAGGGGGTTAAAACTTGCCAACCTTGTAAAAACCTAACTTCTTTGTTTACGTCCTCCCTGCCCCGCTTTCTGCTGTGCTTGGTTTCCTCCTAGCAATATGCCTTGGTCAGGGGGAGAGTCTTCCTGTCAGACATAACTTCCCAGACCAGCACTCCTGGAGGGGCCTGTACCTCAGACCCTGGCAACGAGGCACGCTGGGGCACGCTGGCCTTTCGTTGTGGTGTAGAAAATTTTTCATTTGGAATTCCATTTTAAAAATAAGTATAGGGTTATTTATATCTTCTTACATTAATTTTGATAAGTTGTGTATTTTAAGGGCTTTATCCACTTTATCTAAGCTACTGAATTAATTGGCACAATTATTACTCTTTCAATGTCCATAAGACCTGTAGTGATGTCCCCATATTTTATTTCTGGTATTTGCCTTTCATGTTAAGAATGTGTCTGTTCAAAGGGAGAGGGGAAGGAGAAAAGAAGAATGTGTCTGTTCAAAGGACTGCTGGATCAGGGTAACTTAGCTCAAGAAAATGAGAAGGGGTGGTTTCTGGAAGGGGAGAATGAAAGCCGTGGAGGAAATAAAGCATGAATGTGGGGGAGGGCGGGGGCGGGGACTGCTTCTCTTGCTGGCTGCCTTCTCTCTCTGGAGAATCTGCTGGAGAAGGAGCAGTCACGTGGGTGGTGAGCTCATTAGGCTGGGGACACCAGCTGTGCTATTATTAGGGCTTTTAAAGTCCGTGGCAGATGTTCTTAGGCGGTGTTCCAGCCTTGTTCACTTCCCACATATGGCATGATACTGTACACAGAAAAAAGAGGGACTCTTTAACAAATAGCTTTTCCATGAAATGCATCACTATTTTTTTCCCATGAACTTTTTTCTTTTCTTTCTTCCTCTGTCTCTGTTTCTTTGTTTCTCTCTCTGCTGTTTGTTCTTTCTTCTTTCTCCGTTTATCTTTCTCCCTCTGTCTCTTTCTTGCTTTCCTCTATTTTTCTGTATTCTCATTCTCCCTGTCTCTCCCTCCATCCCTCCTTTCTATACTTCCTTCTTTTGTCCTTTGAGGCCCTTTTTATTTAATCCTTTGTGAAACTAGAAGAGGACTCAGAGGCACATGAAGAAAGTTTGTCTATTTTAGATTAAAAGTGAGCCTTAGCATTTCATAGAAAGTATAAGAAATGTGGGTAAGTCTCAGGGTGATCATATACTAGAGAATTTTTTTGACAAGAGCCTGTTTTGAATTGCGTGGTTAGCTTGCTGCCTCTTCACTCCTCTGGCACAGTGGTAGTTTTTGTACAGGATCGCTTTTACCTCAATGGACTGATAAGCTAGCCAGGGCACCGATTATTTTTACATACCAATTTGTGTGTTGTTTGTTTGGCTAATCACCTCTTCTGCAGCTGTTATCCTGGATCTCAGTGATCAAAGAGATCAGTGATCTCTTTTTTTTTTTTTTTTTTGAGACAGAGTCTCACTCTGTTGCCCAGGCTAGAGTGCAGTGGCATGATCTCAGCTCACTGCAACCTCTGCCTCCCAGGTTCAAGTGATTCTCCTGCCTCAGCCTCCCGAGTAGCTGAGACTACAGGCACGTGCCACCACGCCTGGCTAATTTTTGTATTTTTAGTAGAGATGGAATTTCACCATGTTGGCCAGGCTGGTCTTGAACTCCCGACCTCAGGTGATCTGCCTGCCTCGGCCTCCCAAAGTGCTGGGATTACAGGCGTGAGCCACTGCGCCTGGCCAGTGATCAACTTTTGTCAGTAAGCTTCCATGTGTAGACCCTCCTTCTCCCCTCATATTTATAGTAACCCATGTCTTAGCTTGGAGTTATAGGGTATAATCAATATCAAATTTACTTAAATAACTGCTCTGGTAGACTGACTTTCTACAGGAAATGGGCTCTTATGTGAATGTAACCTCAATGTATACTCTTTAATAAAATCTCAGAATGATGCAAGCTTCATTATAGTTGTTTCCTACTGTTTATTTCAAATTTGATATTTTGATATATTTACACTAATTTTATAGCTAAGCACAAAATTAATTACCCCATCATTTTTATTTCAAAAATAATGAGATAATATGTGCATACATTAGTGGCATATCTTACTCTAATAATGGCCACAACTGTCAGAAGTACATTTTCAGAAAAGCTTTTTGGCCGGGCGTGGTGGCTCACGCCTGTAATCCCAGCACTTTGGGAGGCCGAGACGGGCGGATCACGAGGTCAGGAGATCGAGACCATCTTGGCTAACATAGTGAAACCCCGTCTCTACTAAAAATACAAAAAATTAGCCAGGTGTGGTGGCGGGCACCTATAGTCCCAGCTACTCGGGAGGCTGAGGCAGGAGAATGGCGTTAACCCGGGAGGTGGAGCTTGCAGTGAGCCCAGATCACGCCACTGCCCTCTAGCCTGGGAGACAGAGCAAGACTCCATCTGAAAAAAAAAAAAAGTAAAGCTTTTCTAATCCAGGCGTTTTTCTTCAAAATAAAGTAAATATATCTATTTTCAAAAAGTACTTTTGTATTTTAAACATTATTTAGTTGTAGAAAATATTTTTTAAAAAGCCCCAAACCTAAACTATACAGTGAGGCCAGTATGAGAATAGAGGTACTGAAATGGGTAACTAATTATTTATTAATATGTTTATTTCCCTGCGAATTCAGAGACTGGGAAAGAAAACCAGGAACAACCATTTTTCACTTCTCTAATTTTATCTGAAGGAGGGGAATCATAAAGTAGGAAGCCTTTTATCTCAATGGCAGACTCTGTTATTTTTTTTTGAGATGGAGTTTCGCTCTCGTTGCCCAGGTTGGAGTGCAGTGGTGCGATCTTGGCTCACTGCAACCTCCGCCTCCTGAGTTCAAGCCATTCTTGTGCCTTAGCCTCCTGAGTAGCTGGGATTATAGGCGCCAGCTATCATGCCCAGCTGATTTTTTGTATTTTTAGTAGAGACGGGGTTTCATCATGTTGGCCAGGCTGGTCTCAAACTCCCGACCTCAGGTGATCCACCTGCCTTGGCCTCCCAAAGTGCTGGGATTACAGGCATGAGCCACCACCCCCGGCCACAGCCTCTGTTCTTACAAACTAGTGGATACAGGTGCCGGAACACCAGGCCGTGGGCCACGTGTTTACATGCTGCTCCCCAGTAGAGTTGCTGAGTGGTTTATGTTTATTCCGGAAATACATGGTTCACTCTGATTTTACAGGTCTTCCGCAGGTAAGAATCACCTTTGATTAGAGTCAGGGGATTCCTGGCAGAATGGGGAGCTGGAGACCCACTTAGATCAGTGATTGCTAAGTGTGAGCTGTGTGGCTTCCCTGGGCCAGGCACTGAGTTATGACAGTAAATGAGACAGTCCAGGTCTGGGGGCAGACCAAAGAGACCCAATGTAGTAATAGATGTAGGATATGATACCAGGTAGTGACTAGGGGAGAGAATGAGGTGGCAGCAGAGGTGTCTTTAGGGAGGTTATAGGTGAGCAGAGATTGAATGGGGATTGAGCCATGGGAACATATGGAGGAAAAGCTTCCCAGGCAGAGCAAACAGCAAGTGCAGAGGCCTTGGTGAGAAGGCCAGTGTGGCTGCAGTGCAGGGGACCCTGGGGATAGTGGACGTGGATGAAGCCAGGAGATAGTCAGGGGACGGCTGCATCCCACTGGCCTGCTGGCTGTTGTAAGGAGTGGGTATTTTAATCTGCATATGATTGGGAACTACTGGAGGATTCTGAGTATGGAGGAAGCTGCAGGGGAGTGACAAGAATTGATTGATTTTTAGATGATTTATTTATGAGACGGTATGTTAGTCTATTCTCACATGGCTATAAATAAATACCTAGGATTGGGTAATTTACAAAGAAAAGGTTTGATTGGCTCATGGTTCTACAGCCTGCACAGGAAGCATGGTGCTGGCATCTACTTGGCTTCTAGGGAGGCCTCAGGAAACTTACAATCATGGTGGAAGGCAAAGGGGGAGCCAGCACTTCACTTGGCTGGAGCAGGAGGAAGAGAAAAGATAGAGGTGCTACACACTTTTAAACAGTACCAAGGGGGATGGTGTTAAACCATAAGAAACCACCCCCATGATCCAATCACCTCCCACCAGGCCCCACCTCCAGCATTGGGGATTACAATTCAACATGAGATTTGGGCGGGGACAGAGATCCAAACCATATCACAGTGTCTTGCTCTGTCACCCAGGCTGGCATGCAGCGGTGCAGTCTCAGCTCATGGGAGCATCAACCTTCTGGGCTTGAGTGATCCTCCCACCTCAGCCCCTCCAGTAGCTGGGACTGCAGGTGCGCGCCACCATGCCTGGCTAATTTTGCTTGTTTTTTTGGTAGAGATGGGGTCTCACTATGTTGCCCAGGGTAGTCTTGAACTCCTGAGCTCAAGGCATCCTCCCTCCTTGTCTTCCCTAAGTGCTGGGATTACAGGTATGAGTCAGTGTGCCCAGCCTGATAGAATTTTTTTTTTTTTTTTTTGAGACAGAGTCTCACTCTGTTGGCCAGGCTGGAGTGCTGTGGTGTGATCTTAGCTCACTGCAACCTCTGCCTCCCCGGTTCAAGTGATTCTCATGTTTCAGCCTCCCAAGTAGCTTGGATTACAGGTGCGTGCCACCATGCCTGGCTAATTTTTGTATTTTTAGTAGAGACGAGGTTTTGCCATGTTGGCAGGCTGGTCTCAAACTCCTGGCCTCAAGTGATCCACCCACCTCAGCCTCCCAAAGTGCTGTGATTACAGGTGTACGCCACTGCGACTGGCCCTGATTGATTTTTTAAATGAAACCCCAGCTTCTGTGTGGAGAGCCAGAATAGGGGAGGCACGATTGGAAGTACGGATGGTAGAGAGGGTTTTGCACTGGGATAGGTGGGAGAAGGAGAGTGGTAGAAGGTGGCATTTCAAGGCAGTGGAAGGATGTGACGTGCCCTGTGGGGTAGAGGGACAGGAGCAGCCAAGGGAGAGAAGAGGCGAGGGTGATGCCGAGATCTCACAGACATCTAAATGGAATTTTTAAGTCAGAAAACATTTACATAATTTTAAAATCCTGGGCTTAAAAATTGTTGTTGGCTGGGTGTGGTGGTTCACACCTATAATCCCAGCACTTTGGGAGGCTGAGACAGGAGGATAGCTTGAGGCCAGAAGTTCCAGACCAGCATGGGCAACATTGGGAGGCTGAGGTGGGAGGATCCCTTTTGAGCTCAGGAGCGCAAGGCAGCAGTAAGCTGTGATCTCGCCACTGTACTCCAGCCTGTGAGACAAAGCGAGACCCTGTCTCTAAAAAAAAAAATATATATATATATATATGGCCGGGCGTGGTAGCTCACGTCTGTAATCCCAGCACTTTGGGAGGCCGAGGTGGGTGGATCACTTGAGGTCAGGAGTTCAAGACCAGCCTGCCCAACGTGATGAAACCCCATCTCTACTAAAAATACAAAGATGGACCAGGCATGGTGGCGTATGCCTGTAATCCCAGCTATTTGGGAGACTGAGGCAGGAATATTGCTTGAATCTGGGAGATGGAAGTTGCATTGAGCCAAGATTGCACCACTGCACTGCAGCCTGGGTGACAGAGGGAGACTCCATCTCAAAAAAAAAAAAAAAGAATATATATATATATATATATATATATATATATATATATATATATATATATATGTAACTTGTTGGTCAGGCAGTTAGTAGGGACTGCTTGGGTTAAAGTTTTCCCGGTATTTGAGAACTAGGTGGAAGCATCTTCATCTCAAGCTAGAAGTAGTGGATGAAGAAGGAGAATGTTCTTTTATTTTGTAGCTGAGAGATTACTTTCATTGGCAGAAGTAAGAAGGTAAACCTCAAACTTCATCCCAAATCATTGAGCATGGTGTAACGATTGAACAGAGTACAAAGAGAAAACGGAACAATGTGCTCAGAGCACAGTGTCAGTGACACTTAACCTCAGCTATTTGAATTTTTTTTTTTTTTTTTTTTGAGATGGAGTCTCGCTCTGTCACCCGGGCTGGAGTGCAGTGGCGTGGTCTCGGCTCACTGCAGCCTCCACCTCCCAGATTCGAGCAATTCTCCTGCCTCAGCCTCCCAAGTAGCTGGGATTACAGGCATGTGCCACCATGCCTGGCTAATTTTTTTTGTATTTTTAGTAGAGATGGGGTTTCACGATATTGGCCAGGCTGGTCTCGAACGCCTGACCTTGTGATCCACCCGCCTCGACCTCCCAAAGTGCTGGGATTACAGGCGTGAGCCACCGTGCCTGGCCTTGAATTTTCAAAATTGAAAGTTTTCCAAAGATTCCTGACTGGACATGGTGGCTTATGCCTGTAATCCCAGCACTTTGGGAGGCTGAGGCAGGAGGATAGCTTGATAGCAACATAGCGAGACCCCCATCTCCACAAAAAATAAAAAAGTTAGCCAGGCATGGTGGTGTGCGCCTGTAGTCCTAGCTACTATGGGGCTGAGGGAGGAGAATCACTTGAGCCCAGGAATTTGAGGTTACGGTGAGCCATGATTGTGCTACTGTACTCCAGCTCAGGGGACAGAGCGAGACCTTGTCTCAAAAAATAGTTTTCTGAACATTCTTCAGGTGATTTGATAGTACTTCCTCAGTATATGTGTTGTAAAATTTGCTTAGGCTGTGTCTGGATGCAGTGCCTCATTTGAAATTTACTGTTTTCAAAATGATCCTTTTAAGAGTGGGGCTGTCTGAGGTGCGTTTCCAGTTTCCTCACGGCATGGATAATAAAATGCCCCCAGAGTAAAGATCAGAATTTCAGGGACCAGGGAGAGTATAAAAAGATTAAACAGCTGATCCAAGGCTCATCATTATCACTCTTGCTCACCTCAACAATCTGAGATTAGTTCCCTCCCTGCAAAGCTGCTGGCTCTGAGCACAGCATGGGTTAGGGGGCGGGGAAGGGATGGGGCATGGGGTGAAGTCTGAATTCTTCCCCATCTTCTGAAAAGTGAGGGGAATCAGCTCCTTCACCCGCAGGCCTGGAGAGACTGAGTCAGGAGTGCTTAGCGGGTTTCCTTTTTAAGTGTGTGCTGATGCTTCAAGTGGGTAAGTGGCTGAGGTTATCAGTAGAGACTCTAGAAGGTGCAGTTCTCTTGGAATCTGAAGTATTTGAGGACAGAAAATCATGCTGCTTTCTGGTGGAGTATGGTAAGAATAATCAACACGGAGAGTTGGGCTTGTTTGGGGATTGCAGTGAGTGAGGCATGCCTGGTTAATGCAGAATGTGCTGCTCCTTCCCAGGCAGTGGCTGCAAGGCCTCTTTCCTTTCCTCTGTGCAGTGCAGCGAGGCTGCCCATTGTCCCATGTTGTTCGTAGCCAGGCGTGTCTTGCCAAGTACTGTGGGAAGCCCCAAGATTTTGCTCAAATACACCCGGAGTGGGTCAACCTGAAAAAAAAAAAAAAAACCATCTTTGCAACCTCCAGCCTCTTCTCAGGCTTTTCCTCTATGTCTTATTGATATCCAAATAAATAAATATCAAACAAATTAAGAGCCAGATGAATACCATTGGCTGTCTTTTGTATTAATGTTGGCAACAAGACTATTGTCATATCTTTTATTTCCTCAGGGTTTCTTTTTGCTCCCAGTCTGGCAGCAAACATTTTGTAACCCCATAAAACAAGTGTGGTAGGCTGCTTTTCTTCTTATAATGAAACTATGTTGCCATTGGAATTAAAACACTGGCTGCCAGGCATAGCGGTGCGTGCCTGTCGTTCCAGCTACTCAGAGGCCGAGGTGGGAGGATCTCTTGAGCCCGAGAGTTCAAGGCTGTGGTGAGCCATGATTGCGCCACCTGCACTCCAGCGTGGACAACAGAGTGAGACCTACTCTTGAAACAAAACAAACCACTGACTGGCTTGTTTGGAAATGTGGGAAGGAATTTTTCCTGTGGAGTTATGATCAAGTCAGCTTTTTTAGAAATATAAATTCTAGGCCAGTGTTTCCTTAAAAACCAATATTTCGATGTGTTTGTTCTGGAAGTATTAGCACATCACATTCCCAGTGCTTTTTAATGGGCTCTGGGTAATTACCGCGGCCTCCCATCTCAGCCAGTACAGTAAGCCATTCAAGAGGACAGCCGGTGCTTATTACCCAGCAGCCTGGCAGTCTGTGACCCCTCCTCCTTGGAAATGTGTGAGGCGCAATTAGAGAGCTCTGGTGTGGGGATAAGGGATTGCTGGGGCATAAATAATGCAATCTATGCTGTCGTTCTGTGAATGTGGTGGGGCGGAGCGGCTTTGGTGTTTGGAAGCCTGAACCTCAAATTCTGGATTCAGCATGTTTAAGATCTGTGATCTTGGTAGCCTGGGTAATGTAGTGAGACCTCATCTCTACAAAAAAATTTAACATTAGCCAGGCGTGGTGGCACACGCCTGTGGTCTTAGCTATTGAGGGGCTGAGGCAGGAGGATCACTTGACCCCAGGAATTTGAGGCTGCAGTGAGCTGTGACTGGGCCACTGCATTCTAGCCCAATCAACAGAGCAAGACCCTGTCTCAATCAATCAATCAATCAATAATCTGTGATTTTGGGCAGGTCCTTAGCCTATGAGCCACAGTTTTTTCATCTAGAATAAGACTGTGTAGTGTGGTTGTGGGGATTAGATAAGGCAATATATATAAAGTTCTGCCTTGCTCTTGCTTGTTGACAGCATGTAAGATGCATTCGGTGAAGGAGATCTCTGATCTCCATTCCTTTGGGACAGGTGATGTGTTGATATTTTCTCTTTTTCCTCCCTCTACTCCCAGACTCTCTGCCTCATTCCTTGAAGACTGGGAGATTTGGCTCAAGATCATCTTCCCCTGACATACCGCTGCATCATTCTGGGTTCCAATGACTCACCTAGCATCTTGATCCATCTCCTGTCCAGTGGTGGCTTCTCCACCCTGCTTCACCCACTGCCCTGGTCATAGCCTGGACTGTGTCATCTCCTGGAGTTACCTGTTCATCTGAAATCCTGAGTACAATCACCTTGTTCCCTGAATGCCAGTCCTCCTATCCCTCTGCAGACATTCCTTGCCCCATCCATGTTCTGGCTTTTCCCCTGCACCCCATTCTTTCATCAGTGAGCACCCATTGTCCTTCCTTTGTGCACCTGGCAGGACTCTGCCCCTGCCTTCTGAGAGCTGCTGGAGAAATCACATAGTCACCTATCAATCCAGCATGGTGACCCTGTAAACCAGTGTCAGCTGGGTCATAGGGTCCTTTTTTAAAAAATTTGAGACAGAGTCTCACTGTGTCACCCAGGCTGGAGTGCAGTGGCACAATCACGGCTCACTGCAGCCTCGACCTCCCTGGGCTCAGGTGATTCTCCCACCTCAGCCTCCTGAATAGCTGGGACCACAGGCATGCGCCACTACACCTGGCTAATTTTTGTATTTCTTATAGAGATGAGGTTTCTCCATGTTGTCCCGGATGGTCTAACTCCTGGGCTCAAGTGGTCTGCCCGCCTCAGTCTCCTGAAGGGCTGGGATTACAGACATGAGCCACTGCATCTGGCTCCTGTTGTATTTCGTTAGTCTTCTCTCTGCCTTTTGCCATGATTACTGTTCTAGACTTTCCGTGTCTTTCTCAAACGCTGTACCTCATGCTTGCCCTTGGCCTTTAGAAGCTGCCTTAACAGCGTGAGCAGGAGCCACCAGGTGTGGTGCCTCCAGCCCTCTTTCCCAGCCATGTAAGGGCTGTTCTTCTGGTCTGCCTCCTGTTAGGTGAAGGAGGGGCCCTCTTCCTACCTGAGCTAGTTTGTGCCACCGAGACAGATCCTATCCCACCTCCTTAGGAGCAGCACTTAGTCCATTAGCCCCTCTCTGTCTCTTCAGCCTCATCTTGCCTGTGGCCTCCATCTCACCATCCTGTTACATGCTCAGTTCTCTACCAGTTTTCTAGGCCACATCCCCTGCAGCCATTGCTCTTCTCCTACTTCATTGCCGGTCTCACCAAAGTGCCTTCTTTCTCCTTTCCCTGACCTTCTTGCCATCAGACATCTGAGCCTGTTATTCGAGCACCCATAACCCAGTGAATATGGTGCTAAGTCCATAAACCACCTTCTAGTCCTGGCATTCTTTGACCTTTGACATCATGGTCTATAATACCCTCATTCTTTCCTTCTGGAAATGCTGTTTCCCTTGGCTTCTGGGAAGCTACACCCTCTTGGTTTTCCTCCTACTTCTCCAACCACACCACCTTAATTGCCTTGTAGATGGCAATTAAGACTGGCAAGGCTCCTGGTGATCTCGCCAGGCCAGTGCCTTGGTTGCCATCACTACCCAAATCTTGGTTCAGACCTGTCTCCTGAGCTCTGGACCTGTTCACCCACCTGTCTGCTCATTCCGCACCTCCATCGTAGCCTGTACAAACGCTTCCCGGCTGACCACCACTGCCATTACCCGTTCCCTGCCACCCCCAAAGAAAAGGATCTGCCTGTGAGCAGTGACATGGAGGGCACCGCTGTCCTCAGCTGCTCAGGCAGGAACCAGTACGTTTTCCTGACACTTCTTTTTGCTCTAGCCCCTTCTGGTCAGTCACCTCCCAGATCTCCCTAATTGTCCTGTTGGACTTGGCTGCTCTAATGTTTTCTCTACTCTGGTGTTAAGTGACCTTCCTAAAGTGCAGATCGAATCCCATCACTCCCCTGCTTAAAATCAGTTCGGGAGCTCCCCATGGGGCAAAAGAGGCTGCTGCCTCTCCTCCCCTTGCTAAAGCCATTCAGAGCGTTTTCAGTTTTCTAATGGGCCGTGCTTCTCCCTTCTCCAGGACTTTTGCTTCTGCAGTTACCTCTGCCTATATAGAGAACTCTGCCCACCCCCAAACCCTACTTGCTTCTCTGCACAGCCTGTTCTGGCAGCTCCAGCTTGTGCTGGCAGTCTAGGTATTTCCTGCTCAACTTTTAAGTCAGACCTACGGTTGGCCTGGGAAGCCTTCCCTGACCCCAAGTGACCCATCTGTGTCAGCAGTTTTGACAGTGGCCTGGCACTGCTGATATTTTGGTCTGCGGCCCCTTGAAAGTAAAGGGCATCTGTGAGAGGCTTTATTTGGACAGTGGGGGACACAGAGATGGCTGACCTGGCATCTGGCACTTGACCCAAAGGGCAGTTCTTGTCTGTGTGTTACAGGGGCCTGAGCTTGTTGAGATCATTACTCCCAAAAGATTGTAGGTTCCATGAGGGCAGAGATTTTTGTTGGATTCATTTTCTGCTATATTCTCAGCACTAGCAGTGCCTCACAGTAGTGCCTGGTACATAGTAGGTACTCAGTAAATATTTACTGAATGACTAAAATGTGAACTTTTCAATCTTCACTTAGTGGGTTTTCATGATACCCGGTGTGTGTTCCTCTTACAGCTCTTAGAAGTTGCTCTGTCTCTCTGCCAGGGTAGATAGATGGGCATGGATTTGGAAGTGGGTACTGGCTCATTGGAGCAGGCTTTCTCTGCAGCCTCTCTGCTCTTTCCCCACACATTTGTGAACCTCTTGAAATCACAAGCTGTAATCACCAGAGCAGTGTAACAGAATTCCTGGGTCATGAGATAGCCGTGACTGTTCTGACTCATGTCACACAAGGGGAAAATTAGCGTGTTTCTAGTCCTAAGAGTTACAGACTTCCTAGGCTTGACTCTGTAACAGCCAAATGCCTTTTAACCTTCTAGGGAGTTTATTGTACTTTTTATTTTCTATCTTTTTGAGACAGGGTCTCGCTCTGTCACCCAGCTGGAGTGCAGTGGTGCAATCATAGCTCACTGTAGCCTCGAACTTTGGGGCTCAAGCAGTCCTCCTACCTCAGCTTCCTGAGTAGCTAGGATTACAGGTGCATGCCACCACACCTGGCTAATTTTTATTTATTCATTTATTCTATTTTTGTAAATTTTATTATTTTTCTTTTTTTCTCTGCTGCTTGAATCATCATAATTTCTTATTATTTTTTGTAGAGACAAATCTTGTTATGTTGCCCATGCTGATCTCATACTCTTAGGCTCCAGCTATCTTCCCACCTTGGCCTCCCAAAGCATCGGGATTACAGGTGTGAGCCATCATGCTTTGAATTTAACCTGGCCAAGTGCAGTAGATAATGCTGTGGTACCACAGAGCAGAAATGTGCTATTGTTGTAGTGTGATACCATAGAAGCTGCTTTTAGAGTTTTAGGATTCAAGTAACTGATTAGATAAGGTTCATCATCATTCTTTTATTGGACAAATATACACGGTGTGTCCATTTTAGACCCATTTTCCTTAATTATCTTATTCACTGGCTTATGGATTTTGTTTTCGGCCTTCCCTCTAAGTAGACCAGAAGCTTCCAGAGGTCAGGGGCTTCATCTGATGTTTCCTGCAGATGTTCAGGACCTAGAGAGGTGCCTGGCAAGTGTTGAGTCAATGGCAGGCAGGGTACTGGGGATGGTGAGCAGGCATGCAGATGCATAAACTGTCATGGTGTTTACAGTCTGGTACTATAGACAGACATTAATGCAATTTCACAAACAAATGTCAAATTGTAACTCTGACAGTTTCTGTGGCAGAGACCACTGTTCTCAGATGACTAACATAAGAGCTTTGGCTTAGCCAGGAGTTTGGGAGAACTTGCCAAGGGCTAAAGAAAAGGTACCCAGGTGGAGGAAGTCTCGTGACCTGTGTCTGGAGAGTGTGTGCTAGAGGAAACAACTGGAGCAAAATTGGAATCATGTCTTTCTGTCTCTAAGAGCAGGTTTAGTCATATGCCTCTCCTTTCTTAATGATGACAACAAATAACATTTAGTGAGTGTTTGTGTGGATGATAGCAGTATAGTGTTCCATCCTTCCAGTGACCCCGGAGTGGAGCCTGGGAAATCCATTAGAGGTCAGGTGGCTGGGTGAGGGGTTCGAGTCCAGATAGCCTCTCCTTTTTCCTGATATGAGTTGTGTGTGGTGTGATGTTTAAAAGATACCATCAGTCCTAGATTCTTGAGAGGTCATTCAAAGGGATGCTACCCTGAAGCTGCTGGACCATGTTTAAGTGAAAGACAGGATTATAACATTGTCAGCCACTTGCCTGATAGAGATTTGGCTCAGAGAGGTCAGTTGCCTTCTCTAATGCAGGACCTCAAATGGAAAGGGAGGCAGTGGGTCAGAGACGTCCCAGAAGTTTACAGCATGGTGGTGGCTTTAAAATCTTTTAAATTCATCTCTTTTCTAGGTGCAAGGGTGTTGGGATAGGGTCAGGAATACTGAATTGAATTGAATTTCTCTAGCCCAAAATAGCAAGGAGATATTGGTGTTTTTTTGAGGCAGGTTCTCACTCCGTTGTCCAGGTTGGAGTGCAGTGGTGTGATCACAGCTTACTGTAACCTCAACCTCTCTGGCTCAAGTGATCCTCCCACCTCAGCTGGGACCACAGGTGTGTGCCACAACACCTGGCCGGTTATTTTTAAAAATTTTTTGTAGCGGCCAGGCACAGTGGCTCGCGCCTGTAATCCCAGCACTTTGGGAGGCCAAGGCGGGTGGATCACCTGAGCTCAGGAGTTCGAGACCAGCCTGGCCAACATGGTGAAATCCCATCTCTACTAAAAATACAAAAGAATTTGCCGGGCGTGGTGGCGGGCGCCTGTAATCCCAGCTACTTGGGAGGCTGAGGCAGGAGAATTGCTTGAATCCGGGAGGCAGAGGTTGCAGTGAGGTGAGATTGCGCCATTGCACGCCAGCCTGGGTGACAGAGTGAGACTTCATCTCAAAAAAAAAAAAAAAGTTTTTTTTTTTTTTTTTTTTGGTAGAGACAGTCTCCCTATGTTGCCCAGGTTGGTCTCAAACTCCTGGACTCAAGCAGTCTTCCTGCCTTGGCCTCCCGAAGTGTTGGGATTGATTTTTTAAAAATCAGCCTTGAGATTAATTCATATACCTTACAGTTCATCCAATTAGTGATTTTTAATATACCATAGGGTTGTACAACTGTGATCACAATATTATTTTAGAACATTTTATCCCACGTAAAACATAATCCCATTCTCATTAGCAGTCAATAGTCAATCCTCCCTCCCTCCATTTCCCAGCCCTAAGCAATCTCTAATCTGTTTTCTGTCCCTGGATATGCCTATTTTGGACATTTCATGTAAACGGAATCATATAATATGTGGTCTTTTGTGTTTGGCTTCTTTCACTTGGCATAGTGTTTTTAAGTGTTGCCCATGTTGTAGCATGTAGCAATTCTTCATTTCTGTTTATTTCCAAATATTAATCTGTCATATGGATATACCACATTTTATTTTCCATTCATCAGTTAGTTGATGGATGTTTGGGTTGTTTCCACTTATTATTTATTTATTTCTTGAAATGGAGTCTCGTTCTGTCACCCAGGCTGGAGTGCAATGGCGTGATCTCAGCTTACTGCAACTTCCGCCTCCTGGGATCAAGTGATTCTCCTGCCTCAGCCTTCCAAGTAGCTGGGACTGCAGGTGCACACCAACATGCCCAGCTAATTTTTGTATTTTTAGTAGAGACAGGGTTTCGCCATATTGGCCAGGCTGGTCTCAAACTCCTGACCTCAAGTGATCCTCCCACTTTGGCCTCCCAAAGTGTTGGGATTACAGGCGTGAGCCAATGTGCCAGCCAACCACTTATTATTTATTATCTTATAAATAATGCTGTGAACATTGCGTACAGGTTTTTGTGTGGATGTATAACATGTTTTCATTTTGCTAGAGTATATATCTAGGACAAAATTGTTGGTCATAGAGGGACTGCCAGACTGTTTTCCTATGTGTCTGCACCATTTTACATTTCCACCAGCAGTGTATTATGGTTTCATTCTCCCTAGATCCTTGCCAAAATTTGTTACTGTTCATATGTTTGATTATAGGCATCCTAGTGGGTATGAAGGGCTATCTCATTGTGGTTTTGCATTTCAGGACGGCTGATGATGTTGAGCATCTTTTCATGTGCTTATTGGCCATTTGTATATCTTTGGAGAAATGTCTATTCAGGTCCTTTGCCTATTTTTTTTTTAAATTGTGAGAGTTCTTTATATATTCTGGATACAAGTCCTTTATCAGATATAGGATTTGCATATATTTTCTTCCATGGATTGTCTTTCACTTTTTTGATGGTATCATTTACAGCACAACATTTTTAATTTTAATGAAGTCTTATTTATTTATTTTTGGTCACGTGTGCTTTTGGTGTCATATCTAAGAAATATCATTGCCTACCTTAAGGTCACCAAGAGTTGCTACTATTTATTTATTAATTAATTGATTAATTATATAACTGCTCCTTGCAGAGCAGGGCTAACTCATAGGCATTTTGCCCAGAGTTGGTCTATTACTCTTTTCTGTTCTAAGAATGTTATAGTTTTAGCTCTTATATTCAGGTTTGTGATACATTTTGAGTTAATTTTTGTGAGGGAGGGGTCCAACTTTGTTCTGTGAGGTGAAGGTACAACTTTATTGTTTTACATATGGATATCTGATTGTACTAGTACCATTCGTTGAAAAGACTGTTCTTTCCATATTGAGTTGCCTTATTGAAAATCAAATGACCATAAATGTAAGGGTTTATTTATCTGGGCTCTTATTTCTGGGCCCTTAGTTCTAGTTCACTGATCTGTATATCCTATGCCAGTACTACACCTTTTTTTTTTTTTTGAGACGGAGTCTCACTCTGTCACCCAGGCTAGAAGCGCAGTGGCACGGATCTCGGCTCACTGCAACCTCCACCTCCCAGGTTCAAGCAGTTCTCCTGCCTCAGCCTCCTGGGTAGCTAGGACTACAGGTGTGCACCACCATGCCTGGCTAATTTTTGTATTTTTAGTAGAGACGGGGTTTCACCATGTTGGCCAGGTTGATCTCGAACTCCTGACCTCAAGTGATCTGCCCGCCTTGGCCTCTCAAAGTGCTGGATTAGAGGTGTGAGCCACTGCGCCCAGCCACACTGTGTTGGTTACTGTAACTGTGTAGTAGGTTTTGAAATTAGACAGTGTGAGTCCTCCAACTTTGTTGTTGTTTTTTTTTTCCCCAAGATTATTTTGGCTATTCTAGTTTCCTTACATTTCCACATGAATTTTAAGACCAGCTAGTTAATTTATGCTTAAAAAAAAAAAAAAACGGCTGGGATTTTGGTAGGAGTTGCATTGAATCTGTAGATCAATTTCAGGAGTATTGACATCTTAACAATATTAAGCCTTCCAATACCTGATCATGGGATGTTTTCCCATTTATTTAGACATTTTTTCATTTCTTTCCACATTGTTTGTGGTTTTAGGTTTACAAATCTTTTACTTCTTTTGTTGAATTTATACCTAAGTATTTTATTCCTTTTGATGTTATTATAAATGGAATAATTTTCTTAATTTCATTTTTGGAATGTTTATTGCTAGTGTATAAAAATACGACTGATTTGGTATGTTGATCTTATATCTTGCAACCTTGCTGAATTTGTGTATTTGTTCTAATAGTTTTTTAGCGGGTTCCTTAGGACTTTCTATTTGTAAGATAATGTCATGTACAAATGGTGGTAGCTTTAATTCTTCCTCCTCAATATGAGGGCCCTTTTTTTTTTTTTCTAATTGCTCTGGCTAGAATTTCCAGTACGATGTTGAATAGGAGTCGTAAGAGTGGATGCCCTCCTGATCATAGGGGCAAAATATTGAATCTTTCACTGTTAAGTTTGATATTAGCAGTGGGTCTTTGATAGATACACTGTATTGGGTTGAGGAAGTTCCCTTCTATTTCTATTGTTTTTTTTTTTCTTTTCTTTTCTTTTTGAGACGGAGTCTCGCTCTGCCGCCCAGGCTGGAGTGCAGTGGCGCGATCTTGGCTCACCGCAGCCTCCGCCTCCCGGGTTCAAGCGATTCTCCTGCCTTAGCCTCCTGAGTCTGGGATTGCAGGCACGTGTCACCACACCCAGCTACTTTTGTATTTTTAGTAGAGACAAGGTTTTTCCATGTTGGTCAGGCTGGTCTTGAACTCCCAACCTCAGGTGATCCGCTTGCCTCGGCCTCCCAAAGTGCTGGAATTACAGGCATGAGCCACTGTGCCTAGGTAATTTTTGTATTTTCAGTAGTGACGGGGTTTCGCCATGTTGGCCAGGCTGGTCTCAAACTCCTGACTTCAGGTGATCCTCCCACCTTGACCTCCCAAAGTGCTGGGATTACAGGCGTGAGCCATCGAGCTCGGCCTGTTTCTAGTTTGTTGAATGTTTTTATCATGAAAGGGTGTTGAATTTTGTCAAATCCTTTTTCTGCATCTATTGAGATGGTCATATATGTTGTGTCCTTTTATTAATATGGTATATCATAAATGATTTTTAGATTATTATTATTTTATTATTATTATTGTCTTGAGACAGGGTCTCACTTTGTTGCCCAGGCTGGAGTGCAGTGGTGCAGTCTCAGTTCACTGTGGCCTCTGCCTCCTGGGTTCAAGCGATTCTCATGCCTTAGCCTCCAGAGTAGCTGAAATTACAGGCATGCACCACCATACCTGGCTAATTTTTGTATTTTTGTAGAGATGGGGTTTTGCCATGTTGGCCAGGTTGGTCTTGAACTCTTGGTCTCAAGTGATCTGCCCGCCTTGGCCTCCCAAAGTGCTGGGATTACAGGTGTGAGCCACCGCGCCCAGCCTGGAACTTTTATTTTTTTCAATGACATAGAGACTTCTGAGTAGAAATTTCTTCTGCTTGCAAATTGTTTTTCAGTGAACCCATGAAAACGATTGCTTCACAGTGTATGCTCCAGGATGGAATACAGTTCTTAATGTAGAGGGTGCACTAGCTCTTCCTCTCTCTGGGGCGGGTCATCTGTTGTACTCACTGCTCTGATTACATTCTCTAATATTTAAGTAGACCATGACCTGTCATGGTCTGGACGTGTGGCTAATTATACTTATCTCCTCATCTCGTCTTTAAAAAAGAATGATCTCAGATTCTTATTACCAAAGGACGTTGGCCTCCTTTGTAGAGAATACTTTGGGAAGGATCCTTCTGTGGAGTTTGATCCTGGGGACTCTGACTTTAGAGTTCTTGCTGATCTTTCCTCTCCCTTTAAGGGTAAGGATTAGTATATCTGCAGACATCTCCAAGCTTAAGCTTTGTTATTGTGGGCTTATGGGCAGCAGCTTAGCAACCATTTCAAGGCACTCAGCTGTCTCATGGGTCTGTCTCTGCTTGTCACTGTCCCCTCTTGCCCTCCTTCTCCTCCCTCTCACATTGCCCGTTCCCGTTCTTTCTTCCCTTGTCCTCTTACCCGTCTCCTCCTTTTTGTCCAGCATTCCTCTCTTTCCTATCCCCTCCCCGACTCACACTCCCTCTTGCTGCTTCCCTCACCCTCTTCTTTCCCTCCTCCTTGTCTCTTTGCCTTTTCTCCTCCTAGTCCCCTCCTCCTGACCCCTGCCCTCCCTCTCTCCTTTTGTCTTGGGAATCCTTTGTCCCTGCTCTGACCTCATCCCCTCCACCCCTACCCCCAGCCCTGTGAGCAGACCTCTCCAGCTTCTGATGGATGTTGTCTTTGGCTTTTCGCCAGTGTGTTTTTCCAGCTCCAGACCCTGTGTCTTGTTTTCTCCATGGAGCTGGGGGGGGGGCGGGGGGAGTAAAGGGGATCCTGGTTTTCATGGTCTCAGGCAGGCTGTGTCTGCAGCGTTTGGCCATTTCTGAGCCAGTCCCTGGCTTTGTTTCTTGGTATTTCCGGTTCTCCCAGTGGCCTGTTAGGATGACAGGACCCACCCCACCCCCCCGCCACCCCAACTCCCCAGAGGGGGCACAGGTTTGAAAGAGGACCATGCTTTGGTCTCTTAAGAGCACTTGATTACTTGACAGACGGCCTTCTATACCTTTCAGTTGGCAGGAAGCCACCTTTTTTTTTAAAATTACTTTAAAATTTATTATAAATAAAACAAAATTATTTCTGTGGTCAAGTTTACTATTTTGAAAATGGGAACTCATGTGTTTGTCATCTGCTGGTGGGCCCTGGGCCTGGGCAGAAGCCCAGCTTTCAGGTGGCCCAAGGCACTGGATTGTTTGATTTTGGATCTTAAAACTGATTTTGGAATTTTAAATCAATTTTTCAGTTCTGCCTCAGTGTCCAGTCTGTCCTTTTCATCCCCATCTGCTTTTCATTTTATTTATTTATTTTTTGAAACAGGGTCTTGCTCTGTCGCCCAGGCTGGAGTGCAGTGGCACAATCACAGCTCACTGCAACCTCTGCCTGTCAGGCTCAGGCAATCCTCCCACCTCAACCTCCCTAGTAGCTGGAACCACAGGTGCACACCACCACACTTGGCTAATTTTTTGTATTCTTGGTAGAGACAGGGTTTCACCGTGCTACCCGGGCTGGTCTCGAACTCCTGAGCTCAAGAGATCCACTTGCCTCGGTCTCCCAAAGTGCTGGGAATACAGAAGTGAGCCATTGTGCCTAGCCCATTGTATTTTCTTGAAGGCCATTTGAATATTGGTTGTGTTAAATGGAAGGACTTTTCTCTGTTTAAGAGGGCAACTTTCCTAGAAAGTAGAGTCAACAAATTGGATTTGCAGAGGTTGGGCTCTGGAGCCAGAAGGCTCAAGTTCAAGGCTGTCTGTGCCACTTGCCAGCTGTGTGTGGCTGTTTCTTGAGCTCCCTGGTAGAGCCGATGTGGGAGCCTCCTCCATCTGCATGGGGAGAAGGGGAGGTGCTACAGGTTAAATGCTTATTAATAAATGCTCTATTTGTTATTAAGAAGATTTCATGGCAAAGATCAACCACTGAAACAGCCACGAGTCTGCTGCCAATTTTCTCTGTTTTCTTTCCTGTGCTCTGTTTTTTTTTACTTCAATTACACGATTTCTCTGGATTTTTATGTTACCTTAGTTTTGGAAGCTAGAGCTACAAAACCAATGTGCTTAAGAAAATAAAAACTTTGCCAGCTGATGCTTGTGTGTTTTTTTAAAGATTTGTTTTTTTTCCTAATCAGGAAATTGGATGTGGCAATTTTGAAATGTGGTGATTAAAATTTTTCAAAGGAGAAATCTATTGTTACCATAAATGTATGCTCCTGAGGATGCATTTCATAGTGCATTACTTCTCTACAAACATGTATTTTTTGTTTGTTTGTTTTAACTGTATTTAGAAGCTGGACTCATGCTTCTGTTAAAGGAAACCTACTGTGGGAACTATTTGAGGGTAAAAATTTTGAAGGAGGAATCACATTATTACTCATTTAAACCATAAACCCAGGCCGGGCATGGTGACTCACGCCTATAATCCCAGCACTTTGGGAGGCTGAGGTGGGCAGATCACCTGAGGTCAGGAGTTTGAGACCAGCCTGGCCAACATGACGAAACCCCATCTCTACTAAAAGTACAAAAATTAGCCAGGCATAGTGGCGCGTGCCTGTAATCCCAGCTACTAGGGAGGCTGAGGCAGGAGAATCTCTTGAACCCAGGAGGCAGAGGTTGCAGTGAGCCCAGATCATGCCACTACACTCTAGCTTGGGCGACAGAGCAAGACTCAGCCTCAAAAAACCCCAAAAAACATAAACCCATTGTTCTCTGTGAGGTGGTGGGTCAGCATGGATCCGATCCTAGGTGGTGGGAAAACACCCTTTGCCTAATGCTAATGCGTAAGCTCTGGCTGCTGAGTACACCTTGTACAGACTTTGGAGAGATGGGAGTAGGGGGCATTTGCTGGACTTGAATTTACACCTGTGGTTGGGATCCAGGACCCAGACTGGGGAGTCCAGCTCTTATCCCCACCAGCAGTTATTCTGTGATTCTGAGGCAGTGCCATCTGGCTACCACCCTTAGCCAAGACTCTTTTACCTGGGATGGTTAGATATCAGGCTGCTGTGTTTAGTAAATTGAAACACTTTATAATGTGCTTTATTCAGAGTTACTGAGTTCTGAATCAGGCCTATATTCCAGGGCCATTGCTATAATTGCCTATTAGCATATACAGACAGTTTGAAAAATCTGTTTATTTGAGCTTTTTGCTTATGTGGACTTTGGATAATTGAGCAATTCAGTATATTACATAGCGGGAGTCCTTGTGCCTACACATCTCTGAGCCTGCAGAGAATGACTCTCTTCACCCTACCACTCTCTTTCCTATGTCAGGCCGGTATCTAAGCCAGTAATGTGTGTTCTGGGCCAGTGGTCCCTAAACTGAAGGGCAACCAGATAAAAACTGGAAACTTAACATGGGTAGCAGATTACCAAATTTGGAACCAGAAGCTTTGCTTCCTTGATAATCATGGTTTTGACTGAGCAACCTTTGCAATTTTATATCTTTTTGTTGATTTAAATCTTCTGTAGAGAACATTTAAAAAAAAAAAAAAGACCACACATAATTTTTACACCGTTCAGGAACTCCTAAGAGACCCTTAGGAGGCCATAACCTGGGAAGGTTGGGAATAGGGGCCACGTCTCTACGGCAGGGTAGAGTTAGAGGAATGAGGGTTTCGATGGCCCTTTGGCCATCTCGCCTGGCTGCCTGGGCTTCCCTTCTGGAGGGATTTATTGGCTCATCTAACAAGCCAGAGGATAAATGAGCTGGTGCCTAGAGTTCCTCTGACTTTAGTATCCCCACTGCTGGGAAGATGGAATTAAGAGGATGTCTACAGAATGCTTGGAGCCCTTCTGAAGGGAGAAGATTAATCACTATGTTTACCATTGTCAAGTCTGATGTAGACTAGAAGGCACAGTGTCTGCTAGAATTTATAGTACTTGCTTTGGGTGGAAGAAATGTAAATTTTTCCCCCTAAGACTAATTCCCCATCATAAACCCCTAAGCACTAATGGTGCTAATTGAGTAGTTTTCTCTTCCTTTTCAATATGTGCGTGCTTTTTGGTTATTGATTCTGGATTTCATGAGCTTTGGTATTTATTTCCTGAGTGCCCTGAAATTATTATTTTTTAAATTAGGATGGCCTCAATTTCATTTAGTTTTTAAGGGGTTATGGAAACTGATTAGAATGGAAGATACTCATAGATTTATCTAATTTAGGATAACATTTTAATACTTACTATTTAAATTCATTCTTTAAGTTAAACATGGCCAAGGTATTAGCTTGTACTTTTTAAAAGGAAAAGCTGTTCTAAAAATGCATAGTTATTGTGTACCTGAATTGTCTTCATATGTTTAATGGAGACAAGGGGAGTATAAATACTCTCACAAAAACTGATCTTTTTTTTTTTTTTTTTTTTTTTTTAAATCTGTCGCCCAGGCTGGATTGTAGTGGCATGATCATAGCTCACTGCAGCCTTGAACTCCTGGGCTCAAGTGATCCTCCCACCTCAGCCTTCCAAGAAGCTGGGACTACAGGTACACACCACTGTGCCCGGGTGATTTTTTTTTTTTTTTAACTTTTTGTAGAGATGGGGTCTTGCTTTGTTTCCCAGGCTGGTCTTGAACTCCTGACTTTAAGCCACATTCCTGCCTTAGCCTCCCAGTGTTGGGATTACAGGCGTAAGCCACCACATCTGGCCATAAAAGCTGATCCTTTAGCAGATCTGAAAAGTAGAAAAGTGGACTTAAGATTTACTTTTTCTAATTTCTGTCCCACACTTCTAGGTTTGGCATTAATTAGGTAAAGTCAGGACAAAAGAAGGAAGATGGAAACTCTGGCACCCATAGATACCTATAGTTAACTTTAATGTAAAATAATGACTATTTTTGTGTTCCAACCAATTTTAAAGGTTCCAATTATTTAGGAAAGAGATGAAAGTAAGAAACCATCCCAAATTGTACTACTCAGAAATACCTAGTGTTGGTAGCAGGGAACATCTTGCCAGAGAAACTTCTGTGTGTGTTACGTCTGCCTGACTTTATTTTTAAATAATTCATTTTCATCAAGGCAATCATATGCACATAGCTTTTTAAAACACTCCCCCCCATAGTTTCTTTTCTTTTTTTTTTTTTTTTTGGTAAAATCACATGCACAAAGCCACACAAAACAGTAATAGGATGGTGAATTATAAGATAAATCCTTCTACAATAAACATCCAGGTCAGAAAATAGAACTTTGCCAGCTTCCTTAGTAACCCCTCTCTCCTCCACTCCAAGAGTAACTGCCATCTTTTTATCATAATCTCTAGGCAACATAAAATTTTGCCTGTTCTTAAGAACTTGATATGTATGTTGTCTTTTTCAATCTGCAGGTCCCCCTCCAGGCCTTTCTTTTCCTTACATTTTATCTACTGAGAGATAGGCCGTTGAACCTGTAGAGTTTACCACGGGTCTGAAATAACTTTACTTTTGTGCATACTCACAGTGCACAAAACTAAAGTTTTGGGATTACAGGCATGAGCCACCACAGTGCCCAAGAGTAATGTCAGCATGGCTCTCAGTTCAATGTATTTCCTGCTAATTCCATGTATGTGGTTTTAAAAAAGGCAAATGCTACTCAAAGGTCAATGAAAACCACTGTGGATTCTATTCTGTGTTCCACCTGCTCTACTCTTAGTCTTGTTCCCGAAAAGTCACTGTTTCTAACTTGTAACTTTTTCTTTTTCTTCGGTTACAGTTCTTTTTTTCCTCTACAGTTCTTTTCTTTTTTTTTTTTTTTGAGACAGTGTCTTTGTCTGTCACCTAGACTGGAGTGCAGTGGTGCGATCTCAGCTCACTGCAACCTCCACCCTGGGCTCAAGGGATCCTCCCATCTCAGCTTCCTGAGTAGCTGGGACCACAGGCGCACACCAGCACACCCCACAACAATTTTTGTATTTTTAGTAGAGACGGGGTTTCCCCATGTTGCCCAGGCTGGTCTTGAGCTCATGAGCTCAAAGCAATCCACTTGCCTCAGCCTCCCAAAGTGCTGGGATTACAGATGTGAGCCACTGTGCCTGGCCTGCCTCTGTCATTCTAAATAATATCCTTGTACATGGGACATTATTATTTTTATCTTCTGAGACAGGGTGTCACTCTGTTCCCCACTATGTTGAGCTCACTGCAGTCTCAACCTCGTGGCCTCAAGCAATCCTTCTGCATCAGCCTTTTGAATAGTTGGGATTACAGGTGCCCACCATCATGCCCAGGTATTTTTTGGGGTTTTTAGTAGAAACGGAGTTTCACCATGTTGCCCAGGCTGGTCTTGAACTCCTGGACTCAAGTGATCCACTCACTTTGGCCTTGCAGGCATGAACCACCGCACCCAGCAGGGATGTTATTTTTATTCTGCTCCCATGCTTGACTGCTGGTTGAAATGGATATGGAATTCTAGGTTGAAATAATTTTCCCTCATAGTTCTTTTAACCACCTGTTGTTAAGAAGTCTTTTGCCATCTTGGTTCCTCTTCCTTTTTTATGTCATTCATTTTTTTTTTCTCTGAAAGCTTTTAGAAATATCTAAATTTTGGGGTACTGGGTGGTACTTTTAAAATTCATTATGCCAGGCACTCAGTGGGCCCTTTCCATCTATTTTTTAAAATTATTTATTTATTTATTTACTTACTTTTTCCATCACCCATTTCTTAGTATGAACCTTTCCATCTAGAAGTTTATATTCTTTATTTCTAGGAAGGTTTCTTGTATCATTTCTTTGATAATTTCCTCCTCTCATTGTCCCTCTGTTTTCTCAATCTGGATATCCTCTGGAATTGATCCTCTGTTTTTCTTCATTCTCTATTCTTAATTCTCATTCTTTCATTTGTTTGGTATTTCCTCAGCTTTATCCTTAGTCCTTTTATTTTTCTTATTTCTACTATTCTTTAATTTTCAAAAGCTTTCTTTGTAGCTTTCAAAAGCCCCTCCTAACTTTTTTGGAATGAGTGTCCTAGTCTTATTTTCTGGATACAGTGCCTTCTCTCTCTGAAGGCATTAATGATGATTTTTGGAAGTTTTCTTCTGTTCTATGCATCGTCTCTGTTTCCTGGCTTCTTTCTCTGTTTGCTTTGGTGTCTGTCTGCAAGTTGGAGGCTTTCCTCAGGTGTCTAGTGGTCTTTGGTTGTCCTCATTTGAGGGAGCTGGCTGGAGCTCTATGTGCAGAGCAGGGCTTGTTGACAGTAGGGCTGTGTTATGAACAATAAGACACTTGGCCTTTTTCACCGGGGACTGTTTGGGTATTGGTAGTTTTTTCCCTTGGACTGGTTGGTTTGCCCAGAGGGGAGCCCTCCAGTCCCCTGCTTGGCTGATGATGCTTTGTCAGTCGAGTTGGGGAAGGGAACTGAGGGTGGGGGGGTGTGAGAGTCGGGGGTCTTACACTGCTAAGTATAGATTTACAATCCATTCTCAATCCTACTTTCATTTGTGCCTGGTGTTCCAGAGCCTAAGCTTGTGTGTTCACTTTCTCTGATCAGTTTCTGCTGCAGTGGAGAAGGGACCATTGCCCGGGCGTTCAGGAAGGTGAGGACCTGCAGGAGCTGGAGAGGTATCAGTGCTCATTTATATGAACCTTGGGTCAGTCCTCCCGTTTTTAGCTATAAGCCTGATTCTCCCTTACTACCCTCCAAAGCCCAGTTCCTACAAGCCCTGAACCCCCTTAGAGTTCATCGCTTTTCCTTGGGACCCCTGCAGGTAATCTTGGCCTTGTCCCATTAAGGCAGTTAGGCTTTGTCTAGCTGTTTTTTCATCTTCCAAAAATCTGTCAAAAATTTTCATCCTTTTTTCCGTTTTCTTTGTCCTTGTGGGTTTATTATATCTTATTTTTAATTTTTATTTTTTTTGAGATGGAGTCTTGCTCTATTGCCCAGGTTGGAGTACAGTAGTGCTATCTCAGCTCACTGCAACCTCCACTTCCTGGGTTCAAGCAATTCTCCTGCCTCAGCCTTCTGAGTAGCTGGGATTACAGGCCTGTGCCACCGCGCCCAGCTAATTTTTGTATTTTTAGTAGAGACGGGGTTTCACCATGTTGGCCAGGCTGGTCATTATTATATCTTTTAAAAACTTCCTTTATGGTCACTTTGGTGGGAATTAAGGAAATAAAGTCGGAGACCCTCTGGTTCACTTTCTTATTTTGAAGGAGAATTTTTATTTTTATGTGCAGAAGAGCTCACATTATACATTTAATTCTTAAAAATTTTAAATTTTATTATTTTTTGTAGCAGTTGGGTCTCGCCATGTTTCCCAGGCTGGTCTTGAACTCCTGGGCACAAGCAGTCTACCTGCCTTGGTCTCCCAAAGTGCAGGGATTATGGGCTTGAGCTGCCGCGCCTGGCATTCATTTAATTTTTAATCCAGTTTCATGGCAACTTGTTTGGCCTTTGTCTTTTCCAGGTGGGCTTGGCTGTGCAAGCCTTGGGTTTGTGGCCCAGGGCATTGCCTCCCCAGCAGTGCAGATCTCATCATATCTGTCATTGTTGTAGATCCTGATAGCTTTCACCATTCTAGCCAGAGAGAGCTCTTAGTTGTCTGAATTAACCAGTGAAGGTGAGGGTGGTGCAGATTTTTCTATGGCGTTTCCTTTGATAATTCAGTAGGGAGCCTCCATTCTATGCCCAAGAGAGGGAGGAAGACAGCCAACCCAGTGGATCCATGCCTTCTCATTTTCCACCAAGGTGGGGATGGTATTAACCCTGTTGGAAGGTCAGATGCTCTTAGCAGGGACTTCCCCTTTATCTGCAGCTTTCTCTAAATCCTGGGCCAACATCTGCAGCTTATTTTCTTGCTTTGGCTGTCCTTTCTCCATATGGACCAGCTTGAGCAGCTGAGTGGCTATTCGATGGCCCACGACCTGAGTGAACTGGCCTTCAAAGGCTCAGAGGAGATGGCTAGCCCTTTGCTACTTGCACTTGAATGAGCCATTATGAGAAAGATAGGATGGAGAATTCTGAGTGATCTGGGAGACTGAGAGACCTTTATCTTTTAAGACATGAAAGACAATGGAGGTCTGGCTGCTTCACCCCCAATTCCCAGAATACAGTCCTGGTGGCTATCCAGATGTGTGTGGCTGAGATTTTTTTCCTTCTTAAACTTATTCCTCTTTGAGCCCTATCTTCTCTACTACCCAGTGACGTGACTCATTTGGAAGCCACCCTGTGCCTTTGTGATATGACAGCTTAGCATGTGACCAGCTTTTGAATGATTAAATCTGCAGACTCCATCAGAAGCAAGGAGTAATCTGTGAAGTCCAAACTCACAAAGTAGTTAAAGATGATTATAAATTAAAGAAGCACCACCTGGGCGGGTCTCTAAGGGACATGGCATCAGCCCTGTGCTGAACAGTCCATTGTGTCATATCTTAGGGATTATGTGGCTTGACATTACTTGCTCTTTCAGCAGTAGCCCTCACTATAGTCCCCAACCAGTACCGTCAGCATCACTGGGAGCTTGTCAGAAATGCAAATTCTTGGGTCTTCAGACCTCAGAAACTCAGGCATGGGGGCCCAGCAATCTGTGTTCTAACAAGCCCTTCAGGAGATTCTGATGCTCTTTACTGGTTTAGATGATCTTGTAGACTGGTGCAAAAGTCAGTCCTTCTGGGTTTGGGGGTTGCTCCCACATAGCCTGGAAGGAGGGAACAGTAGTCTTATCTGAGGCTTCCTCAGGGAAATAACCCTCCAGCTTAAGGCCTCTTATGCTATTGTTGAGCAGATTCAGCCTCTGATTTAGGAAAGTAGCCAATTGGAGCAAAAAGCATGATTCAGTCTTGAAGGAAAAAAATAACTTGGGCTACTCTGCGTCATGTGAAGAAGTAACTGGGTCTCGTGTGGATGCCAGTGATAACAGTTGGCATACTGGGGATTTCCTTCTAATCTTTATTCTGTGTGCATGCAGGATGTGCATTTAATCTAGTTGGGATCCCATTGTATGCATTGTTCTGTATTGCCCCCTCCCCCATTATGAAAGAGTCCCGTGACACCACAGTGTTAAGGACTGAGGTGGTAAGGGCTCCAGGATGTCAGTGGCTATCAGAGGTCCCCAGCTCTGAGAAAACTGGTGGCTGAATGCGTAGTCCCCGAAGAAGTCATTTTCCCAAGGCATTTGGAGTTGTTGGTGCTACTGGCACATTTTGGACCTCTGTTAAGGGGAAAGACAGGGGGAGCTGACTGACTGGGCTACTCCATTGCCATTTAGATTTCCTGACTCTGCAAGCTGGCTGAATGTTGCTTTTTCATGTGCTGCCTGGACTAAAGCTGTCTGATTCTTTCCTTCTGAACAATGGCTGTTTTTATGAGATCTTGCTTCTCCCAGGCAGTGGCCCACACAGTGAAGTCTTTTCTTTCCCGTTTGTGTAAGCTAGTGGACCTTATGGACTCTGTCTGGCTGACTTTTCTCTAATGTTTACAGTTCGTGTAGTGTGATAGCCGAGCTCATTTTCCGTGTGAAGAAAAAGAAAAGGTGGATAATGGACCGCCTCCCCCTCCCTGCCTCCAGAAAAAAAGGCACTCAGAGAGAAAAGACTGCAGTCCCATTCAGAGTCGGGTGGGGGGGGGGGGCGGGGGATGGCAAAGGGGGAGGGTAAAAGAGGACCCTTAGGGCAAATGACTGTTCTGGGGATGGGGTGGGGAGTCAGCCTTCTTGGGGGAGCTGGGGATACTTTGTGTAGGGCCCCATTCTGTGGTATGGGCTTCTTTCCTCCTGGACCCTGGTGTAGGCTGGAGAAATCAGTATTATGGAAGCCACTGCCTCCTCACCCCGCCCCCAGGATCTAGGCCCAGAGGACCTGGCAAAAGCTGGGTTGGCACCCACACCCAGGACCTGCCCGAGCCAAGTCCACGCTGCCCCTGCCTGACCTGGGCTGGTCAAGTAGAGTAGGCCTGAACTGCCCGGGTGAAGGAGTATCCCAAGTCCATCATACCGCCTTTCCCCTCCCTCACCAAGGGAAAATGAAACCCCACGTGCCGAGGGCTACCTTTGCTTTTTCTGTTACCTTTGATGGATTGACTGCTCATCCCACACAATTGGGACCAAAATCTCTGGCCCTGCAATCAGTCTGCCCTACTCTGATGCTTGCTTAAGCTGTGACAAAAGATACTTGGATGCACAAAGGTCTCTTTTGAGTTTAATTGGAATTTCTCTAAACACTCTGACTCTCCCTGAATCTTCCCTGTTTCCTAAGACCAACATCGTGGAGTCAGTAGATTTAGTGAGCACCTGCTAATTACCACTGGGGTGTTGAGGATTCAGGGTAGACAGCGACCTGTCCTTATAAAGCAAGCTAACATTTGAGTATGTATCTGTGCATACTCAATGAAAAATGAATTTCATTATTTACCTGAATAACGAAATATTCAGGGCTCCTTATGTGCTAAGTACTGTGCTAAGCACTTTGTCAACATAATCAATAAATACTTTTGAAGTGAGTGACCTCCTTCAGCACCCCCTTTGGCTGGAGAGTCAGGCCTGGCTGGTTTCATGGTCCACCCTGCTGTCCTTCCTCATCTGGTGCCCCAGCCTGGTAGGCAGAGGCAAGGAGAGGCAGGTACAGGGTGCACCTTGAGAGCCTTGCAAGCCAGAATCAGGAGCTTGGGTTTTATTTTAGCAATGATAGGAAGCCGTAGGTGAGTTTAAGCAGGAGAATCATAAATAACTCACCCCAGGTCACCTCACCAGCAAATCAGTTATATAGCCAGACCAAGAACCAAGGACTTCACATTTCTACCTAGCCTGGTGCCTGGAAGAAGCATTCATTCCATTGGAAGACTCAGCTGTTTTCTATAAAAACAGCCTTCTCCTCTTTTACCACCATCGTACTTGTTCCCAGCATGGTAGAAATATTTTTGAAGTTATTTTATATATAGTAGAAATTGTATGTATGGTGAAAAGTGGAAATAACTTTTTTATTCCCTGAAGCAAACATAACTAAGTCAGTGAAAGTTGAATCATTTTCCATTTTACAAACTAACCATTGCCATGATTATCTCTGAACTTTTGTTAATAATACAGCTGTGTATGCCCAAAGCTGTAGACTTAAATTTTTTTTTAATTTGTAAATGATCTACAGCAAACTAGATTTTTTTTTTTTTTTTTTTTTTTTTTTTTTTTTTGAGACAGAGTCTCACTCTGTCACCCAGGCTGGAATACAGTGGCGCGATCTGGCTTACTGCAATCTCTGCCTTCCAGGTTCAGGAAATTCTCCTGTCTCAGCCTCCATAGTAGCTGGATTTACAGGCATGTGCCATCATACCCAGCTAATTTTTGTATTTTTAGTAGAGACAGGGTTTCGCCATGTTGGCCAGGCTGGCCTCAAACTCCTGACCTCAAGTGGTCTGTCCTCCTTGGCCTCCCAAAGTGCTGGGATTACAAGAGTGAGCCACTGCACCCAGCCTGAATTTTAACACATGTATAGAGTCATGTAACCACCCCAAGGATACAAAATAGTTCTGACACCCCAAAGAAACTGCCCGTAAAACTCTCTCTCTTTATAAAACTCTCTCCCATAGACTTTTTAAAAAGCTTTGTTAAAATAACAGCTTTATTGAGATATGATTAACATACCATTCAGTTGTCACATCTAAAGTATGGAATTCAATGGTTTTCAGTGTTTACAGAGTTGTGCAACATCACCACAGCAAATCTTATTTGTTGAGACAGGTTCTCTTGCTCTGTTGCCCAAGCTGGAATGCAATGGTGTGATCATGGCTTACTGCAGCCTCGACCTCCTGGGCCCAGGCAATCCTCCCATATCAGCTTCCTGAGTAGCTGAGATCACAGGCGTGTGCCACCATGCTCTGCTAATTTTTTAATTTTTTTGTAAAGATGGAGTCTCCTTATGTTGCCAAGGCTGGTCTTGAACTCCTGGCTTCAAGCGATCCTCCTTCCTCGCCTGCCAAAGTGCTGAGATTATAGATGTGAGCCACTGTGCCCGGCCATCCACAATAAATTTTAGAACACTTTCTTCACCCGCAAAAGAAACCCTGTATCCATTAGCAGTTACTCCCCATTTCCCCCAATCCTCTAGCCCCAGGCAACTACTAATCTACTTTATGTTTGTATAGACTTTCCTCTTTTGGACATTTGTTATACATGGAATCATACAATATGTAGTCCTTTGTGACTGGCTTTTTTCACTTAGCATAACGTTTTCAGAGTTCACCCATGTTGTAGTAGGTATCAGTACTTCATTCCTTATTATTGCTGTATAATATTCCATTGTTATGTATTTTTAATATTTAGTTTATCCTTTCATTAGTTGGTAAACTTTTGGATTATTTCCACTTTTTGGCTATTGTGAATAATGTTGCTGTGAACATCTGTAGACTTTTTTTTATTGTGGACATTTGTTTTCATTTCTTTATGTTGATACCTATGAGAGGAATTGCTAGATCATGTGGTAACTCTGTATTTAACATTTTGATAAATTGCCAGACTGTTTTCCAAAGTGGCTGCGCTATTTTACATTCCCACCAGCAGTGAGTGAGGGTTCTGGTTTGTCCATGTCCTTGCCAATGCTTGTTATTATCTGTCTTTTTGATTATAGAAATCCTTGTGGGTATGAAGTGGTATCTCATTATGGTTTTGATTTGCATTTTCCTGATGGTTAATGATGTTGAGCATTTTTTCATGTGCTTGTTGACTTTTGAAATTATTATTGAAATAATTATTGGATAACAGATGTTAAAAACATTTCAACAGAAGCAGAAATATTTTATATAATTGATTTTAAAATTATATTGAGCAAAGTTATTAGCTGATTATTAAAGAGATTATTTTACCCTGGAGAATTATTAGAAATTTTGAAATTAAAAACATTCTTTTGTTTACCCAGAAATCTAGAAGAAAGGTTAAAATTTCCACTTTTTAATATTGTCCCAAGTGCAACATAAAAGTATGCATTTTTCATATCTTAACCTTTAAATGTATGCCATGTTAGGATACAATATTGAGTGCTTGTATATTTTTGAATTCACAGTCCTTTTTTCTGCCCCGATTGTAATAATAGGCTATTCTACATCCTTCTTAATACCTTTTAGCTCAACATTTCTATTTCCAATATTAGGATTTTAAAAATAAAAATCTTGTGTGAGAGACAAAGTAAAGTACCAAAATTGCCTCAGTTAGAGGAGCCAGTTTTCTGTGGATTTGAACCAACCTGTAACCTGAGCCGTGCACAGCTGCCATGAATAGAACAGGGACCTGGTGAAGGGCACCTTCTGCCACTTTGGCCGATTGAGATCCAGCAACCTCCTGGCTGGCAGTGATCATGAAGATGGGAACTAGGACACTGGTGCATTTTAAGGTGCAGTAATTAAAGGCACTCTAAATTACTCTTTGCTGTTTAGACCACCTGGGCTGTCCAGTGCTACTTTGGATACCAAGGAAAATGGAATATTCTTATGTAAATATGGATGGACCATGAGCTCCTGGAGGGCTGGAATCCAGTTTTGTGCAATTGTTTTCTCCACAAAGACTGACAGTAGGTTCACGGTCCTGCTTCTTGAATGAAGGAAGAAGGGAAGGAATGAAGGGTGAATGATGGGAGTAACAGAAATTGATTGCCAATTCACATCCATCTCTGCCACACTTTCTTCTTTCCTAATAGAATCCAGATTTCATTCCATTCTTAAGCCTCCTTTGCAGCATGCTGGAGTAGGGGTTGAGGAGGCGTCCAGTGGGTATTGATTGGTCCAGGCCAATCACAGTGGCCCCATTCCCTTTGCTGTAGTTGTGACTGGGCCGATTGGGATCAGAACAAGTGGGCTGCAGTTTCCTGGGGAGGTTTTGTTATGTTTGCTGGTGATGCTGTATCTGCTGCTCTCATCTTGTGATCTGAGGAGAACCTGCTGGAAGGCGAGCACTGACCTGCTGTGTGTGGCCAAGCAGAAAGGGAGCAGACGAACTTAGATTCTGGGGTTGGCTCTGTCTCATTTGCATCTTGGGCAGGCCACATGTCTCTCCTCCATCAAGTGTCCTGTAACCTGGAGAACTCACCCTGGTTCACCTGACACGTGGCCCACACCATGTTAATCAGTTTGTGCTTTTATTCTTAAGTATTTGAAGGAACCAGAAAATACAACCAACTGAAAGGCGTTTTCATTTTAAATGCCTGTAAACCTGAACATGTCATTCAGTGAGCTTCCTTGTAAAGCTGAACTCAAATATCATTTCCTCCTTTACTGCTACCCAGGTTTGCCCTTCGCCCCTTGGTTGGGTTATTTTTGCCACCTTTAAGCTCTTCTGGTTTGGCTGCTGCTTCTCTTACTGCTCTGCCACAGTGGGCATTTCATTGGGAAGTGAGACTTGTGGCCGGCTTCTGGGTAAAATACTCCTTGGAACCTCCTCATCTTTAAAATATAGATAATACTCATGTACCTTGGCAGTTGTGGAGATTGACGAAGACAAGGTTTGTTTGTAAGTATGCTTTTGCCTTTAAATTTCATTTTATCATGTTCATCTTTATTATGATAACTGAGGACTGGAGGGAACCTTTATTTTTAAATTTAATTTAATTTATTTATTTTTTGAGACAGAGTCTCACTCTTGTTGCCCAGGCTGGAGTGCAGTGGTGTGATCTCAGCTCACTGCAACCTCTGCCTCCCGGGTTCAAGCAATTCTCCTGCCTCAGCCTCCCCAGTAGCTGGGATTACAGGCGCCCCCGCCACAACGCCCAGCTTATTTTTTAATGTATTTTTGGTAGAGACGAGGTTTCACCATGTTGGCTGGTCTGGTCTTGAACACCTGACCTTGGACGATCTGCCTGCCTCGGCCTCTCAAAGTGCTGGGATTACAGGCATGAGCCACCATGCCTGGCCTGGAGGGAACCTTTAAAGTCAACCTGTCCTACCTCCTGGCTGATGCAGGGATCTCCCTTTAATGTCCATTGTGGGCCTTGCCCATTGTTTGGTGGCCCATTTGAATTGTTGCGCTGAGCTCCCACCCCCACACACAACAGATCGTAAGATACGCCATTGCTTTATGTACCTCTAAGAAAGCAAAAAATGCTACAAAGTAAGCATAGTAAAGGACGATTGGCTATAAGACAAAATTCAATTTTAGAGATATTGAAATGTGAAAAAATGTGTATCTTAAGAGATTTACTCTTTACCATCTGCTCTGTGCTGCAATTTTTTTAAAGATAAAGTGCTAATTTACTGAATTTAAAATAAATCCAGGTGTGTATGCATGCGTGTATATATTTGTATGTATATGTATACACACAAATATACATACGTATGATATAAGTAGGCTTTGGACTTCAGGGAACTTTTTTTTTTTCCTTTTGAGACAGGGTCTTGTTCTGTTGCCCAGGCTGGAGTGCAGTGGTGCGATCATGGCTTGCCGTAGCCTCAACCTCCCAGGCTCAAGTGAATCTCCCCCTCAGCTTCCTGAGTAGCTGGGACTATAGGCATGCACCACTATGTCTGGCTAATTTTAAAAAATTTTTATTAGAGACGAGGCCTCTTTGTGTTGCCCAGGCTGGGACTTCAGGGCCCTGTCAAGTGTGCTTCTGTGTGTATACAGATTTTGAGATTCCCATCCCTGCTCTCCACTCCAGGATAGGACCTGAGTTAACCATATTTTAGAAAGATAATGACTTGTCTTCATCAGTTATCTTTTTGATAGTCTTTATGAATTCTAATAAAATTTTCAAAACAGTGGCTAAAAGAGAACTGTGGCCTGTTTCTCCCTGTGCCTATCAGCAGGCCTCGGGGATTTCCTTTCTTCCTCGTGGACACTTCTGTGCATTTTCCTACAAGAATATACGTGACAGGTCATGTATAGTTTTCCTTCATATTTGTGTTCTATTAAAAAAATCATCCAACTCAGAAAGCTTTTTATTTTCCAGAAAAAAATTTAAAAGTGACTTATTTCAGAGTATTTTTATTCTTCTACAGAGAGACAGCTAGCTGTGATGGAGGCTCTTCTAGGCAGGATATAGGGTAACTTAGATTCTTGTTCTGGCTTCACCGTTTGCTTGTGGTACTTCAGTTTCTTCCTCTGTGCAGTGGGCATAATAACGCCTGCTCCTTTGACTTCACAGATCATTGAGGAATGAGTGAGATTATATAAAGTAATATACTTAGTGTGGACAATGATACAATAAAGCATGGAGGACAGTGTTACAGGTACATAGCAATTCTGAAAGTGCTTGTTTGATATTAATCACTTCTTTCTTTCCCCCTGCATAAGAAATGTCTTTTCTTTTTAAAAAACATTCTGTTTTTTTCCCAATGATTCCAGAGAACCATGTCAATAAGACTCACAGGGGAAAGCCCATAGAAGGTTTTCAAGAAATCCTGTTAGCAGTGAACAAAACACACAAAAGCTCCATCCACATGGAGCTTACATTCTATTTGGGAGAGAGGGGAAATAAACAAATGAGTATATTGTAGTGTATCAGAAGGAATAGCTTCTAAGAAGAAAAATAAAGGAAGGGGATGCCGAGGGGTTGAGATGTCAGTTAAGATATGAAAAAAGACAGAGATGGCTACAGCACCACGGTGGGGGGTGGGGGGTGGTGGTGGGTGAGGGCGGGTGGTAAAGGGAGATTCCAGGTAGAGGGAATAGCAGATACCAAGACCTCTGGGTTCTGAGGAGCAGGGAGGAGAGACGGGGCAGCTTTGAAACTGTGGGACAGGAGAGTAATGTAACGGTAGAGGAGTGCCTCTTTTTCCAGGCGTGGTCCCTTAGCAGTCTCACTGGTTTATAGTCTCAGTCTGTCATTGGGAACAAGCCTTAATGTGAATGTTGTCATATTAATATCACACCTGTTTGTCAGGTCATTTTTGGCTGCTTTTTTTTTTTTTTTTTTTGAGACGGAGTTTTGCTCTTGTTGTCCAGGCTGGAGTGCAGTGGTGCGATCTCTACGCACTGCAACCTCCGCCTTCCTGGTTCAAGTCATTCTCCTGCCTCAGCCTCCTGAGTAACTGGGATTGCATGTGCCCGCCACCACTCCTGGCTGATTTTTTTTATATTTTTAGTAGAAACGGAGTTTCGCCATGTTGGCCAGGCTGGTCTCGAACTCCTGACCTCAGTTGATCTGCTCACCTTGGCCGCCTAAAATGCTGGGATTACAGGCATGAGCCACCGCGCCCGGCCTTTTTTGTTGTTGTTGTTTGTTTGTTTTGCAGTTTTTTGGGGATCTCATCAGGTTCATTTAGGGCTAAATAAACTGACCCTCCAAGGGACTTAATGACTTATGCTGAAGGACCCTGTGAAAACCTAAATGGTATGCTTCAGGCCTGGAAGCTGACTTAAAAGTGCATTTTAAAAAGTTCTTTGTTATGGTATAATTTTAGATTTATAGAAAAGTTACAAAAAGTGTGCAGAGTTCCCATACACCCTTGACCCAGCTTCCTCTAATGTTAACATCTTACGTAACCATTGACCTTAAGTTTTCAAGTGATGGGTGTGTGTCTACATCTGTGCATGCGTGCATGCACACACCCACCCACACACGCACCCCCCCATGCACACCTCCCCCACGCACACCCCCCCATGCACACCCCACCCCCCCACGCACACCCACACACACACACACAGTGCCAGGGAGGCAGCCCTGTTGTCTGTCAGCCTTTTCATAGCTCATCATATTTACACCTCCTGGATACAGAGTGGACCCTGGCCATGGCAAAAGCAGGCAAGGAGCTACTTTGAAGCTGAAGTTCCAAAGCAGGAGATACGGGGAAAACAATCAGCTGCTACAGAGCTCTGAATATCATGTGAACCCAGTGCCACTTGAACTTTATTTAGTAGAAGATTGGCCTGAGACACTTAATATAGAAATCCCAGCCATCATGTGAGAATTCCATTCCGTGCAAGTACAAATACAAGAGAATTTGGGAATGTTCACTTTGGCTTGTGTTATGCTAAGTCATCTCACTTCTTTCCCATCTAATTTATGAATCAGAACACCAACAATATATACCAGTTTATTAACTAATGAATCAGGAGCAACAAGCCCATCCATCTACCCATCTGCATGGATTTGAGCTTTATTCAGTAGTACTTTGCCTTGGAAATGGTCCAGGTTATTTTGGAAACGGATATTCAATTCAAATGATGACAGCCATTGGCACTCACTCTGGGGCTCAGGAGGGAAACCACGCCCTTCTAGGCTATTGCTGACGCCATCCCTCCAGAATGCAGCTGTCTCGGGTGGAGGCTCTGGGACAGCTGCTTCTGGCTAAGGCTGCCCATTTGGGAGAAGGGGACATTGAAATTGCAAGAGGAGTCATGGCTGAGAGAGATCCTGCTCATATGTGTGGCAGGAATCCTACAGCAGACAAGATTTTGACAATGGACAAGTCACTCACCTTCTAACATGTCCACTTTCCTGTGGATGAAGTGGAATTTTCCAAAAGCAGGAGTACAGTGCTGCCTGTTACTCTTGTGAAACTCTCAATCTCTTGGTGAACTACTGGTATTATAAAGGAGTGCCGTATTAGCGGAGGTGCAAACAAAATGCTTCAGTGCTTTTGATTCCTTTGGCTAAGGATAGGTCTTAATTTTGAATATTTTTTTTCCTACTAGGGCCAATTTCAAAAAAAATCAAGTTTGCATTCACATGTTTAATAATTCCAGTTATACTTTTAGCATTAAAAAATATGCTTGTCTTGGAGACTATTTTTTAACATTTCAGAATCTACAAAACCAGCTTAAATACAGCATGACTATACTGCTACCCCTCTGAAAAACTTTGTATTTGAGTCCTGGCACCTCTGAGGCTTCTTCATGTTGGTGGTTTTTATTTTCCTTTTCACTGACCATGCATGCTACTCTGTGTGAAATAGGGTTTGTGAAATAGGTTGTGTCAGCGCTATCTGTATGCCTTAAAACAAAGTATTATGCTGTTGAGAAAAAGCAAAACAAGGATAGGTCTTTAACAAAGACTATTTAGGCTGCTGCTGCCTAATATAATTCTCATCAGTGAAGTCTTCACTTTGTTGGAAAACAGTGCCTGACACTCCCTTGTGTCCTGCCTGGTGGGACTTCCCTACAGCCCCTTGAGCTGTTTTCCAGGCTCTGCACTGCAGTGAAGGCGTGTTTGTCTTATGAGGGGATGTGCACTGCACTTTCACCTGTATTACCTCACTCCCCAGAGCCACCTTAGGAGATGGATGACATTATCCCTGTTTTTGAGATATGGAGGACGTGCTTCAGAAATTTTAAGAAACTCAAACAAGGTCACACTGGTAGTGAGTAGTAAAGTCAGAATTCCAGGCCTGGTTTTCCAGTACCAAATCCAGTGCTTATTCTCACAGACCATGGGTCAAATCCATCCCACCGCCTGCTGTTATAAATAAAGTTTTATTGGAATACAGCCACACCCATTCATTTCCATATTTTCTGACTGCCTTCCAGCTACAACTGCGGAATTGCAACGGAGACTGTATTGCCCTCAAGGCCTGAAATAGTTATTATTTTCCGCTTCGCGGGAAAAGTTTGCCAAGCCCTGCCCTAAGCCATTGCTGAAGGAGCATCCGGGTTTTGTCTGTCAGTACATTCCCCACTGCCCCTGCCCAACCAGGAATGCCTTTGTGATGCAGTTCTTGCTCTTTTGTAAAGGTGGGGCTGGGTGTGGTGGCTTGTGCCTGTAATCCCAGCACTTTGGGAGGCTGAGGCGGGCAAATCAGTTGAGATCAGGAGTTTGAGACCAGCCTAGACAACATGGCAAAACCCTGTCTCTACAAAAATTACAAAAACTAGCCAGGCCTGGTGGGACACGCCTGTAGCCCCGTCTCCTTGGGAGGCTGAGGTGGGATGATTGCTTGAGCCTGGGAGACAGAGGTTGCAGTGAGCTGAGATTGTGCCACTGCATTCCAGCCTTGGTGACAGAGTGAGACTCTGTCTCCAAAAAAAAAAAAAAAAGTGGTGGGAGCCACACAGTGAAAAAAGCATATGTGCCGGGGCAGCCCAGCTGTGCCTTATTGTCTGCTCTCTGGCCCTGTGGTGGGCTGAAAGTTCTTACCATACTCCCATCCAGATGTAGAGTCTGTAACCTTTCCCCTTGAATCTGCGTTGGCCCGGTGATGTATTTTGACCAATAGTTTGCGGTAGAAGTGACACTGTGTAACTTTTAAAATTGAGTCTAAAGAGATCTGTAATTTCTGTCTCATACTTTGAACACCCCTTCTTGGGATCCAGCCAGCATGTGAGAAGCCCTGGTGGCCATGTGGAAATTATATCCACGTGAGAGAGAGGCCCAGTCATCCCTTTCAGAGCACTAGAGATGGGAGGGAACCCATTTTACATGCCCAGCCCTTATTACTATCTGACCTGAGGGAGATCACAAATGCCTTCTGTATTGGGTGGTAATGATACATCACAAAAATGCGAATGCTCGCAGCCAGGCGGGCGCTGTGGCTCAAGCCTGTAATCCCAGCACATTTCAAGCCTAGGTGGGTGGATCCCTTGAGCCCAGGGGTTTGAGACCAGCCTGGGCAACGTAGCAAGACCCTGTCTCTACCAAAAATACAAAAATTAGCCAGTCTTATAACCCGGTCTCAAATGAATAAATAAATAGAGGGATACAAATTAAAAAAAAAAACCTTTAAAAAGAATTCTCTTACAGTCTGATGTCAATGTTGGAAGATTAAGAAATAAAATAAATTTTTGAACTTGCTGTCTGAGTTACCCAAATGTAATTTCTAAGAACTCTAAAATATTATCACCTAGAATCTAGGAAGCTACCATGTGATCCTAGACTAATAGCATAGAATGAATGTTGCTTCATTATGAACTTATTATGGAAATACAAATACATAATAAATACTTTAAGCAGACTATAGACTGTTTCCTAAAATACTGAAGTTAAAATATTTGTGCTAGACTTCCTGATATGAAAAGCTTTTCTCATAATGATTTGTGAATTAATTTTACCATAGAATAGTAAGGGTATATTTTTAATGGGTTAAGTAGCTATACTTAAAAAATACATGCCAGGCATGGTGGCTCACACCTGTAATCCCAGCACTTTGGGAGGCCGAGGCGGGCAGATCACGAGGTCAGGAGATCAAGACCATCCTGGCTGACACGGTGAAACCCTGTCTCTACTAAAAATAACAAAAAATTAGCCAGGCATGGTAGCAGGTGCCTATAGTCCTAGCTACGCAGGAGGTTCAGGCAGGAGAATGGCGGGAGGCTGAGGCAGGAGAATGGTGTGAATCCGGGAGGTGGAGCTTACAGTGAGCTGAGGTCGCGCCACTGCACTCCAGCCTGGGTGACAGAGCAAGACTCTGTCTCAAAACAAACAAACAAACAAACAAAAATTAGCTGGGCATGGATGCACACACCTGTAACCCCAGCTACTCTGGAGTCTGAGGCACGAGAACTGTTTGAACCTGGAAGGTGGAGGTTGCAGTGAGCCAAGATTGTGCCACCGCACTCCATCCTGGGCCACAGAGCGAGACTCCCATCTCAAATAAATAAATAAAATAAGATAAATAAAAATACAGATTGAGTATCCCTTTGCCAAAATGCTTGGAACCAGAAGTGTTTTAGATTTCAGATTCTTCTGGAATTAAGAATATTTGCATTATACTTGCGGATTGAACATCCCAGGTTTGAAATTCTGAAATCCAAAATACTTCAATGAGTATTTCCTTTCAACACCATGCCAGTGCTCAAAAGTTTTGGATTTTGGAGCATTTTGGGTTTTGAATTTTCAGATTTGGGGTACTCAGCTTGTGATTATGTTGCGTAAAGGCTATTCAGTTTGATATTAATCAGACAATATCAAACTGAATAGCCTTTACCCAACATAATTGGGCCACAGAATTGTGGAAGTACTGGAATAGTTTTATTTATTTTTTAAGAAACAGGGTCTCATTTTGTTGTGCAGGCTGGAGTGCAGTAGTGCCATCATGACTCACTACAGCCTCGACCTCCTGGGCCCAAGCTATCCTCTCACCTCAGCCTCCCAAGTATCTGGGACTATAGGCGTGTACCACCACACCTGTCTCATTCTTAATTTTTTTATAGAAATGGTGTTCCACTATGTTTCCCAGGCTGGTCTCCAACTCCTGGGCTCAAGTGATCCACTCGCCTCAACCTCCCAAAGTGCTGGGATTATAGGCTTGAGCCACCACACCTGGCTATCTCTTGAATCCTAACTCCATGTTGAGCTTTTAAAGGGTTTTCTTATTCCTTGTGCCAAAAATGCCTTTTCTACCCTTCCAACAGAACAAACCCCTATTAAAGTTTTAGTTGAGGCTGGGTCCAGTGGCTCACGCCTGTGATCCCAGCATTTTGGGAGGCTGAGGCAGGCAAATCACTTGAGGCCAGGAGTTCAAGACTGGCCTGGCCAACATGGCAAAACCCCGTCTCTGCTAAAATTCCAAAGATTAGCCAGGCATGGTGGCACACACCTGTAGCCCCAGCTATTTGGGAGGCTGAGGCACGAGAATCTCTTGATTCTCGGAGGCAAAGGTTACAGTGAGCTGAGATTGTGCCACTGCACTCCAGCCTAGGCAATAGAGTGAGACTCTGTCTCAAAAAAAAGAAAAGTTTTAGTTGTGAAGGGGAAGCTCTGAAGTGTGTTAGAACCCCTAAGTCCATGGAGGGATTCACTTGCTCTGAAATGGGATGGTCATGGAGAGAGAGAGAGAGAGAGCACCCAGCGTGGGAAGGCTGGGTGTGGACATCGACCCCCACCCCCACCCCAAGCAGCAAGGTCATGAGCCGTGCAGAAGTGGGACCTTCCGCCGTTGGTGCTTCTGGAAGTAGTGCCCAGCAAGGACCAGTGAGGAGCTAGTATTCCTTAGCTTAGGCACGGCTCAGTCCTCCCTGCCTACCATGCATGCAGTTTGTAGCCTGTGTGTTTCCTGTTTTCATTTCCTATCTTGCTATTACTTTTATGCATTGGCTTATCACAGCCCACTCACTCTAAGGCCATCTTGCCATCCCATGACATGGTCACTGAAGGCCCAGCTGTCACTGTTTATTCACTTGGTGTGTACATGACTGTTTGGACCCGTTTCCTAGTAACGGCCCTGTTAATTTCAATGAGAAAGGCTAATGGGGTGCCTTTTTCAGGGGCTGGGGGGAGGGATGATGTGCTCCCTTTAGCCCCTCTGTGTCTTTGGTCCTTGACCTCACTGTTTCCTGGGGGATTCTTATACAGAGGCTCTTGGCTTCTTCTCTCAATACCACACATTCCTAATTATTTGTGCTACTTCTTGAGTAATCTTGAGGTCTGCTTTGGATTACTTATCAAAAGTGGCTGATAAAATTTGAGCTGTCGTTTCCCAGATGTGTGTGTTAGTGCTTCGTAGAGAATTTCTTCTTTGTACTCAAGTTGATTTAAGTCTAGAATCTGACTTTTAATTGTGGACCAAGCAAAACCCCCTTGCCTCTCTAGGGATTATTTAGAATTAATAAAATCAAGTACTTTTTCACACGAGCCTGAAGGAATTGTTAACTGAAGGAACTTTTATGTGATACAGTTTGTTCTGAAAATTAGGTATTTAAGGACTTTGTCAATTATGGTTAAGCACATTTTTTATTAAAAAGAACAAGATATGTAGCTAAGTGGCTGTGTCCGGGCTGAGATGTTTCTTCTCACTCGATCCTACAGTGAAGTCAAAATATAGTGACAGATTCAGTTTCCATAGCTGCAGAATCTGTTTTCAAAAACACAAGGCTGTGATTTCACTGTAGTTCAGTGCACATTGAGAAGCTAATATGGAAATAGAAATGAAACTTTTCAAAATACATGCCTTAAAACAAAAACTTCCAGTTCCCCTTTAGTGCTTAGATGAGATTTTTTTTTTTTTCAGGCTTTGTAAGTTTTGCAGATTAATTTCAGAAGTTGACGGCAATGTGATCCTGGTGGACTGTCATTCTGTAGTGTTAGTCAGGAAGCCCCTCACACACTTTCTTCTCATTTCCTAATGCGACAGTTGGTTCAGTGAATATCCATTGTGCTTTATAGGTTGATATTGATATGTTTGTAATTGGCCTATCACGTAGTTAGTTTTTTTTTCTTTTTTGGCAATCACCTTTTTCCATGTGAATTTTCAAAAAATGTATTTATTTATTTAGAAGCAGGATCTTATGGCCAGGCGCAGTGGGTCACTCCTGTAATCCCAGCACTTTGAGAGGCCGAGGCGGGCAGATCATCTGAGGTCAGGAGTTCGAGACCAGCCTTGCCAACATGGTGAAACTCCGTCTCTACAGAAGTACAAAAATTAGCCGGGCGTGATGGTGGGTGCCTGTAATGGGAGGCTGAGGCGGAAGATCCCTTGAACCTGGGAGGCGGAGGTTGCAGTGAGCCAAGATCATAATCACTGCACTCCAGCATGGGCAAGAGAGCGAGACTCTGTCTAAAAAAAAAAAAGAAGAAACAGGATCTTACTCTGCCACCCAGGCTGGAGAGCAGCAGTGGTGTGATCATAGCTCACTGCAGCCTTGAACTCCTAGGCTCAAGCGATCCTTCTACTTTAGCCTTTCAAGTAGCTGGGACTACAGGTGTGCCACCACGTCCAGCTAACTTTTTTTCTTTTTTAATCTTTTGTAGAGACTGAGTTTCACTATGTTGCCCAGGCTGGTCTCGAACTTTTGGCCTTAAATGATCCTTCAGCCTTGGTCTCCCGAAGCACTGTGATTACAGGCATGCCACTGCATGTGGTCCATTAGCTGTAGTTAAGAGAAAAGAGTTGGGTTGGTTATTTTCAGTGCCTTGGGCATAAAGAGTGAATCATTAAGTTCATTTTGCACTCTTTGAGTTTTACCGTGTTCCAGGCACTGAGGACACAACAGTGAACTAAAACAGGTAGAAGTGAGTCTTTAAGGAATGAAATATAATTCGTCTCTACTTGAAATTTGCACATAGTCTGTTTGTAGGACAATACCTATTGAAATAGGGTCTCCATTTCGCCAACAAGTTAACCCTTACTACTTATGGGAAATTACCTCAGTGGTAACTGTAGAGCAGTCATTTATTGAACATTAACTGTATGCTTAGAGTGCATTTTTCTTTACATTATTGTATTAGCTCGTTTAATCCTTGTAACAGCTTCCCATTTTATAGATGAGAAAACTGAGGGTTGTAGGGGTTAACTGATTTTAACTTGGCCAACATCATACAGTGACCTATTCTGACTGTGTCTTTCTGTCCCTACAGGATTTGAACTTATAGTGGAAGTACTTTAGGAAATGCATTTGTGTCTGTGTAGTCATGGTTAGGAAATGTGCTCATGTCAGGCTGTTTAAAAGTTGTGGAGGCTAGGCATGGTGGCTCATGTCTGTAATCCCAGCACTTTGGAAGCTGAGGTGGGTGCATTACTTGAGCACAGGAGTTTGAACAACATAGTGAGACCCTGACTGTGTATATACACACACACACACAATTAGCTGGGCGTGGTGGTGCATGCCTGTAGTCTCAGCTACAGGTGGGAGGATTGCTTTAGCCCGGGAGGTCAAGGCTGCAGTGAGACTTGCTTGTGTCACTTTACTCCAGCCTGGGTGACACAGCAAGACCCTGTCTCAAAAAAAAAAAGAAAAAAGAAAAGTTATGGGTGGGTCGGATGGTGCAGTGGTGCTAAGCTCACTTAGCTGTCAACAGGGGAGGGCTGGGTTTGTCATGTTGGAGGTCAGACAAGTACCTAATAAGGAGGTAACTGAGGACTGTTGGATGTATTTCTCTGGGTGGGGATGGTCTGCCTGTGAAGATGAAATTCTATTGGAAATATTCTTTAATTATATTTTTACATGTCTCACTTTTATTTAAATAGGGATACTATATTCTGTACTTTGTTTTGTGACCTGCAATTTTCCCACTTAATCTATCTCTAGAGCGTCTTTTCTTGGCCACCATGTGATTCTCTGCAGTGTTACTGGAAATGGCGTTGTGGTGAAAAATGTGCAGACATGATATATGGGAGGACCATGCCTTATTTAATCAAAATCAGTATTATTAGACATTTTCATTTTCCAATTTTTAACAGTTATATAACTGCTGAGGAAAGTTACATCTTTGTATGCAGTTATGATTTTTCTTAGAAAATAACTGAAGAAGTGGAATTGCTTTTTTTTTTGAGACAGAATTTTGTTCTGTCACCCAGGCTGGAGTGCAGTGGCGCAGTCTCCCCTCACTGCAACTGCTGCCTCCCGGGTTCAAGCGATTCTCCAGCCTCAGCCTCCCCAGTAGCTGGGATTACAGGTGCCCGCCACCACACCTGGCTAATTTTTGCATTTTTAGTAGAGACAGGGTTTCACCATGTTGGCCAGGCTGGTCTCAAACTCTGGACCTCAGGTGATCTGCCCGCCTTGGCCCCACAAAGGCCGGGATTACAGGTTTAATCCACTGTGCCCAGCCTGGAATTGCTTTTGATTCATGTTCCTGGGTGTGAGTGAGCTTGTTACCTGCACCCTTGTCAGCAGCAATAGTTATTATAATAATTATGAATAATAATAATTATTATAATTATAATAATTATGAATAATAATTATAATTATATTAATTATAAATAATTAATATAATTAATTGCCAGTTTGACAGATAACATGATAGTATCTCATACTTGTTTTATTTTTCATTTCTTTGATCACTAGTGACATTTTTTTTCCTGAAAACTTTTATTACTGAATTTTATTGTTGTTGCTGTTGTTTTGAGACAGGATCTTACTCTGTCACCCAGGCAGGAGTGTGGTGGCGCCATCATGGCTCACGGCAGCCTTGAACTCCTGGGCTAAAGCAATACTCCCATCTCAGCCTCTCAAGTAGCTGGGACCACAGGTGCGCACTGCTGTATCTGGCTAATTTTGTTTATTTTTTGTAGAGATGAGGCCTCACTATGTTGCCCAGGCTGGTCTCCAACTCCTGGGCTCAAGCAATCCTCCTGCCTTGGTCTTCCAAAGTGTTGAGATTACAGGCATGAGTCACCATGCCCAGCACTGAATTGTCTTTAATAAAGATACAGAAGGTGTGGCACAGTAGCTTGTGCCTGCTGGTTCTTTTTATGTCCCAACTGTTTGTTCTGATAAATTTTAAATCTGTAAGTGGTGAAATAAGAATACAGTGAAGTACATTGATGTTTATATTATGCATTTATTAGCATGTTTGCCAGGAGCTATTGTAATAAACAGCCTTGGGTTCAACACCAGCTTCACCTGTTGGTTCTTAGGCCTGTGGGCAAGTTATCTCCAGCCCTAGTTTCCCCATTGGTGACTTGAGGAGGGTGATGTTGTGGGCCTCATGGGCTGCTGTGAGTTTTTGGACAAATAACTCCTTGGGGTAATGCACCCAGGCCTGGCTAAGCACACAGTCACTTTGCAGTAAGTGGCAGCCAATATTGCTCTTTTCCTTGTTGGAGTCATGATTTTTTAAAAGCCAAGTTCCTCCTACGGAGTGAGTGCAGTGAAAGCCAGGACCTAAGGAGGAATCACAAACAGAACTGTTCTCTTCCTCTCCTACCCATGTCCCATATTCCCGGACCTCTTTCTCACTCTAGTTATTTTGTTAACTTTATCCTAGGCTGTGACAGCTTGGCAGCCGCTGTTTTTGGGTGGATAAGGTTCATTCCTAATCCAGGCCTGTTCACTGGGAGGCATGAGGCCCCAGGTGCTTGCCTTCCCATAGATACCCACTCTTGGTAGGGCGTGGTGGCTCATGTCTGTAATCCCAGCACTTTGGGAGGCTGAGGTGGGCTGATCACCCAAGAGCAAGAGTTTGAGACCAGCCTGGCCAACATGGTGAAATCCCGTCTCTACTAAAAATACAAAAATTAGCTGGTTTTGGTGGTGGGCGCCTGTAATTCCAGCTACTTGGGAGGCTGAGGCAGGAGAATTGCTTGATCCTGGGAAATGGAGGTTGCAGTGAGCTGAGATCGCACTATTGCACTCTAGTCTGGATGACAAGCGAAAGTCTGTCTCAAAAAAAAAAAAAAAGATACCCACTCTCTCTCCCCCTTTTCTTTCTCCCCCAGAGACCCCCTGCCATTCAGAGTGATGACACATGCAATGTGGGCTGCAGGCCATCCTGCTTCGGGACATCTAACCCTTCTCAGGCAAAGTTTTCCTCTTCAAAGCAATAGCTTTTCAGCCTGGAGTCTCAGATTTCCAACAGGGATTTGGGATGAGATTACCACTCCTACCACCCTTCCTGGCTTTGGCCAGCCTCCAGAATTCCTCCTGGTGTCCTGAGAATGTGGAGAGAACCCTGCTTCAGGTTCTGATTTTCTGATTGGACGTTACAGTGGGGCATGTAATATCCTGCTGGGATGCCTCTCTGAGAACTGCCTCCATCCTGCCAGCTGCCTGTCAGGCTGGCGTCGTGCCCCTTGGCTGGCAGTATTAAGCGTCCGGAGGCCACTATGTACCCAAAACAGCAAGCCCGTTGGCCTGGTTTGCTGGAGAAGCCCCTTTGCAGAGCAATGTCCTGTGGTCACCATTCCTACACTGGCCTGGGAGTGCTGTCTCTCTCGGGAGTCGCCAGCCAAGTTTTGAATGTCTGACTCAGCTTTTTGGGTCTTTCAGGTGGTGCATCTTCACTGGACCTGGGCCAGCTGGTCTCACTGAACTTGCTTTGTGCCGGAAAGCTCTGCTCGTAAAGGTTCCATTGTAAACGAAGGAGGAGGCCAGCTGTACGCAGGCTCTGCAGCTCAGCCTCTTAGCCTGGTTTCCTGTGGCAGGAGAGGGAGCTATTTATGGCATTTTATAAATCTGCTGCCATCAGCCAGGGAGAGATGCAGACCGTTATGTAAGGCTGTCAGTGTGCAGCTTTTTTTTTTTTCTTTCTCTTTTTCTTCCTCATTTTGGGAGACAGGCGTGAGCTTACAGAAGGCAGCGTGGTTTGGGATTTCTTTTCTCTCAGTTGCAGCAGAATTATTTTTGGAAACGGGGATTTGGTCACATGACAGCAGTTTTCATTCATGAGATGTGGATCGATTAAATGGATTTCTCTTTACTTCATAGGTGTTTACTGAGGGCAGTGCATGTGTTGGGGTGTTTGCTTCTGTCCTAAACAAGGTTTAGAGAAGAGAGAGGGCTGGATTCTGGAACTAAATTGGGTCAGAGTTATTTTTCTCCAGTTGCCTTGAGTTGTGGAATTTTTCTTTGAGTGACCGTTGATTTATTATTTGGGGGGATTCCCTTTTTCCAGGGCCAGAGAAAGGTTTAGCCTTAAAAGTGGCATTTATTTTGTGTTTATCTGTGTGCATATGTGTGTTTGTGTGTTCGTGGGCCTGAGTGTATATGAAATGAGAGCAAGAGAGGACAGACACGCATGACAGCATGCACGTGCAGCCCCCAGTCCACATACAAGTCTGCCCTGAAGTCATTCGAGCAGAATCTGTAACAGGGGCTGCCTGGGGCCCCTAGCTGTTCTGGCTTGTGCTGTTCAGGAGGCCCTGGGGGCTCTCCCAGGAGTTCACAAGAGGCTCTGGCAGTTGTCCTTGACCCTTTGTCATCTCCTTCCCTGCGCCTTTGGTTACCCTGACACTGCTCCGACTTTCTGACTATAGTTGCTGCTGTCGGCTCGTCTAAATCTTTCTTATTCTGTGGGTGGTCACACACACCGTCTTCCAAGATGCTGCTTCCCTTCACAGCATAGTGTAGCAGTAGTTGCAGTTTTCCAGTGATCAGAAATGCTTCCCAGTCCTACATCTACAATTATTTGAGATAAACTTTGATTAAGTCACTTAATCTTTGCCCAAGCCTTTTCCCCAACCCCTGCCTCACAAAATGGGGATGATTCTACGAAGCTCTAGCATATGATTATTGTACGGGCAGGACCTGTGGCCTAGGGCATGTGAAAGCCCATTGTGAGGTGTATAGCATGAGGGTCCTGTGAGGCGGATAACGGCTTCTTGACAGCCTTGCTTTTTTGCTCACCTGGCATTGTTGCTGTAAACCTGCAACTCATCTCCTCATCTCCCACCTGTTCAACTTTTACATGATATTTTCCACTGCGCAGCCACTTGTCCAGTTATTTAAGGAGCTGACCCGGACTGATGGGCGTGCCAGAAAGGTCAAATGAGGTAGGAGAGTGGTAAGATGAAAGACGGGAGGAACAGACCTCTTTGCATGGTTGCCTGTCAGCTGCCCCCAACCCAACTTGACCCCGGAGTTCAGACCCCATCATTGTCCTAGCTGGAGTATGCATATTTCATATATGGACTTGAGCAGTCTCAGCGAGTCTTTGCTTTGAGTTCCTTTGCCCCTGTTACGACAAGAGGGTTGTTTTAAGAGAGAGTGGACAGATGTAGGAGAATGGTCAGTGGTCAAGGATCACATGGAATGTCCGATTCTCCACTGGACCATGAGCTCCTTTAAGAGCAGTGTTACTTAGAGCCATCATAGGGCAAGCAGTGTCTTTGGATCCATTCAAAGCTAGACTCGCATCCTAGGCAATGTTTAGTCTTTGTGTTTCCTCTCTTGTAAAAAGTGGGTGCTGATATTACTTTATAGGTTGTAAGCCTTAAACAGGGTCATGCATGTTAATTACTGAGCATAGTACCAGACCACTGGCCTGTTTTACAATTACAAGAGTGCTGGGGCTGTCGACGCTTTAAAAGAGCACATGTTGGTCTCATCACCTTCTACGCAGGCATCAGTTTGCTCAGAAAAGAAGCTGTAAAATGGCAAGAAAAAGAATTGCCCTGGCTAGAGAACAGGGAGACTGTAGGGCTGGTTGCAGCTTAAGCAAGGCCCTTCATGAGCGAGCTGGCCACAGATGAGAGACAAGGTCTTGGAGTGCCCACCCTGATTCCAAGTGACTGTCTGCAAGTTAGCTAGCTTTCTAGGGTGATTGTTCCTCAGATAGAAACAAAATGTTGAAAACATGCCTTCATTTAATGTTCAGCAGCAAAATGCTTATGATCCCAAGGGTGAGTCTCAGACTAGTTTTTTTTTTTTTTTTCCCAACTTTTATTTAGGTTCAGGTAGTACATGTATAGGTTTATTACATGGGTAAATGGCCTGTCACAGGGGATTGGTGTACAGATAATTTCATCAACTAGGTAATTAGCACTGTACCTAATGGAATGGGTAGTTTTTCAATCCTCACCCTCCTCCTACGCTCCACCTTCAAGTAGGCCCCATCGTCTGGTGTCTGTTGTTCCCTTCTTTGCGTCCATGTGTATTCAGTGTTTAACTTCCACTTACAAATAAGAAAATGTGGTATTTGGTTTTCTGTTCCTGCATTAAATCACTTAGGATAATGGCCTTCAGCTCCATCTATGTTGCTGCAAAGGACATTATTTTGTTCTTTTTTTATGGCTGCGTAGCATTCTGTGGTATATGTCCACATTTTCTTTGACCAGTCCACCACTGATAGCCATCTAGGTTGATTCCATGTCTTTGCTATTGTTTATTATTATTTTAAAAATTTAAAAAAAATTTTAATTAAAGGATGAGGTCTGGCTGGGTGTGGTGGCTCACGCCTATAATCCCAGCTACTCTGGAGGCTGAGGTATGAAAATTGCTTGAACATGGGAAGGGGATGTTGCAGGGAGCTGAGATAGCGCCATTGCACTTCAGCTTGGGTGACAGAGTGAGACTCAGTCTCAAAAAAAAAAAAAAAAAAAAAAAAAAGAATGAGGTATTACTATGTTGCCCAGGCTGGTCTTGAACTCCTGGGCTCAAGTGCTATTGTGAAGAGTGCTGCGATGAAGATACATGTGCTTATGTGTTTATGGTAGAATGATTTCTATTCCTTTGGGTATATGCCCAGTAATGGGATTGTTGCGTTGAATGGTAGTTCTATTTTAAATTCTTTGATAAATCTCCAGACTGCTTTCCACTGAGGCTGACCTAATTTATAATACATTTCTACCAGCAGTGGATAAGCATACCGTTTTCTCCTCAAGCTCACCAGCATCCATTACTTTTTGACTTTTTAATAGCCATTCTGACTAGTGTGAGATGGTGTTTTATTGTGGTTTTGCTTTGCATTTCTCTGATGATTAGTGATGTTGAGCTTTTTTTTCATATGCTTTTTGGCCATGTGTATGTCTTCCTTTGAGAAGTGTCTGTTCATGGCCTTTGCCCATTTTTAAAATTTTTAAAATTTTATTTTTTATTTTTTTGAGACAGAGTCTTGCTCTGTTGCCCAGGCTGGAGTGCAGTGGCACGATCTCGACTCACTGCCACCTCTGCCTCCCAGATTCAAGCAGTTCTCTTGCCTCAGCCTCCCGAGTATCTGGGATTACAGGTGCCCCTCACCACACCCAGCTAATTTTTTATATTTTTAGTAAAGATGGGGTTTCATGATGTTGGCTAGGCTGGTCTCAAACTCCTGACCTCAGGTGATCCACCCGCCTCAGCCTCCCAAAGTGCTGGGATTACAAGCATGTGACTGCACGCAGCCTCCTTTGCGCATTTTTAAACGTTTTTGTTTCTTGTAAATTTGTTTAAGTTCCTCATAGATTTGGGATATTAGACCTTTTTTTTTTTTTTTTTTTTTTTTTTGAGATGGAGTTTCCCTCTTGTTGCTCAGGCTGGAGTGCAATGGTGCGATCTCGGCTCATGGCAACCTCTGCCTTCTGTGTTCATGTGATTCTCCTGCCTCAGCCTCCCGAGTAGCTGGGTTTACAGGTGCTCGCCACCACGCCCAGCTGATTTGCATATTTTTAGTAGAGATGGGGTTTCACCATGTTGGCCAGGCTGGTCTCGAACTTCTGACCTCAGGTGATCCACCCGCCTCGGCTTCCCAAAGTGCTGGGATTACAGGTGAGAGCCACCAGGCCTGGCCAGATATTAGACTTTTATCAGAGGTATAGTTTGCAAAAATTTTCTCCCATTCTGTGGGCTCTCTGTTTATTGATAGTTTCTTTTGCTGTGCAGAAGCTCTTTAGTTTAATTAGATCCCACTTACCAATTTTTGTTTTTTGTTGTAATTGGTTTTAGAGTCTTTGTCATGAAATCTTTGCCAGGGCTCATGTCTAGAATGGCATTTTCTAGGTTTTCTTCTTAAATTTTTATAGTTTTAGCTTTTACATTTTATTCTTTAGTCCATCTTGAGTTGATTTTTTTATGTGGCAGAAGGAAGGGGTCTAGTTCCAATCTTCTGTATATGGATAGCCAGTTATCCCAGCACCATTTATTGAATAGGGAGTCCTTTCCCTATTGCTTGTTATTGTTGGCTTTGTGAAAGATCAGATGGTTGTAGATGTGCAGCTTTACTTCTGGGCTCTGTAACCTGTTCCATTGATTTATGTGTTTGCTTTTATACCAGTACCATGCTGTTTCAGTTACTGTAGCCTTGTAGTATAGTTTGAAATCAGGTAAGTGTGATCCTTCTAGCTTTGTTCTTTTTGCTTATAATTGCTTTGGCTATTTGGGCTTTTTGTTGTTTTTGTTGTTCCAAATGAATTTTAGAATAGTTTTTTTCTAATTATGTGAAGAATATCCTTGGGAGTTTTACAGGAATAACACTGAATCTGTAAATTGCTTTGGGCAGTATGGTTATTTTAATTATATTGATTCTTCCTATCCATGAGCATGGAAAGTGTTTCTTTTTTTCTTTTTACCTCGAGGCAGAGTCTTGCTCTGTCATCCACACTGGAGTGCAGTGGCATGATCTAGGCTCACTGCAACCTCTGCCTCCTGGGTTCAAGCAATTCTTTTGCCTCAGCCTCCCAAGTAGCTGGGATTACAGATGTGTGCCACCATGCCCAGCTAATTTTTGTATTTTTAGCAGAGACAGCGTTTCACCATGTTGGCCAGGCTGGCCTTGAACTCCTGACCTCAAGTGACCCACCCACTTTGGCCTCCCGAAGTGTTGGGATACAGGCGTGAGCCACCATGCCTGGACTGTTTTTCCATTTGTTTGTGTCATCTCTGATTTCTTTCAGCAATGTTTCATAATTCTCATTGTAGAGATCTTTCACCTCCCTGGTTAGCTGTATTCCTAGGTATTTTGTTCTTTTTGTGGCTATTGTGAATGGGACTGAGTTCTTAATTTGGCTTTCAACTTGGACATTATTGGCGTATAGAAATGATACTGATTTTTGTACATTGATTTTGTGTCCTGAAACTTTACTGAGAGTATTTGTCAGAACTAGGAGCCTTTGGACAGAGACTGTGGGGTGTTCTAAGTATAGAATGTTATTGTCTGTGAAGAGAGAGAGCGTCTCAGACTTTTATCCAGTTTCAGACCTACCATCCCAGGCCTGGCAGCCACCCACTTTCGTTGTGTCTACTTCTTCCGCAGTTTGACAAGTGGGTGGTGGCACCACGTTTTGTAGACGAAAGAAATTTCAGAACTTGGCCAGAGGCTGCTGTCAGTAGGTAATGGTTGAGGTGGGACTAAATCCAGGCCTGTCTGGTATGTTAGATCTAAATCTGACCTTCTGGGGCAAAGGGTCTGAGTGGCTGTGAGGTGACTCTGGTTTGCCTTCCCACTAAGCTGGGGTAACATGGGGGCTCCAGAGACAGTTTATGCCTTCAGAATCAAAGGCCCCTGTGGGAGGCAAATCTAAACTCATCCCCTCAAGATTTCTACCCACTAGTTATTCAGTCAAGCACGGATCTAGATACTTCTGTAAAGGGACTGTGCCGTGCAGATGGAATTAGAACTATTAATCCCTTGACCTTAAGATAGGGAGATTGTCCTGGATGATCTAAGTGGGCACCGTGTTTTGAGCCTGTAAAAACAGAAAAGGAAGGCAGAAGAGGAGGTTAGAAAGATGAGGCAGAGGCCAGGCACGGTGGCTTATGCCTGTAATCCCAGCACTTTGGGAGGCTGAGGCAGGCGGATCATGAGGTCAGGAGATCGAGACCATCCTGGCTAACACAGTGAAACCCCATCTCTACTAAAAATACAAAAAATTAGCCGGGTGTGGTGGCGGGTGCCTGTAGTCCCAGCTACTCGGGAGCCTGAGGCAGGAGAATGGTGTGAACCTGGGAGGCGGAGCTTGCAGTGAGCCAAGATCAGGCCCCTGCACTCCAGCCTGGGAGACAGAGGGAGATTCCATCTCAAAAAAAAAAAAAAAAAAAAGAAAGAAAGAAAGAAAGAAAGATGAGGCAGAAGGGGAAGTCATGGAATTCCAAGTGTGAAAAGGATTCCATATGCTGTCATTGGCTCTGGAATGTGGGTGGGAGCCACTTGCAAAATCTGGAGAGAAGCCTCCAGGAGCTCATGGAAAGCATAAGGAACACAGGAACAAAGGCTAGTGCCCAGCTGACGGCCAGCAGGAAACAGGGACTTCAGTCCTACAACCACAAGGAACTGAATTAGACCGGCAACCTGAATAAGTGTGGATATCAGTTCTTTCCCAGAGCCCCCAGTAATGGACTCACACCTGTGACACCTTGATTGGAGCCTGTTGAGATGCATGCTGGATTTCCAATATATGGAACTGTGATCGGATAAATGGCTATTATTTCAAGCCACTCAATTTGTGGTAATTTGTTACAGTAGTAATAGAACACTGACATAATCCCGGAGAACAATTAGTCCCTTTTTGAAAACTTTTGCCATACTTGGACCTGCTTGTTTAGAATTGCTGAGTAAAATCCCTTGGTATATCAGATGCCTCTGCCCAGAAAGAGGAAACCTTGAAAGCTCAGGTACCTGGCTGGCCATGGAGGGGATCACCCAGGACTAGCTTCTCCTTGTCACCTTTTGGGCTTCAACCTGGTGCTCTGGTTCTCATTTTCTCCTTACAATCTCTGAGTTTGTCGTGAAGGAAGCTCCTTCTTCTTTTTTTTTTTTTTTTGTTTTGAGATAGAGTCTTGCTGTCTTGCCCAGGCTGGAGTACAATGGTGCAGTCTCGGCTTACTGCAACCTCTGCCTTCGGGTTCAAGCAATTCTCCTGCCTCAACCTCCCGAGTAGCTGGGACTACAGGCGCTCACCACCATGCCTGGCAATTTTTTTGTATCTTTAGTAGAGATGGGGTTTTGCCATGTAGGTCAGGCTGGTCTCAAACTCCTGACCTCAGGTGATCCGCCCTCCTCGGCCTCCTAAAGTGCTAGGATTACAGGCGTGAGCCACTGCGCCCTGCTGGAAGCTCCTTTTTTTTTGTTGTTTTTTTAACCCCTTGCAAAATCAGTGATTTATTGTTTACAAAGGGCAGCTCTGTCTGCTCGTGATCTCCTACTGGAAGTTACCTGTGTGTGGGTGAGAATAGTTTCACAATCATTGCACCAGGGAGTGGAGAAGGACTTACCAGGGTGCACAAATCCTTCTGCATTTCCACCTGCCCTCTTTTGTACTTCCTGGAGTGGTATAGCTGGAAGGCAGTGTGTTGAAGGTTGCTCGATCCCTTCCTTGTCCAGATGAGGGGTCTGAGGCCCAGGGACATAACACAGTTTCCTCAGTGTCACACAGCTTTGAGTTTTAGTTAAGGTTCTGAGTCACAGAAATGACATCGGTTGAGGGTAGCGGGGAGAAAATATTAGGAACTTGCACACGTGTATTTTGTCAGCAAATTTGAGTTCAGTAGCAAACTGGCATAACGTTGAACAACCGTGCGTTAAGTACTCTTGACAAACTGGGGGCCGGAATTGTTGATCATTGAGTTGAGAAGAGTGGGGCAGGGGACCTGGGCCACCCACCCCAGGCTCAGCTTCCATGTATACTTTATCCTACTACTATTCCTGGCACCTCTTTTGCTGAAAAATTGACCTGGTTGCAGAATTTCTCACTCCTCTGCTAAGAAAAATCCTGCCTTCCTGCAGCTCTCTAGGCAGAATTCAGTAAACTAAACAGAGGCGCTTTCATCTCTCAGGGCCATGCCATCCACTCTCACTTTTCTTAAGCCTTGTTTGTTTCCTCTGCCTGAAAGAAGCCTTTTGCCTGGTGTGCCAGGGTTTGCTGGAGCCAGAGAACATCCAGGGCAGTGGATGCTTTGTTCCTGAGCCCCTGTGAAACCTCAGAAATGCCTGTTTACATTAGAGTGAAGTTAGGCTGGCACCTTGGGGAAAGATTGTCACCTTTGCCCTACAAATTCCTGGGTGTCCCCAGAGGGCACATGCTGTGACTCATTCTTCAAGCTAGAAAGTGGGTGGAGGCCTTACAAACCAGCTTTTGAGTAGTCTGTAAATGAGGTCTCCTGATCCTTGAATTGTATCTGGGTCATTTTACATGTTTGACTATTAAACTACTCTTTTTTTTTGAGATAGGATCTCACTGTGTCACCCAGGCTGGGGTGGAGTGGCACAATCATGGCTCTCTACAGCCTCAACTTCCTGGGTTCAGGTGGTCCTCCCACCTCAACCTCCCTAGTAGCAGGGACCACAGACACATGCCACCAATCCTGGTCAATTTTTTGTATTTTTTTGTAGAGTTAGGGTTCCACCATGTTGCCCAGGCTGCTCTTGAACTCCTGGGCTCAGGCCATCCACCCGCCTGGGCCTCCCAAAGTGCTAGGATTATGGTGTGAGCCACTGGGCCTGGCCACTGTGAGCCACATTTGATGTATATTGGTCTGTGTTGAAAATGAAGTAAGGTTAAACTCGAGCCAGCCTAGAGAGCCCATGGGCTGTGGTCTGCATACTTGGAACACTTAGGAGTCCCTCAGGTGGTTTTCATTGATTTCTGTTAGTCCTCAAGGTTAGCAGTGTGAAATTTGGGAGTTTAGACCCTTTGGTTCCAGTATAAATGATAGAACCTGGGCTTTAAAGCTTCAGGGGATCCTCAGAGTCATTTGCACCAAACCCCTTCTTTCATTTGTTGTTATTTATTCTACAGACATTTACTTAGTACCTAATATGTGCCAACACCGGTCCATGCTTTCAAGGAGCACACAATTTTTTGGGGGAGATCAGCCCTGGACAAATGGTGGTCAATGGACAATGCATGAAGCTTGTGTCTGAGATAGAGAGGCATTCCCCAAAATGTACTCCATGAAACAAATGCCATGTAGATAGGTATGTGGAGAAAGGATCCATAGTAAAGTAGGTTTGGAAATGCTGGCATATGAATACTATAGTAGAACCAAGAAAGGTGCCAGATTCTGAGAATCTGGAAATTATAATGTTAATGACAGTAATTATTTTGAGAATCTAATTTGTACTAGACACAGAGGTAAGTGCCTTATATGGATAAGTGCCTTACATTTTACAGAATTCAGTAGTTTGGATGTGCCATAATTTATAACTGTTTTTCTACGAATAGAAATTTGGTTGTTTTCCACTTGAATTTACTGGGTGAAAGCTTAGTTTTGTCATTTCAAGAGGGGCCTCTCAGGCTTCTGAATAGCTTTGCCAGTTGCTGTACATGTAAAATGTTCTTTGGATTTCAGAACTGTGGCTTGTGTTTCCCTTTTGAGTCTTGAGTGAGGTGAGCATTTGCTGATGTCTCCAAATTTTGTTTTTTTCAGGAAGTGCTTATACTTAAAATATTTCTTTTGTAGCAGTATGTTTCTGGGTTAAGTGTCTGGCAGCTATAAATGGAAACATCGATACTAGGAGGAGAAACAGTAGTGATTTAGGGCTATTGATCATGATTTAGGCCATCTCCCTCATTTTATAGGTAGTGAAAGCGAAAGTTATATAAAGCTTGGTTGTAAAACCTCTTTAAGAAATCTTCACATATTAGGGCCAGGCCTGGCAGCTCACGCCTGTAATCCCAGCACCTTGGGAGGCTGAGGTGGGTGGATCACTTGAGGCCAGGAGTTTGAGACCAGCCTGGCCAACATGGTGAAACCCCGTCTTTATCAAAAATAAAAAATTAGCCTAGCGTAGTGGTGCGTGCCTGTAGTCTCAGCTACTTGGGAGACTGAGGCAGAATTGCTTGAACCTAGGAGGCCAAGGCTTCAGTGAGCCGAGATCGCGCCACTGCACTCCAGCCTGGGAGACAGAGCACAAAACCTGTCTCAAAAAACAAACAAACAAACAAACAAAAACCAGAGAAATCTTTACATATTAGAGCCTTTGTTAAAAAAAAAAACACAAAAAACCAAAATCATATTGATTTAAATGAAACTGTCTTAGTTTTCAGAAGAACAATTGCATTTTGCAAAGTGAGAAAGTATTTCCAACTTCTGTGTATGGATCAGATAGAATATGTCTAAGTACAAGTTAAAGAAGGCTTGAATGAGGGTTCAATTTGTTAATGCATTTTAAAACCTTTTCAAGACCACATTCATCATCTACTGTTTTTCTGCCTACAGCATCTTTCTATGTTGATACATTAATATCTGTTGTGATGCTTCCTCTTGGCTTGGTTGACTTGTTGATAGCTGTCGCATAATTAATGACTCGATCCTCTGTTGTGGCTTGTTAGGTTGTAGCATTTCACTGTGCCATACATCTTTGACCTATATATACTTGAGCCCGAGAGCTACAGTAAATTTTGTCAGGCTGTTCTTCCAAATGTATACTCCTCGCCTTATTCCAGTAATACATAAGACTATAAGTTTCCTAAATCACTTGTGAACTTGAGCATCGTTATATTTTTTAAATCTTTGTTGTTGTTTTTTTAAAATCACTGTGAAGTTTCCTTAAACTGGGTGTGTATGTGTGTTGTGTTTTGGCAGGGGGAGGGAATTTTTATATCCTTTGCCCATTTTTCTTTTGGGCTATCTGCTTTAGGTCTGTGAATGAAGTGCATTATTTACATGTTGATTTTAAGTGTTCCCGGTTTAATTTCCCTGCCAGTTTTACTTTACCATGTCTTCCTCACCTTTTGAGTTCTTTATGGTGACCTGTGTTAGTGAGAGCCCATGAGGTGTCATCAGCAGACTTGGATCCCCTCAGGACCATCAGGGTCTTTGAGTTTCTAAATATCTGCCAATTGTTTTTGTGTATAACAGTAGCTTAATTGGGTATAGAAGTCTTATGTGACTATCTTTCACTTAAATTTCTGAGGAACTGGCTGGGTGCTGTGGCTCACACCTTTAATCCCAGCACTTTGGGAGGCCAAGGCAGGTGGATCACTTGAGTCCAGTAGTTCCATACCAGCATGGGCAACATGGTGAAACCTCATCTCTACTAAAAATACAAAAATTAGCCGGGTATGGTGGTGTGCGCCTGTAGTCTCAGCTACAGGCTAAGGTGGGAGGATCACCTGAGCCCGGGAGGTCAAGGCTGCGGTGAGCTGTGATTGTGCCACTGCACTCCAGCCTGGGTGATGGGAATGAGACCCTGTCTTTAAAAAAATAAATAAATAAAATAAATAAAATAAATAAATAAATTCTGAGGAATTATCCTACTGGTACGGCATGTAGAGATGTGGGGATACCTTTTTAATGTTTGTCAGATTTTTATCTAAATCTTTGGAATTTAAAATTTTTACTAGATTATATCCAAGAGTTTATTATTAGTTTTTCATTGATTTTGTCTGGGTCTTGGTGTAGAACCTTTTGATTTAAAGGTGTAAGTCTTCACCTCTAGAAAATCATTTTAAAATTAATGTTTTTATATACTTTACTCTTTTTGTCTTAAGCTTTTTTTGTTTTTTTCTGGAACTCTCATCAGTGTGCCTTTTTATCTTCTTGCTTTAGGGATGACTTCTCAAGCTAATTTATAGACTCGGTATCTGCATTCACTAATCTTTTCATCACTTAATTGAAATAGACATACAAAGAAAGTGTATGAGAGCTGGGCTTGGTGGTGTGCACCTGTAATCCCAGCTACTTGGGAGGCTCAGGCAGGAGGATCACTTAAACCCAGGAGACCAACCTGGGTAACATAGTAAGACTCCATATTTTTAAAAAAGTGTAAAAATAGTGTGTGAATTGTAAAGAGTACAGCTTGATGGAGTTTCATGCACTGATTCTAGTCAGCAAGTCAGTCTCCAGACCAAGAATCACAACTTGCCCAGCATGGAGAAGCCCCCTTGGGCCCCACTGGGGGTGGGTTGTGGCAGTGCCCAGCTTCCCTTGGCTTCAGCCGGTGAATTCCCATCCTGGACCCTTGACCATCATTGGTGACTCTTGGGGGTCTTCTAGTTCATCCTGCTCAGCCCTCTGCTGTCTAGAATGTTCTGGGTTCTTCTTGAGGATTATAGGCTTTTCTAGTGAGGCAGCTTATCCATTCATCTGTATTTGAGTCACTGACTAGGCGTGACAATCCCGTTTTCTTTTTTTTTTTTTTCCTTATGCCAATCCAGTTTTATCTACATGTTGTTTTGCAGAAATTCCTAAAGGTTCCAAGCTTCTCTTGTTAACTTTCTTTTCTCACCAGGGATATACAGACTCTCCTACCCATCCTTCCCATTTTCATATTTATTTTTTCATGTTAATGAGGGCAGGAAGTTTATTGCCTGGGCTGAGTTCATTTATACAGGCTGAGTATGTCTAATGTGAAAATCTGAAATTTGAAACTTTTCGAGTGTTTACATGACACTCAAAGGAAATGCTCATTGGAGCATTTCAGATTTCAGATTTTTGGATTTTGGACATTCATTTGGTAAGTATAAGGCAAATATCCCCAAATCTGAAAAAAAATCATTTTTTTTTCTTTTGGAGGCAGAGTCTTGCTCTGTTGCCCAGGCTGGAGTGCAGTGGCATGATCTTGGCTCACTGCAAGCCCCGCCTCCCAGTTTCAAGTGATTCTCCTGCCTCAGCCTCCTGAGTGGCTGGGTTTACAGGCATGCGCCACGATGCCCAGCTACTTTTTATATTTTTTAGCAGAGATGGGGTTTCACCATGTTGTCCAGGCTGGCCTCAAACTCCTGACCTCAAGTGATCTGCCCGCCTTGGCCTCCCAAAGTGCTGGGATTACAGATGTGAGCCACTGTGCCCAGTCAAAAATCCAAAATTTGAAACTCTTCTGTTCCCAAGCATTTCAGCTAAGGGATACTCCGCCTGTAATAGGAATTCCTGGTGTATTTTGGTAAATAAACCTGTTGGGAAAAAGGTCACAGATTCAGGGCTGTAGTTTTCTTTCAGAACTGACTCTACCATGTTGGGGGAAATGTCTATTAACTTTCTCTTTTTGTGTGTATGTGTTTTTTAAACAAACGATAATGCATCATTTATTAGAGCAGTGGTTCTCACACTTTTTTTGTGGGTGTGGTCTCAGGACGCCTCAAAGTTATTGAGCCTCCTAAAGCATTTTTATTTAAATGATTCTGTTGATTCATATGTATTGTAATAGAAATTGAAACATAAGATGTAAAACCACACGGATATGAAAGTTCCATTAATTAGCTTTCAGAGCAGTGGCATCATCACACATAATGTAGTCTCTGGAAAATTCCACTGTACATCCATGAAAGAGTGAGAGCGAGAGTGTCTGACTTTGTAGACCCTCTGAACTAGTCTCAGGAAACTCCAGGGATTCTCAGACCACACTTTGAGATCTCTTGTGCTGAGGAATGTTTTGTAGGTTTCCTTTTTCATTAAGCTCCTGTTTGACGTTTTGTGTGTACACATGTGATGTGTGTGCAGGTGCGCTGGGAGTTGAGGCAGCGGCACTCCTGAAATGTGTGGGAAATCGCCTGCATGTAGGTGTGCTGTTGCCGGCGCAGAGCGGAGTGTTCAGCAGCCTATGTCACATGCCATCTTTTCTCAGAAGTTATCTTTCATCCTAGTCAGATTTTAAATGAGGGTGAGTCTGTAGTTTTCATCAGATTCTTCTTTTTCTTTCTTTTTTTTTTTTTGAGATGAGTCTCACTCTGTTGCCCAGACTGGAGCCCAGTGGCATGATCTCAGCTCACTGCAACCTCTGCCTCCCCGGTTCAAGCAATTCTCCTGCCTCAACCTCCTGAGTAACTGGGATTACAGGTGCCCGCTACCATACCTGACTAATTTTTTTTTTGTTTGTGTATTTTTAGTGGAGATGGGGTTTCACCATATTGGCCAGGCTGGTCTTGAACTCCTGACCTCAAATGAGCCGCCCACCTCGGCCTCTCAAGGTGCTGGGATTACAGGAGTGAGTCACCGTGTCCAGCCATTTTCATCAGGTTCTTAAAGGAGTCCCCTAATTTCTCACTGTAGCTTAAGGTAGGGGCATACCTTAAAGTTCTTAGAGAGTTGAGAAGTTATTGTGGTTGAAAGAGTTTAAGAGAAACATATCTTATGTAATTCCATATACAAATAAAAATGTTACCTCTCTTTGTGTGTATAAATCCTGTAGGAATACAGGTTTTAGCTGTGCTCCAGTGTGTTTCTTTGCTTAGAGCTGCTTCAAGGCAGGTTTCAGTAAGCAAATGAAGCCATGTGCTCCACATTTTGGTCAATATTGATTAGTTGAATGGAACTTTGCTGCAGTTATTTTATTGAAACTAAGCAATGTGATTGGAGATGCCTTGACTTGAGAGAAACGCGTTTCAGAATTCGCAGTCTGAACGCACGTCATCCCGGGGCCCTCATTTTCTAAAGATTGTCCAGGTTTATCGATAGACTCTAACTGTGCCCCTCTCTTTCAATTGTCCCATAGATTCCCTATAAGGAGCCCCTGCTGGTGCACCAGAACTACCGGGGGCCATCTGCCCAACTGCCCCAGACTCTGGCAGTGGGGCCCCCGATGGCAGTGGGCACCTCCCCGTGAAACCTGCCAAGCTGGACGCCACAGCTCTGCACGACGACACTTTGGCCAACTCCGTGCCCCCTTCGGAGGCATGCAACCATGCAGTCCTAGCCTGCAGCCTGGGCATCCCTGAGGAACACTACATAAGCGAGGCTGTGGAAGATGCTCCCAGCTACAGAGGGTACCGGGATGCCTGCACCATTACTGGTATGGGGGCCCTTTCCCTGCCAGGGAGGAAGGGAGGGAGGTTTCAGTCACTGAGGACTAGGGAAGGAATGCAGCCACATGGGAGGGTCTTGGGGAGGTATGTGGAGAGGAACCACCAAAGTGCAAAAGACTCTGAGCTTTCGGATTGTGAGACCTCCAATCCAGAACCTGTTCTGCCAGTGAACCATTTTGTAACTTGTGTCAGTTGTTGACCTACTATCCTGACTGAGAGGTAGACAGCATTTCACTAAATTGTCATGAAGGTTAAAGATGGTAACATCCAAACCTGAGCAGCAAGCATGGCCCATCACAGGCACTCAGTGTATTGAACCCTTCCTTCTCTCTTTGCACTCAGCTTCTTCAGATATAAGACAGGTGTAGTGGGAATAACATGCACTGTCATTGTGGGATGCAAAAACAGAAAACTACATGGAGTGCCCTTTGTACACCATCAGGATTTGCACAGACATGGATTTTTACAGATACCTGTGTCAGTCATAACTCTCAGTGTCCCAGGTGGTAATCACCTAACATCTGTGCGGGCACTTAGTAGTAGAGCTATTGCTTTTTTATTTTCCCCAAGGAAGCATTGAGACAAGTGCTTGAAGCTAGCACAAGAGAGGGCTCTCAATGGAAATGGTGTAGGATGGTGTGCATAACAGCAGCAAGTGGCAAAATTATAGCTCAATCCAGTTGCATTCATATAGAAGTTTGCTTAATTTCTCATTTTTGTCTGCAGTGTTTGCTTTTGTTTGTCTGTTTGAAGTAATGCCTGATGACAGCTTAATATATGCAAGTTGGCTTCCAGTAGCTTCTCTTGGTTCTGTGTTACCAGTTAAGCCTTGAGGACCTCCTGTGTGTCAGGGGTTTCCTGGATACAGAAAGGCACAGAGAAAGCCGGGGGTCCCAGCCTGGTGCCTAGCTGCTGTGCTAGGCCCCCACACACCTCCTCTCCCTTTTTGTTAAGTGGCCCACATGTGTTGTCCTCCGCTTGTGACTGAGTCCCTCTCCCACTTGCCTGCCCCCTGAAGGACACAGTTCCAACATCTCCCTTTTCTCTACTGCATCATTCTTTTCCCCTTGCACTTGGGTCTTTCTTATTAGTGCAGAAACATGCTATGATCTCCCTCTTCGGAAATAGAATCCTTCTCAGTCCCGTGTTTCCCGCAGGCCAGTGTCTCTGCTCTTCTGTTTGCTTACTCTAGTTTTTCTTTTGTTCTCTCTGGAGTCCACTGCAGGCAGGCTCATGCCCCACCACACTGACAGCCTGGTTCAGTCCAGGGGTCTGTCCTCTGCCTTCACCTTACTTCACTTTTCAGTGGTAGTTCACACTGTTGCCAAGTCCTGTGTCCTGGAAGTACAGTCTTTACTTGGCTTCTGGGTCCCCACACTCTCCCTGTTCTTCTGCCTCAGTGGCTGCGTTTCTTCTTCTCCCAAGCCTGGGAACGTTGAAGGGCCCGGGGCCCAGCCTTTCCGCCTCTTTGCTCTTATGTGTGCACCTGTGCAGCACTTGATCTCACCCAGCACACAGGTTTTAAAATCGCCTTCTGTACTGGCCACTCGGTGGTTTCTGTACTCAGCCTGGCCCTTCCTCCTTAAGGCCAGATGTCTCAGACTGACTCCACATGAGTTTCCACTTAGATGTCTAACAGGCATGTCAAACTCAAATGACCAAAAATGAGCTCCTGGTTTCCACCTGCACCTGCTTTTCTTAGGGTTTTCCCCATCCTTGTAAATGGTGCTTTCATTATTCTAGTTGCTCAGGCCAAGAACCTTGGAGGCATTTGTGATTCTGCCTTTCTGCGATTCATACCCCAGTTTGTCAAGAATTCTGTTGGCTGTATCTTCAGAGTATGTTCAGAATCTACCCAGCATTTACTGTGTCCCAGCCACCCCCATCTCACACCTGGATGACCGCACTGGCCTTCCAGTGGGGCCTCTTACTGCTACCCTTGCCTCCCTAAAATTCTTTCTCCGCTCAACCATGAGAGTTGGCTTTTAATACAATCAGATGGTTTAACTCTCCTCCAAACTTCCAGTGAGCTCCCCTTCTATAGAGACCTGTAAGGAAGGGGCTGAATGACAGGAATCCCTCTTTGCCCCGCTGACCTGCCTCCTCTGTGCCCTCCGTGCTCCAGGTACACTGGCCGCCTCACTTAACCTTGAACTCACCAGGCACATCCAGCCTCAGGGTCTTTGGATTGCCTTAACTCCAGATATCCTTATGACCCCCTCTTCCTTCTCCAAGTGACATTTTATTTGATGCTTTTTGTGACCCCCCCCCAATACAGAGTGATCTGCCTCACCTTTCCCCATCTCCCTTTCCTGTTTAATTTTTTCCCCCAAACTTAACCATCTGCTGAACTACTGTATTTGTGTTTTGTCTCCCAAACTTGCAGTAGACTAAAGTCGCGGAGGGCAAACTCTGTGTCTACTTTGCACACTCCTGAATCCAGTGACTAACGTAGTGCCTGCCTGTGGCCAGCGCTCAGTGAACATTTGTTGGGTGTATCAATTGTGTCAATTTGTGCAGTGAGTACTATTATCCTCTTTGTGTAAGTGAAGAGTCTAAATCTCGAAAGGTTCAGCACCTTGGTGAAACTCCTGAGTGGCAGGAGTTGCATCCAGGTCTGTAGGACCCCAGGGCAAGGGTTCTTTGCTGCCTAAGAATTTAGTCTAGTTGGGGAGACAGATGAGTGAGTAGAAATTGGCTGTACACCGAGGTTAGCACAATGATAAGCACAGCACAGTAGGGCACCAAGGAGGGTGCCAGGCTGAACCTTGGAGGGGAAAGGACAGGAGAAGACCACGAGGGCTTTGTGGAGGAGGCGATGACCCAACCGCATCTACATTTGTCCAAACACATGAATTGATCCTTGGGATTCTAGTGGCATCTGTACCAGTGAAATCCAGGAAGCATCCAGCCTGTTAAAGTGCTTTCACTTTCTTTGAATGTGACAGTGGAGGGTAAAGAAATGGCAGAATGTACCGCTGAAACTTCACAGCTGGGCGTGGTGGCTCACGCCTATGATCCCAGCACTTTGGGAGGCCGAGGCGGGCAGATCACCTGAGGTCAGGAGTTCAAGACCAGCCTGGCCAACATGGTGAAACCCCGTCTCTACTAAAAATATAAAAACTAGCCAGGCATGGTGACGGACGCCTGTAATCTCAGCTACTTGGGAGGCTGAGGCAGAATTGCTTGAACCTAGGAGATGGAGGTTGCAGTGAGCTGACACAGTGCTACTGTACTCTAGCCTTGGCGACAGAGTGAGACTCTCTCAAAAAAACAAAACGAAACAGCAACAACAAAAAACACAACAAAGAAGTGGCAGAATGTAGTGCTGAAACTTCAAACCCTATAGGATGTGGTGACTTGGGGGTTCTTTGTTGGGACCAGAGGAAAGCTGAGAAACAGCTCGGTGCTGTTGTGTTTAGCACTGGCTTGGTAAACAGGAGAGTAAACACAGACACTCTTATGCGTTTAAGGGATGGGCTGTCAGGTGATGGAGAACATGCTCGGATTAAAGTTTTATTAGGCAGTCATTGAAAGGAAGACATTAAATGGAAAAAAGTTCTCCGAGAGACCTAGACTATCCCCAAGAATGCATCTGTGGCCTCCCAGGGCTTTGCCAAGTGCAGTCTCAGGACACTGCTTGGCATTCAGCCCTTGATAAATTCACTCCTCCCCCAGTTCCCAGCAAGCCCTGAGATGAACAGCAGACTTTTTGTTCCACTTTAATTTTTAGGCAAAACCGAATGCCCATCACAAAGCCCCGTTCTCCTTGCTACTCCCCTTCCCCCAACCTAGAGGTATCACATTTTTGGGTGCGTCATTTTCTGTTTGGGGTGGCTTAACAAGATGAGCTGATAGGGTTCCCAGGCTGCCTGGAGTTACATAACCCATTGTGCTTCCAGGACAGCTCACAATCTTAGGATTTGCCCTAACAAGCAAACTCAGAAAACTGCTGAGGAAGGCACGGGAGGGTGGCTGTGCGAGGTACTGCCGGGGCTGAGCTCTCATGGAGGCTCTCTCTGTTCTCTGAAGTGCCTTTGGAGTTTATGTCTGCACATGGCATTGGTTTTTCAATTCGGGCAGCCCGTCAGGGCTCAGCCTCTGCCAGGACTCTGCCACGGCAAGCTCATTCGGACAAACGCCTGTGGTAAGTTTGTTTGCCAGGTCTGTCTGCTGTCTGTTTTCTTTGTGGTGTGGTCGGAAAGGAGAAAAGACCACAGGAGAAGCTGTCTCTCTCTTGCTCCGTGCTGCTTGGGAGGTTGTTCATGGTCATGTGGTAGAGAAATTGCCATGTTGAATGATAGGCAGAGCAAAGGGACTTCAGAGACACAACTACTGCCCTCACCACCCCCCCATCTCCCGTTCCCAGGTCCCCTTGTCCCCTTGCCCAGGCTCAGTAGGTGCAAGTGACACTTGCAGGGCATGAGCACAGGGCTGAGTTGAGCCCAGACCCCCTGCACTGCCACTCCCTTTCCCTTCACAGTTCTCTGCAGTGGGTGGACAGGGTTTCTAAGGCCTCCTCCGCCTCTCCAGCTCTGATTTCTCTAATCCTATGTCTTGTCTTTATCCTGATTTCTTAGATGCTAACCTGGTATCTTGGGTCAGCAAGGAGTTTTTCAGAAGGTGAAGGACAGAGTTAGACTGTCTCCCTCCCTCTCTCCCGTTTCCCTCTCTTCCACCCTCCCTTTCTTTTTTGTCCTTTACTAAATGCTTGGGCCTGGGACTCGGATCCACACCCCAGTGATGGAGGGCTTGCTAATCAGATCTGCTGTGGCTTGTGTCTCTTGCTGTGGGGCTGACACCTCTCACTTCCTCTAAGCTGGTCAGAGTCCAGTGGTTGATGACCCATCTGGTTTCTGTCCTGTCTACACGCTGCTTCCTGAGAGCTGTCTGGGCCAGAAAACAGTTAATTCCTGAGAGAAGTGAGCTCCTGTTCCATTCCAGTCAGTTTTAGGCTTTAAAACATGTAAATCTTATTGAATAAGCCTAAAGACACTTCAAACATGCATCTTACTGAGGCAATCGTACTTATTTTTGTGTGTTGAAGCAGCGTGCACCCAGGGCCAGGTTTTTACTGGGGTTTATGTTAATTCCTGGGGTCAGAGAGAGGACTGGTCCTGCCCTCAGAGCACAGAGGTGGGCCAGGGTGTAAAGGAGAAGCTGTAAACCGAGTGAGAATTGCCTAGGAAAAATCTGCTAACAGGAGTAGCCCTGCCTGGGAGGACTCTTCATCAAAGGGCCATGGCTTAGAATTTGTTCCTTTTATTTTGTTGTGTTGTGTTGTGTTGTGTTGTGTTGTGTTATGTTATGTTATGTTATGTTATGTTATGTTATGTTATGTTATGTTATGTTATGTTATTTCGTGACTCACTGTATTGCCCAGGCTGGTTTTGAATTCCTGGGCTCAAGTGATCCCCCTGCCTCGGCCTCCCAAAGTGCTGGGATTACAGGCGTGAGCCACCATGCCTGACCCAGGATCTTTTCCTTTTCTATCACTGATTTAAGCCATAAAACTTGATGTCTTATCCTCTGAAAACATGCTCAAATAAAACATTATGGAATTCTTACACATCTTATTAATTAAATTTAAGGCCTTGTCAATTTCTCTCTAGTATAATTTTTATTTGTGTTTTCTATTGAAAATTTATAATCTAAATGGGTCTTTTATTTGGCTATATTAATGAAACAGAAAAGAATGGACAGTGAAATATATATCCCTTTTACAACAGAGTGAGAAAATGTAAATTACAATGTAGGGAATAACACATATTTTCTAAATGTGTAATTTAGAAGTTTTTTTTTTTCTCCTTCTCTTAGTGGAATCTCCTTTATTTCACAGTTGATTTGTTTTTGCAGATGGAATGCAGAAAGGGGCCCTGTTATGCTAATTTCTAGAGAGAGCATTTGATCTTTGCAAAACCACAGAAACATTCACCTCTGCCTTTTAAATATGCTATAAATGATTTGGGGGCCACCAGCTAATCTTCCTACCCTTCAGTTCCCTTATGACTAGGTGAGTAGGTAGAATATTTATCACAAGGTTTTTGACATAAATTGTGAAATTTATTTAAAATGTCATTTGTAAGTTTTTTTCCATGTGATTTTGGGGCCATAGTTCTCAAGTATTTGATATATTTTTATCTTCTCCTAACTGGTTTTAGTTCTGCACTTGAAACAAATTTTTTTCTCTCCTGTCCTCTTTTCTCTCCCCTCTCTTCTCTCTTCTCTTTTTTCTCCCCTTCCCTTCCCTTCCCTCCCCTCCCCTCCCCTCCCCTCCCCTCCCCTCCCCTCCCCTTCCTTTTTTTTTTTACAGAGTCTCACTTCTATCACCCAGGCTGGAGTGCAGTGGCATGATCTTGGCTCACTACAACCTCCACCTCCCAGGTTCAAGCAGTTCTCATCCCTCAACCTCCTGAATAGCTGGGATTACAGGCATGCGCCACCACGCCCAGCTATTTTTTTGTATTTTTAGTAGAGACAGGGTTTTGCCATGTTGCCCAGGCTGATCCCAAACTCCTGAGCTCAGGCAGTCCGCCTGCCTAGGCCTCCCAGAGTACTAGGATTACAGGCGTGAGCCGCCGTGCCTGGCCGAAACAAGCTTTTCATGTATATAATGTATCAATCTTTGTTCACCCCAAACTATTTTTGGAAGCTGGCAAATAATAAATTATAATAGGAAAAAAAAATGGCAGTTTTTGGCAGAGTGGCCAGGTATGGGCCTCGGCACCTTCCTGCTCAGCCAAGGTCTGTTGTAGGAACGTTGACTGGGAGTGACTGAGAGGATTCAGGGTGCACCAATGCCAGGCTCAGGCTGAGCAGCTGGGTTGGTGTGTGAGTCTGGGACTCATGGCCCCAGGGGGAACTTTGGAGTCAGAAACTTCTCTGTTTTCACTGAGCCCTGATCTCTCATAAACACTGAAAAACTTGAGCAAGTCAGGCTGAAACTATCAGGAGCTGAAACTTTATTTTACTTTTAGAGTCAGAGTCTCACTCTGTCACATAGGCTGGAGTGCAGTGGTGCAGTGCAGTCATGGTGTATTGCAATCTTGAACTCCTGGGCTCAAGTGACTCTCCCACGTCCACCTCCCAAGTAGCTGCGACTATGGGCTGGAGCCACCGTGCCTGGCTATTTTTTTTTGGTAGCAGTGGGATCTTGCTGTGTTGACCAGGCTGGTCTTGAACTTCTGGCCTCAAGTGATCCTACCACCTTAGCTTTCCAAAGTGTTGGAATTATAGGTATGAGCCCCAGTGCCCGGCAAAGGTGTAACTTTATAACTAGATCTGGAAGAAATATAATGTTATAAATCCTGTTCTAGGTTTCTCTAGAGAAACAGAGCCAATAGGAGAAACATATATCGAAATGTATTACAAGGAATTGTGTTACTTGATGGTGGAGGCTGACAAGTCCAAGATGTGCAGTTGGCAAGCTGGAGGCCTGGGAGACCCAATGGTATAGTTGCAGTCCAAAGGCTTGACAGGATTGAGGCCCGGGAACTGGTGTTCCAGTCCTGAAGACCCTGGGGGTGGGTCAGCCTGTTTGCTCTATTCAGACCCCAGCTGACTGGATGAGGTCCACTTCACTCACAGTAAGGAGGCATCTGTTTTACTCAGCCTGCTTATTCATGTTCATCTCACCCAGAAACACTACCACAGACACATTCAGAATCATTCTTGACCAAATTTCTGGCCACCCCATGGCCCAGTCAAGGAGACACATATTATACAGTTAGCCTTCACAGATCCTAATGGTGCTGCCATTTACTGAGGAGTAGCTCTGTGCCTGGCAGGTTTCCAAGTGTGGCTCCTGGAACTCATGTTGTCCTCAGCACAGCTCTGAGGTGGGTACTGTTACCACCTTCACGTTTGAGGAGGCACAGAGTAGGCAGCTTAACCTCTTGTATAAAATAGGGATCCTTGAGGTTTAGACCCGGCAGCATTGTTTTCTGACCCTCTTTAAGTTACTGTTCTTCATTTTTTTTCTGTTTTACTAATTTCATTTACTGTTAAATGGGGTTTTAAATTATGAAAATAACACATGCACGTGGTAAAACTTGAAAGTGTACCAAAATATAGTCAGTGCAGAGCAGCTCTCACTCTACCATCAGTGCAGTTTAATGGGTAAAAAAATCATTCCAAGAAGTTTTTATGCACATATTCATTTTCTAAAAAACACAGATGGGACCATATCCTATTCCTTGATCTGCATTGTAAGATGATTAACCATATTACTTAAAATGAATTCACATACTATTACCTTATTCTTTAAAATAGCGACATGATATCCCATTGTTTGGCTTTATCATCGTCATCATCATCATCATCATCATCATCATCAGTCATTTAATTAAACCAGGCTGTGGTCTGAATATTTGTCTCCCCAAAATGAGTATGTTGAAACCTAATCAGCAGTGCAATGGTATCAGGTGGTGGAGCCTCTGGGAGGTGGTTAGGTCACAGGGGCAGAGCCCTGATGAGTGGATTAGTGGCCTTATAAAAGAGGTTTTGGAGAGCTAGCTAGCCTGTTCTACCCTGTGAGGACAGAGTGAGAAGGTGCCATCCGTGAACCAGGAACCAAGCCCTTACCAGACATTTGGTGGTGCCTTTATCTTGGACTTGTCAGTCCCCAAAGCTGGGAGAAATAAATGTTTGTTGTTGACAAGCCACCAGTTTATGGTATTTTGCTCTAGCAGCCTGAACAGGCTAGGAAAACTCAGCAGCTCTCAGTCCTGGAATACCTAATATTTCTTTTTAGAAGAAGCATTTTGTAATTCATTTTTTTGTTACCCTTAAATGAAATTCATAGATAACGAATCCTCTTAAAAACATAATTTTATTTATTTTATTTCTATCTTTTTTTGAGATGGAGTCTTGCTCTGTTGCTCAGGCTGGAGTGTAGTAGTGTGATCTCAGCTCACTGCAACCTCTGCCTCCCGGGTTCAAGTGATTCTCCTGCCTCAGCCTCCTGAGTAGCTGGGACTATAGATGTGTGCCACTACACTCGGCTAGTTTTTTGTGTTTTTAGTAGAGATGGGGATTCGCCATGTTGGCCAGGCTGGTCTCGAACTCGTGTCCTCAAGTGATCTGCCCGCCTCGACCTCCCAAAGTGCTGGGATTACAGGCGTGAGCCACCGCGCATGGCCAAACACATAATTTTAAAAGAATCAGTATAATGCCTTACCGTACTATAAAGGAGAAACTAAAGAAAAATGACATAGCTTGTATTTCAAATGTCGCTGAGGGGACGTGGCCTCATTAGAACACATAATGAGCAATTAGGCCCTGCCCCTGCAGGTAGAATTGCTGTGAAGGGGGCAGCCACAAAGGCAGTGAAGCATGCTGGCTACTCAAGGGTCCAAGACAGAACCACTGCAGCAGCCCCCATTGATGGGTGCTGTAAGTTGTTTTCAGTTCTTGCATTTTAAATGGTGCCTCAAGCACCATTCCTACTCACTCTTAGAAGCATTGGCTTAAACAGTGTGCAACAAGAAAAATGCATACAGTTTAAAGAATACACTTTGAGGTTTTCCACCTTCATCTTATTCCCAGACCTCTGCCTTTCCTCCCAAGGGAATGACTGTTGCTTATCTTTCCAAAAATGTTCTGTGCATGCGTTTGTATGGTATGTATGTCCCCTCCCCTGCTTTGAAAGCTTTCTACACACGGGAACATATACTAAACATATTGTTGCCTTTTCTCCTCAGTAATCTATATTGGAGACCTTTCCACTTAGCATACATCCATCATATTCTTTTTGCTGGCTGCCTATTTTTCATTGTCTATAAATCCCACGATTGATTTAATTAATTCCCTATTGTAAGACAAGTAGATTGTTTCCAGTATTCTGCAAATACCACTGGGTTGGGGATAGCCATGTTCCCACATATTTAAACAAATAAGTAATGAATGTACTTGTGTGAATTCCTAGGCTGGGGACTGTAATTTGATGGAGTGAGTCATAGAGGTTGTATATGGTGTGTGTTCAGACGATGTGGGAGAAGTGTGTGGGCGCTCACTGTCTGCACCCCTGGTATGAGCACATTTGCTCTTTGCCAGCTGAGGTGTATAAACGGCAGCAGCCCCTGATCTTGATTTACGTTCCTCAGTGTGTAGAGGCTGAGCATTTTCGGTATTTCCTGGAGGAATTTTTATTGTCTTTTCTGTGATCTGAGATAAATGCTTAACAGTTTCTACTTTTAGCTCATGGAGTGATTGCCTCCAAAATTCTAATTACTATTTATATCCTATTTTTATACTTTCCTTTCCATCCCTCATGTAGCACATCACTGCCTGGTAGGCTTGGATTTCGAATTCTGGATTTTGAATACCATGCGGCACCTGCTGGGCGTACCTGAACTTTATATCAAGGACTCACCACACAGTTTATGATTTGAGTTTTTAAATTTCCCAGACATCTGCCTTAGAAAACAGACCAAACACATACTGATAGGTTGGTCCATCAGAGTGTGCTCTGGGAAGGGTTGTGGAGGTCTCACCTTGTAAACTGCTGTGATACTGACAACTATGTGAACACCAGGGTCCAGTGATGTTTCTATTTCCGGAGGAGTATCTTGGAGGACCTTTAAGTTTTCCTTTCCTCCCTTCGTTTCATTTTTTTTCTTCTCACCCTCTTCTCTCCTCCATCTCTCCTTACCCACTTTCTGTCTGTTTCCTCTCCCCTCCCCTCCTCCTCACCCTGATATCTGTCCTTCCCCTTGCTGTCTCCTTTCTTCTCTTCCTCCATCCCCACTCCCCTCCTTTCTCTGCTTCTCTCCACCTCCTCTTCCTTGAAGAAACAATGGCTTTCTTTTTTTTTCTTTTTAATAATTATACAGCTGAGGTGGATCTAGGTTGGTGACGCCTTTAGAAGCTTTGCAGCATTCAGTAGAGCTTCTTAAGTACAGGCAGCAGGCACTTCACGGGTCGTACTGGGTTAATGTTCTTTTGTGCTTTTCCAGCACATGGAGGAAGGGAGGTTGGGCCTGTGGTCAACTGACCCTTTCCCAGTTGAGTCTGCAGGTTGTGAGTGTGCAGTAAGTCTTTTGAATTATTAGCTGGAGTTAAATGGGAAGGAAGAGGTGAGGATATCAATAACGTGAAGCAGGAAGGCTGAAGACCGTGAGTTCTGTGGAGGGAACCTGACCTGCGGGAGAGAGGGAGGGAGAAAGAGAACAGAGAGCTCCAGCCAGCTCACCCTTTGGGGTGACTGGAAGCTGCCTAGAAGGTGGTTTTGCCCTAATTTACAAATTTACTGCCCTTTTGAGGCCTTATCTGGTCCAGGCTCACTTCCTACTCTGCTACCTTCTATCATGGTGTTGGAAAAGAAGGAGCGCCTAGCAGGGTGGGCCTTTTGAGCATGGGAGTCCACAGTGTACCCCTTGGAGCCCAGTTGCAGGGAGAGCAAGATGGACAGGTGGTTTCATCCAGAATTGGGTTTTGCTGTATGGGTGCCGTGAAAGTCCCACGAGAGTGAGGGAGGCCGAGCCTTAGGCACCAGCGTTGCTGGAGCCAAAGGGCTGGGGGATTCCAGCTGGACAGGAAGTGGGCGGTAGAGGCCATGCAGAGGAATTGAGGGGCTGGGGGTCTCCATGGAATAGCGGGGATAACTGAGGGAGAGCTGTGGGGGAAGGGGGTTGCAGTCAGGGAGGGGGTATCTAAATTCCAGATTTCAGAGGTGGCCCGGGTGTGGCTGGCAGAAGTGGCATGTGATAGGAGGGCCGTGGAGGTCCCAGACTTGAGAGCTGGGGAGTCAGGTGGTGTCAGGTGTAGGGGTGGCAGTGGCAGCCTGGATGAGTGGCTGCACTCGGTGGAGAGGACGGCCGCCAACCTCTACCGGGGCGGAGTTGCTGATGGGTGGACGAGTGGGCATAGGCGGGGGTAACCCAGCTGGATGGCCTGAGTCTCAAGCGAGCAAGGATTTTTAAAGGCAAATGGGAGGAAATGAGAGGGGGAGGTGGCCCAAGGAGCCAGAGGATGCTGGCACCAACTCCAGACCTGAGTGCGGCAGCTCAGAGCAAGACCCTAATCTTGACCTTCCAGGAGGTTTAAACCCTAGTTTGATTTTGACCTAGATGATGGAACGTTTGCGTGGTACGAACTGAACCTTCTTAGTGGGAGAGATGGAAATGGTTGGAAAGACGATGGTGAGCTAAGCCTGTGGGCAGGGGCCCCTCCTTCAAACCCCAGCCACGCAGAGAGGGAGAGTCATGCTGAGGGGCTCTGACGTTCTTCTCTTAGTAGGAATTCTGTTCACTTTCCCAAACCAACATGTTCGGTTTCAGCTTATCTCATAAATATAATTATGCTCTTTTGTTCAGCTTTGAAAAATCCTGACCGTAGACCATTCAGGTTGTCATACCTTCAGGTTTGAACTCATTGCCCAGTGCTATTTTAACTGTTGTTTCTCCCTATTTATGTGAGTAGAAATGAGAAGGGGCAAAGCTGACTTTGTGACAGGGCCTGGAAGTTTTCTGTGCCCAGTGTCTCTTCCTTTGCCTTTAATTTGAATTCAGGCTGCCTGGGATGTGTGGTAAAGAATGGGCCTGTCCAGGTGAGGATGCAGCACCATCTAGTGGGCCAGAGATGCACTAGCAACAGGAGACAGGTTTTTGCAACTTTTGGAATGGATTGAAGGAAAGGGGAGTTAATCGTAGGCAGAGACTGCCAGGGTTAGGACCAGTGGCTCACACCTGTAATTCCAGCACTTTGGGAGGCCGAGGCAGGAGAATCGCTTCAGCCAAGGAATTTGAAGCCAGCCACTATGAAGGCAACATAGTGAGACTCCCATCTCTACAAAAAATACAAAGCTTAGCCAGTGTGGTGGTGCATGCCCTGTAGTCCCAGCTACTTGGGAGGCTGAGGTGGGAGGATCACTTGAGCCCAGGGTGTAGAGGCCACAGTGCGCCATGATTGTGCCACTGCACTCCAGCCTGGATGACAGAGCAAGAGACCTTGTCTTTCTTAAATAAAAAAATGGTGACAGGTGAGGCAGGTAACTTAGTTGTGTAGAAGAAAAGAAATCTTCTCCCATCTCATCTTTTCTCCTGCCTTGTTCCATCTACCTTTATTCTCTTCCCATCCACTCTGTTTACTGGAACTAATTCCAGAAGTAGTTTTTGTAAGGGACGGTGTCATTATAGCCAAGTGTGGCCATGTTTTTCTTGTGTAGACTCATGTAAGGAGATTCTGATGGGGGTGTAATTTCATTCCCATGTAGTGAACTTTATTCGAGCTGTCAGTGATTGTACTTTACAAGACTTTATTTATTTATTTTGAGACAGAGTTTTGTTCTTGTTGCCCAGGCTGGAGTGCAATGGCACAGTCTCGGTTCACTGCAACCTCTGTCTACTGGGTTCAAGTGATTCTCCTGCCTCAGCCTCCCCAGTAGCTGGGATTACAGGCACCTGCCACCACACCTGGCTAATTTTTTTGTATATTTAGTAGAGACAGGGTTTCACCATATTGGCCAGGCTGTCTCGAACTCCTGACCTCAGGTGATCCACCCGCCTCAGCCTCCCAAAGTGCTGGGATTACAGGCGTGAGCCACCACGCCTGGCCAACTTTACAGGACTTTAAATTAGCTGTGTGTTAGTCAAGTGTTGCTGTAGGAGTGCTAACAGCCTCCAAATCCTAGTGGTTCCTACAACATTTATTTCTTGCTCACAGACATGGGTCATCTGAGGATTGGCTTTGTTTGTCTCTTATTTGGGGATTTGGGCCACAAAGTTGGGACCTACCTAAGGACATGTTCTCCTCTGGGCAGAGGACAAGAGCTCAAGAGGACAGACCCAACCACGCCACACAGGCATGCTTAGAGCCTCCCACTGGACATGGAGTTATGCCGGCCACAGCGAATCATGTGGCCCAGCCTGAAGTCACAGAGTTGTGAAATATTTTGCCCATATTGGGCAAATAGTGAACCATAGCAAGAGTGATTCAGGAAGGATGCAGGAAGAATTGTGGACAAAGTGAACAGCTTAGAGTTTAGAATATTCTTAGGTGACAGGAGTGGCACTGAATGGCCGAGGTACATTAGTTGCTTTCAGGAAAGCCTCGTGGTGCCAGTCACCTCTGAATTATTGGCTTCTTCTATTAGCCCTGCTTGAGGAGGGGAAGGACATGACTCTTACGGCCTAGAGCAGGAGTTGGCAAACTCCTGTAAAGGGCCAGAGAGTAAATCTTTTAGGTTTGCAGGTCAGAAGGTCTCTGTCTCAACTGCTTGTCTCTGCTGTTGCAGCACATGAAGCAGCCATAGACATTCCCTAGAGGAATGGGTGTGGCTGTGTTTGGGAAACACTTTTCTTTATGAAAATAACAGAGGGCTGGGTTTCCCCTTAAGCCATAGTTTGCAGACTCCTGGCCTAGACCTTCAAGGAATGACCTCTGTCATGACACCAACTTAAGAGAGAACCACCTCTTTTTAGTTGGGAAGCCAAATAGTATTCAAAGAGCTGTTGGTGAGTCCAGCAATCCTCCACCTATTTACTCCGCGTTATTAAGCTGTAAACAGTCGTTTCAGGTCATTGAAAATCCCGGCAACCAAAGCTTATTGTTCTTAAGTATGAAATATCACGTACTTATTTATTTATTTTTTGAGATGGAGTCTCACTCTATCACCTAGGCTGGAGTGTAGTGATGCCATCTCAGCTCACTGCAACTTCCGCCTCCCAGGTTCAAGCGATTCTCCTGCCTCACCCTCCCGAGTAGCTGGGATTACAGGCGCACACCACCATGCCTGGCTAATTTTTGTATTTTTAGTAGAGACGGGGTTTTGCCATGTTGGCCAGGCTGGTCTCGAACTCCTGACCTCCAGTGATCCGCCTGCCTTGGCCTCCCAGGGTGCTGGGATTATAGGCGTAAGCCACCGCGCCCAGCCAAAATCTCATTTTACCTACCTTACCCTATCTTCAGAAGAAATGTCTGTTAAAGGTATTAGAAGCTTCTTTTACCTTGGGTTTTCCAAACAGTTGATGTGGAAGGCAATTTAATCTTTCTCATGGATTCAGAGTTATCTTTTGTGATATCTTCTGTTTTCCAGAGATTTGCTGATGTGTTAAGGGTATGGTACTGATGCTGGATGTTTTGCTCATTAGCCCAGCAAGGTCAAGGTTCTTGTCTCATGACCAGGGAGAAGTAGGCACACGGACACTCAGAGAGAGGCGTCCTGAAAGCAGGTTGCTGGTTCTCCCTTCACAGTTGAATACAAGGGCTTCTCTGTCTGCTGATGGGGCTGTGTTCCCTATTTGTATAAGGTGTGAGTTTCTGGCGGCTCTACCCTGACCTTCCAGTGTGCATGCGGGCCCCTAGTCTGAGCCATTCCACATTGATTTATTTCCCTTACTGCGCATGTGTTAAGGGACTGAATTTTTCACTGCTGGCATGTTTAGGCAAGCCTCCTGTGCACAATGACCTTGGCAGCTCGAAAGTTCTCCAGGGACCCTCCCCTGTCTGCCTAGGAAGAGTTCTCTGCTTCCTGCCTCTATCAGTACGTGTGCTCAGCAGGACTTACTTTCACATTTCTTGTGGTTACGTTTTTTCTTGTAACAGCTTCATTGAGATATAATTCATGCTTCATACAGTTCATCCATATAAAGTGTATAATTTAGTGGTTTTTAGTATGTTCGTGGGGTTGTGCAATTATCACCAGTTCAGTTGGTGAATCTGTTCAATTTCAGAACATTTTCATTCACCCCCCGAAAAGCTCCTTTCCCTTTAGCAATCATCCCTCAGTCTCCTCGCATCTCCCACAGTGTGGCTGCATTCTTTTTTTTCTTTTGAGATGAAGTCTCCCTCTGTCCCCCAGGCTGAAGTGCGGTGGCGTGATCTTGGCTCACTGCAATCTCTGCCTCCCAGGTTCAAGAGATTCTCCTGCCTCAGCCTCCTGAGTAGCTGGGATTACAGGCGTGTGCCACCACACTCAGCTAATTTTTGTATTTTTTTTTCTTAGTAGAGACAGGGTTTTGCTGGGTTGGCCAGGCTGGTCTCAAACTGCTGACCTCAAGTGATCTGCTTGCCTCAGTCTCCCAAAGTGCTGGGATTACAGGCATGAGCCACTATGCCTGGCCATGCGTTCTTAATACGCTTTCAAAGATTTCTACTGTCATTGTTCTTGATTCCGACAGGCTTGCCCCTAACCTTGGAGAGCAGTGGTGGGGGATCGTTCTTGAGTGGTCATCGATGCTATTCGAGGGTACACTTAACAGACATTTTATGGCTGGGCTCGTGTCTGTGATCCCAGCACTTTGGGAGGCTGAAGTGGGAGGATCACTTGAGCTCAAGAGTTTGAGACCAGATCCAGGAGGAGTGGTTCCAACATGGCCGAAAAGGAACAGCTCCAGTCTGCAGCTCCCAGCGTGAGTGATGCAGAAGATGGATGATTTCTTCATTTCCAACTGAGGTACTGGGTTCATCTCACTGCGGCTTGTCAGACAGTGGGTGCAGCCCATGGAGCAGGACGGGTCATCACCTCACCCAGTAAGTGCAAGGGGTCGGGGAATTCCCTTTCCTAGCAAAGGGAAGCCATGACAGATGGTACCTGGAAAATTGGGACACTCCCACCCTAATACTGCGCTTTTCCAATGGTCTTAGCAAATAGCACACCAAGAGATTATATCCTGCGCCTGGCTTGGAGGGTCCCACGCCCACGGAACCTCACTCACTGCTAGCACAGCAGTCTGAGATCAAACTGCAAGGCAGCAGGGAGGCTGGGAGAGGGGCGTCCACCATTGCTGAAGCTTGAGTAGGTAGACAAAACAGCCGGGAAGCTCGAACTGGGTGGAGCCCACTGCAGCTCAAGGAGGCCTGCCTGCCTCTGTAGGGAGGCAGGGCATAGCTGAACTTCTGGGGGCACTTCTGGGGGCAGGGCATAGCTGAACAAAAGGCAGCAGAAACTTCTGCAGACTTAAATGTCCCTGTCTGACAGCTTTGAAGAGAATAGCGGTTCTCCCGGCATGGAGTTTGAAATCTGAGAATGGACAGACTGCTTCCTCAAGTGGGTCCCTGACCACCGAGTAGCCTAACTGAGAGGCAGCTCCCAGTAGGGGCCGACTGACACCTCATACAGCTGGGTGCCCCTCGGAGATGAAGCATCCAGAGGAAGGATCAGGCAGCAACGTCTGCCATCCTGCAATATTTGCTATTCTGCAGCCTCCGCTGGTGATACCCGGGCAAACAGGGTCTGGAGTGGACCTCCAGCAAACTCCAACAGACCTGCAGCTGAGGGTCCTGACTGTTAGAAGGAAAACTAACAAACAGAAAGGAATCCACACCAAAACCCCATCTGTACGTCACCATCATCAAAGACCAAAGGTAGATAAAACCACAAAGATGGGGAGAAACCAGAGCAGAAAAGCTGAAAATTCTAAAAATCAGAGCACCTCTTCTCCTCCAAAGGAATGCAGCTCCTCGCCAGCAACGGAACAAAGCTGGACAGAGAATGACTTTGACGAGTTGAGAGAAGAGGGCTTCAGACGATCGGTAATAACAAACTTCTCCAAGCTAAAGGAGGATGTTCAAACCCATTGCAAAGAAGCTAAAAATCTTTTTTTTTTTTTTTTTTTGAGACAGAGTTTCGCTTTTGTTGCCCAGGCTGGAGTGCAATGGCTCGGTCTTGGCTCACCGCAACCTCTGCCTCCTGGCTTCAAGTGAGTCTCCTGCCTCAGCCTCCCAAGTAGCTGGGATTACAGGCATGTGCCACCACACCCAGCTAATTTTTTTGTATTTTTATTAGAGACGGGGTTTCTCCATGTTGGTCAGGCTGGTCTCGAACTCCTGACCTCAGGTGATCCACCCGCCTCGGCCTCCCAAAGTGCTGGGATTACAGGCATGAGCCACCACGCCCAGCAGAAGCTAAAAGTCTTAAAAAAAGATTAGACAAATGGCTAACTAGAATAAATAGTGTAGAGAAGACCTTAAATGACTTGATGGAGCTGAAAACCATGGCACGAGAACTATGTGACGCATGCACAAGCTTCAGTAGCCGATTTGATCAACTGGAAGAAAGGATATCAGTAATTGAAGATTAAGTGAATGAAATGAAGCAAGAAGAGAAGTTTAGGGAAAAAAGAGTAAAAAGAAACGAACAAAGCCTCCAAGAAATATGGGACTATGTGAAAAGACCAAATCTACGTCTGATTGGTGTACCTGAAAGTGATGGGGAGAATGGAACCAAGTTGGGAAACACTCTTCAGGATATTATCCAGGAGAACTTCCCCAACCTAGCGAGGCAGGCCAACATTCAAATTCAGGAAATACAGAGAACGGCACAAAGATACTCCTCAAGAAGAACAACCCCAAGACACATAATTGTCAGATTCACCAAAGTTGAAATGAAGGAAAAAATATTAAGGGAAGCCAGAGAGAAAGGTCGGGTTACCCACAAAGGGAAGCCCATTAGACTAACAGCAGATCTCTCAGCAGAAACTCTACAAGCCAGAAGAAAGTGGGGGCCAATATCCAACATTCTTAAAGAAAAGAATTTTCAACCCAGAATTTCATATCCAGCCAAACTAAGCTTCATAAGTGAAGGAGAAATAAAATCCTCTACAGACAAACAAATGCTGAGAGATTTTGTCACCACCAGGCCTGCCTTACAAGAGCTCCTGAAGGAAGCACTAAACATGGAAAGGAACAACCAGTACCAGCCACTGCAAAAACATGCCAAATTGTAAAGACCATCAATGCTAGGAAGAAACTGCATCAACTAACGAGCAAAATAACCAGCTAACATCATAATGACAGGATCAAATTCACACATAACAATATTAACCTTAAATGTAAATGGCCTAAATGCCCCAATTAAAAGACACAGACTGGCAAATTGGATAAAGAGTCAAGACCCATCAGTGTGCTGTATTCAGGAGACCCATCTCACGTGCAGAGACACACATAGGCTCAAAATAAAAGGATGGAGGAAGATCTACCAAGCAAATGGAAAACAAAACAAAAAAAAAGCAGGGGTTGCAATCCTAGTCTCTGATAAAACAGACTTTAAACCAAAAAAGATCAAAAGAGACAAAGAAGGCCATTACATAATGGTAAAGGGATCAATTCAACAAGAAGAGTTTGAGACCAGCCTGGGCAACATAGTGAGACCTCTTCTTTATTTAAGATAAAAAATAAAAATATAATAATAACAAAATAGACACTTTATGTGCACTGGAGTCTTGTGTATAGTGACTCTATCACCTGAATAATTACTTTTTAAAATTATAATGTTGTATTTATTTATTTGTATTCTGCTTTGTAGGTTGTCCTTTGGAATTTTCCACATTTTGAATTTATGTTTGTGTTTATTGGAAAATTGGTTCAAGTGAATGTGGAATCATTTTACTGTCAGGGTATATTTGTTTTTCTTAACTGCATATTGTCAGACTAATATTTTTTGGATGAGTTTGAAATCTTTTAATATCCAGATGATCTCATTTGATGTTTTGAAAAAGTAACCATTGTTCATTTTTAAACAGAATTTCCTGTTCAGGAAATAATTTAGATTAACAATAAAACAGATGAATGCATTGAATGGTAGAGGCACAGTTGGCATTGTGATTTCATGAGATTTTGTACTATTAATAAAATAAGTTTTCCTAATGTGGCACTTAACTTTTCCAGAATTTACCCCTTGATTGCCAGCTAACTTTGCTTGTCCCCTAGTTAGAGCCACCTTTGAAGGGGAAGACAGGACAGTCAGGACAGGGGGAGGGATGTGGGCCTTGAACTCTGGCAGCTGCTCAGGCTACCTTGAAAGCCTTACAGAGTCTAATCATAAACATTGGGTAGAAATGTTTTTGGACAACAGAAAGCAAGTCTAAGAAATCAATTATTTGGGCTGGGCGCAGTGCCTTATGCCTGTAATCCCAGCACTTTGGGAGGCCAAGGCGGGCGGATCATGAGGTCAGGAGATTGAGATCATCGTGGCCAACATGAGGAAACCCGTCTCTACTAAAATACGAAAATTAGCCTGGCGTGGTGGTGCGTGCCTGTAGTCCCAGTTACTTGGGAGGCTGAGGCAGGGGAATTGCTTGAACCCAGGAGGCGGAGGTTGCAGTGAGCCAAGATTGTGCCACTGCACTCCAGCCTGGTGACAGAGCAAGACTCCGTTTCAAAAAAGAAAAAAAAAAAAAAGAAATTAATTATTTATAAACAAGAAACTTCATCTGAACTCCCAGATTAGAACAGTAAAACCCAAGAGGTTGGAGGGAGATGGGTGAGATTAAGTGCAAAAAGATTATTCTATTTTTGCTGTGGATAATTAGGAAAATACAGGTTAACCTCTTAGCCTGTAACCTCTTGGTCTGTTAACCTCTTTGCCTGTACAGATAGTACCTTTAAAGGTAACTATCTGTATCAGTAAGGATTAAGTTTGGCTGTATAGAACAGTGGCTTCACATTATAGAATTTATTTTTCTCTAAAGTATAAGAAGTTCAGAGGGAGACTGTGCAGTACTGGTGCAGCCCTGCTGTCCCCAGGGTTCCATGCTCTTCCTGTCCTTCAGTTCTACCATACTAGATGTCGTTTCCATCCTTAAGGTCATGTCACATCTAAGAAGGCTGCGGAAGCTCCAGCCATCATGTCTGAATTCCAGGATGTAGGGAAGGCAGCCTTTGAGAAAGGCTCTCACACCAGTGCTTTTATCTCATTGGCCAACACTTAGCCTTGTAGTCTCATTTTGCAGCAGGGGAGGCTAAGAAATGTAGTTTTTCCATGGGGCTCAGAGCTTTGATACTAAGAAGAGTATGGATAGCGGATGGCCACCATGTGTCTACCATGTCTCCTTGACTATAATTAAAAATATGATGCAGGCTGGGGGCAGTGGCTCAAGCCTGTAATCCCAGCACTTTGGGAGGCCAAGTGAAGTGAATCCCTTGAGCTAGGAGTTCAAGACCAGCCTGGGCAACATGGGGAAACCCCATCTTTACTAAAAATACAAAAAATTAGCCAAGTGTGGTGCTGCCTGCCTGTAGTCCTAGCTACTTGGGAAGCTGAGGTGGGAAAATCATCTGAGCCCAGGAAGTTGAGGCTGCAGTGAGCTGTGATCGTACCACTGCACTCCAGCGTGGGTGACAGGAGTGAGACCCTGCCTTTAAAAAAAAAAAAAAAAAAAAAAGATTCAAACATTCAACATTAGCATTCCCTAACCTAACCCACATCATGACCCTGACAAGAAAACAATGGTATTTGCATAGCATGATGGGTAAATGATGGAAGTAGTTCTTAGCTGATGGTCACCCCGGACACTACCTGGCACCCTCCATTCCCAGCACTGCTTGTGGAAGCTCTGTTCTAAATCACTAGGAGAAAAAAGAATCTGGTGGCACATACTCTACAATGCAAAAGACAGCAAAGTGATGAAACCTCCAGAAGTTGAACCACCAAGAGGCATGACAATAGTAAGATGAGTCTTGCCCAATTTGACCATAATGCTCCTGTTTGAAGGCAAAGTCTCAGAATGGGTCAAAAAGTGAAGCTTTATCTATGTGCTTTGCTTAAGAAATTCTCAAAGTATGCAAAAGACTGGAAGTTGGGCTAGGAGAAAATTTAGAGAAAGAAGAGTTATAAGGAGGGATTATTTAATCAGTGAGGTCAGGATCTTTGGGGCCAGGGGCAGGCGTGAGTGGTGGTTAGGATTTTGACCTCCGAGTTCAGGCTCTGTTAGAAAACCGGTTCACTATTTACAGGCTATGTGATGTGGGTCTAGGTATTCAACTTCTCTGTGCTGTAGTGTATTCATTCTTATGTCAAACGGGGATAAATGTTAGGACTCTTAGGAGGATTAAATGAGTTAATGGATGTAAATGCTTATAAGTGCTTATGGTACCACTCCATAAGTGTTTACCATTATTACTGATGTGTTTGTTATCATTATAAGAAAGTGCAACTGGATCCCTGCATAACTCCATCAAACCCAATAAAATCCAGATGGTTCAAAAGGTGATTCAAAGATGTAATGTTGGCTGCTACCCTAGGCACACTGCCTGTGAATTAGCCCTGCTCAGCAAACAGCAGTTAAAATAAAATAGAAAGAAAAGATATAATGTTAAAAATTCAACTGTGAAAGTGCTAGAGGAAAATATTGCTGGATATTTTACTAATCTTGAGATGGGAAAGTCCATCCTAAACATGGTATAAAGGCTAGAACTATAAGGAAAATGACTGATCGCTTTGAGTGTGCAAAATTAAACTTTACACAGGCATTCTTTAACTGTGTATTTGTTCCTGAAAACATTGTGTGTGTTCATGCACACGTATGTTTATTGTGGCACTATTCACAATAGCAAAGACTTGGAACCAACCCAAATGCCCATCAATGATAGACTGGATTAAGAAAATGTGGCACATATACACCATGCAATACTATGCCACCATAGAAAAGGATGAGTTCATGTCCTTTGTAGGGACATGGATGAAGCTGGAAACCATCATTCTCAGCAAACTGTCCCAAGGACAGAAAACCAAACACCGCATTTTCTCACTTACAGGCGGGAATTGAACTGTGAGAACACTTGGACACAGGATGGGGAACATCACACACCGGGGCCTGTCATGGGGTAGGGGTGGCGGGGGGGATGGCATTAGGAGATATACCTAATATAAATGATGAGTTAATGGGTGCAGCACACCAACATGGCACATGTATACATATGTAGCAAACCTGCACGTTGTGCACATGTACCCTAGAACTTAAAGTATATATATATATATATATATATATATATATATATATAAACTTTGTGTGTGTTGCAAAATTGGACACTAAAAATACCAGGAGTAATGCAACTTTGTAACCAGAACACTTATAAAAACTGTCCATGTGGGGATAACTTGAATAGCCCAGACGGGCAGTTCCCGGCTGTGGCTGGAGCCACACAAACAATAGAGGGAAAGGCTGTGGGGTGTGTATGTGTGTGTGTTGAGGGGTGGGGGTTGATGGATCTGGGGCTTCTGCTAAGGTGAGCACAGGAGAAAATACAGCCCCCTGTAAGCTGAGAGCCATGCAAGGCTGAGGTGCTCCTCTCTGGGGATGGAGTCCTACACACAGAGCTTTTTAAGTTCCTATGAAGTAGTCCTGAAAGGGTTCCTCCTGCCTTTGCAGCATAAGAGCTGAAGGGCTTTTTTCCCATTGAGGGTTGTAAACATTCACACTATTCTGACTTCCCTTGCCCAATTCAGCTTCATGTGTTGAATTTTGTTGTCCTGGCTGAGCCCCTTGCCTTTTATAGGTGGGGTGTGAGCTTTGCCATTTGACAACCAAGCTTTTTGTGGCCCAGGAGGGAGTAGAGGAGTAGAAGACAGAAAAGCAAGTCTTGCCTTGTGTATTTTTGTGACCAGGAGAAAGGCATCATTTTGGCAAAAGCCCCAGGTCTCCCACAGGTGTTCAGTGAAGGTCCTGGCCGCTCTGCTCAGTGTTTGTGAGGGTCGATTTTCCCAGCGCAGGGCACTGCAGGTGCTTGTGAAGAACCAGATGGCTGCTCATTCCATCCTGCAGCATTTATTCAGTGTCTGCTCTGGCCCTGAGCAGACCCTGTCTTTGCCCTCTTGGAGCTGTGTAGTCCAATGACAGAGACTGCTGGTAATCAATCACTAAATCAGTGACTACAAATTGTGATGGGTGGAAAATGCCAGGGGCCAAGGGGGTAACTTAGCCCACCTATCTAGGGAGGTGGCCCTGAAGAAGTCAGTCCATCTGGGATCAGAGGGCAAAGGGGTGGTTGGCAGAGAAGGGAAAAGTGTTCCAGACAGAAGGTCCAGAAGGAGTTGTGAACCCAGAAAATCTGAGACGGTGAAAAAAGATTTGACCTAACTGACTCCATCTTGCTCTTAACCTCCAAGCTGTCCTTATTCATTCCTGGACACAGGTAGAACCAACTTTGGGAGGAACTCATAGTTTAGCTTTGAAACAAAGAGGATACCAGTCCTTTTCCCAAAACAAACCTCCTTATTGTCCGTGGACTAGGCTGCCTAAAGCCACAGGATTAGAAGTTATGATAATCCTTTTTTTTTTTTTTGAGACGGAGTCTCACTCTGTCGCCCAGGCTGGAGTGCGGTGGCGCGATCTTGGCTTACTGCAAGCTCCGCCTCCCGGGTTCACAACATTACCCTGTCTCAGCCTCCCGAGTAGCTGGGACTACAGGCGCCCACTACCATGCCCGGCTAATTTTTTGTATGTTTAGTGGAGACGGGGTTTCACTGTGTTAGCCAGGGTGGTCTCGATATCCTGACCTCGTGATCCTCCCACCTAGGCCTCCCAAAGTGCTGGGATAACAGGTGTGAGCCACTGCGCCCAGCCCTAGTTATGGTAATCTTACTAAATTCAAAATGCATCTATTTTGATTAAACCCATATTATTTTCTTATTTATTAAAAATTACACGAAGATCATTCTGTTTTGGGCTGGGTTTATAGTTTTGTAACCCCTATGACAAAATTTGATGCCTTATATAGTATTTTACAGGGATAAGTATGAAATTTGCCAACACTTGTTTTGAAAGATGCTGTGGGCTGACATCTTCTTTTTTTTTTTTTTCAAATCTAGAAAAGAGTTTTCACACTTCCCGAGCTTCTCCCTTTTTCAGGAGACTGGTTTTCAAAGCACTTTTCTGTACCAGGTGTGTGTCTTCTCTGGTCAAAAAGTAGCCCCTACTCCAGAGTGTACTAAGACTCCAAGGAAAGTTTGGGAAGAGGAATTCCATGAACCTAATGGTAATCTAATCCCTTTCCTCAGCTCTTACTTTTTTTTTTTTTTTTTTTTTTTTGAGACGTAGTCTTACTCTGTCGCCCAGGCTGGAGTGCAATGGCGCGATCTCGGCTCATTGCAACCTCCGCCTCCTGGGTTCAAGAGTTCGATACTAGCCTGGCCAACATGGCAAAACCCCGTCTCTACTATAAATACAAAAATTAGCTGGGTCAGCTACTTGGGAGGCTGAGGCACAAGAATCACTTGAACCTGGGAGGTGGAGGTTGCAGTGAGCCGAGATTGCACCACTGCACTCCAGCCTGGGCGACAGAGCGAGACTCCATCTCAAAAAAAAAAGGAAACAATTAAAAAGGTCAGGAGCAGTGGCTCATGCCTGTAATCCCATCACTTTGGGAGGCAAAGGCGAGTAGATCACTGGAGCTCAGGAGTTCGAGACCAGCCTGGACAACATGGCAAAACTGTGTCTCTACTAAAAATACGAAAGTTAGCCGGGCTTGTTCACACGTACCTGTAATCCCAGCTACTTGGGAAGCTGAGGCACGAGAATCTCTTGAGCCTGGGAGATGGAGGTTGCAGTTAGGCCAAGATTATGCCACTGCACTCTAGCCTGGGTGACAGAGTGAGACTCTGTCTCAAAAAAAAAAAAAAAAAAAAACCAACTAATTTTTTGTTTGTTTGTTTGTTTTAAAGAGATGGGGTCTTGCTATCTCCTAGGCTGGAGTGTAGTGGCATGGTCACAGCTCACTGCATCCTCTAACTGCTGTGCTCAAGGGATCCTCTTGTCTCAGCCTCCCCAGTAGCTGGGGCTACAGGTGTGTGCCACCACACTTGGATTTTTAATTTTTTTTTTGTAGAGATGAGGTCTTCCCATCTTGCCCAAGCTGATCTTGAACTCCTAGGCTCAAGTGATCCTCCTGCCTTGACCTCCCAAAGTGCTGGGATTACAGGCATGGGCCAGCGCACTTGGCCTAACAATGTCATTTTAAAAAGTATTATAGGCCAGGGCGCTGTGCTTATGCCTGTGATCCCAGCACTTTGGGAGGCTGAGGTGGGCGGATCAGTTAAGCCCAGTTCAAGGATGTAGTGAGCCATAATTGCATCACTGCACTTCAGCCTAGGTGACAGAATGAGACCCTATCTCTTCAAAACAAAACAAACATAATATTTGCCATTTAACCATTAAAAAAATTAATTTTCTCAAAAGCATTGTTATTCTACTCTACTCTCTACTCTCTACTCTACTCCTACTCCTACGCCTACGCCTACGCCTACCCCTACCCCTACCCCTACCCCTACCTCTACCCCTACCCCTACCCCTACCCTTCTTTTTTGAGGCAGAGAGGCAGAGTTTCACTCTTGTTGCCCAGGCTGGAGCGCAGTGGCATGATCTTGGTCTCTGCCTCCTGGGTTCAAGTGATCCTCCTGCCTCAGCCTCCCAAGTAGCTGGAACTACAGGTGTGTGCCATCACACTCGGCTGATTTTTGTATTTTTTAGTAGAGACGGGGTTTCACTATGTTGGCTAGGCTGGTCTTGAACTCCTGACCTCAGGTGATCCACCGACCTCAGCCTCCCAAAGTTCTGGGATTACAGGCATGAGCCACTGCACCTGGCCAAAAGCACCGTTTTTCTTTTATAGAGACGGGATCTCACTATGTTGCCCAGGCTGGTCTCAAACTCCAGGGCTCAAGTGATCGTCCTGCCTCAGCCTCCCACAGTGTTGGGATTACATACGTGAGCCACTGGGCTGGGCCCATTTAAACATTTTAACGGGTATAGTTCAGTGGCGTTTAGTACATTCAAAATGTGCACCCATAACCGTTTAGTTCCAGAACATTTTCATCACCCCAAAAGGAAACCACCTCCCCATTAGCAGTCGCTCCACATTGTCCCTTTCCCTTAGCCTCTGCCAGCCGCTAATCTGCTTTCTGTCTCTGTGGACTTACCTGTTCTGGACATTTCATATGAATGGAATCATTCAATATGTGGTCTTTTGAGGCCGGCTTCTTTCACTTAGCATAATATTTTCAAGGTTCACCATGTTGCAGCGTATATCAGTACTTCATTGCTTACTGTGGCTGAATAATACTTCAGTATATCTACACATTTTGTTTATCCATTCATCTGCTGATGGGTGTTAGGATTGTTTTTATCTGTGCTACTAAGAACACGGGTGTATAAATATCTGTTTGAGTTCCCACTTTCACTTCTTTTGAAATATAAGCAGTGGCAGGAATTTGCTGAAGTGAAATTGCTGCAACATATGGCAATTGTGTTTGACTTTTTGAGGAACCTGGTTATGCATGTTTTTAACTTTGTCACGTGTACCGTAAACATGCTTATGAATTTTACACTTCAGATTGTTTTTATTCCTTTCTTAGATTTAATCCCAGGTGCAATTACTGGTTTAAGGATCATGGACACATTTTTGGTTCTCTAAACATACTGTCAAACTGTTTACTGCAAGTGTTGTTCCAATTTACACCAGCTCCATCTGTCTAAACACTAGTTCAGTTGTGAGCACTTTAATTACATTCATACAGCACTGGATATTTTCATGTAAAATAATCTTCCCTTGGTTATTTGATAATTGTAGCATGTAACATACTTAATTTTTTTTTCTTTTTTTTTGAGACAGAGTCTCCCTCTGTTGCCCAGGCTGGAGTGCAATCGTGCGATCTCAGCTCACTGCAACCTCTGCCTCCTGGGTTCAAGCGATTTTCATACCTCAGCCTCCCAAGTAGCTGGGATTACTGGCGTGCACCACCACGTCTGGCTAATTTTTGTATTTTTTGTAAAGATGGGGTTTTGCTGTGTTGGCCAGGCTGATCTCGAACTCCTAGCCTCTAGTGATCTGCCCGCCTCCGCTTACCAAAGTGCTAGGATTACAGGCGTGAGCCACTGTGCCCAGCCAACATATGCTTTTAAGAGAAGTTACCAAGACTATTGGAAATCAAAAGTATTTTATCTTTTTATTTCCTAGCAAAACAAATTCAAATCGACAGTAATAGTCTATTTTTTGAGTATTCTCCTGGAGATTTAACTCTGGGCTGAACTTATACACGTTAACTTTCACGTTTAAAATAAATTTGTGTACAATTTTTGCTTTGTGTTTTAATATTAGAATCAATCTAACACTAATAACCTGTACTGTAATTATCGCCTGTTTTTTTTTAGTTGTGACATTTTGGGGCCTCCGTAACAGGATCCTTCCTCCCTTTCCTTTGCCCTGCCCTTCTTGTCCTTTCTTGTTGAGCAACAAACTGGCATGCCCAAGTGGAATGCGCCACATTCAGTTGCCCTTTAGCCTCACGTCGGACACCCTGTTTCCAAACACGGCTGAGTCGGCTGGATTGGCTGTCTCTGTGCGACTGCTTCTTTGGGGGTATGTGTCACCGGGGCTGGTGCATGTATGTGTGAGTAGATGGTAACTCGGTACGTGACACCAGGCTATGTGGAACTCAACTGTGTAATTTTGTGTCCGTTTTCTTAGAAAGCGTTTCTTCTGTTGGTAATTAAGGCCATGGAATTCTAGAGAACTCCCCAGTGTTGGTTTTCGTTCCTGTCTCTGAAGCATAGTTAGTCTTTCCTTTCCCATCCTATGAGGGTTTCTCTGCTTGTCCTTCTCTCTTCTGGAGATCCCCTTTGCTGTTCACAGCAAGTGAGCTGTCCCTCAGTGGGGAGAGAGGCAGAAAAGGAAGACTTGGACCTATCCCTTGTCCCTTTGTGGCTGGGGTGTGAGCCAGGGTGGAGTCGGAGGTCTTGCTTCCATTTCTGCCACTGCTTAGCCTTGAGACTTCCCCCATGTCTCTGAACCTTGCAGGGCCACAGTTTCCCCTTCTGTCTTTTAGATCTGGGTCTCCTCATTTATGAAATGTGTTCCCAATCCTCATCCTGCACTGCCTGCTGGCTTGTGAGAGTAAATGAAAGGCAGTAATAGATACAAGTGCTTTGCGTTGTTCAGCAAACATTTATTGAACACTTACTAGTTACCAGGCAGGGTTCCGGGTGCTGGGCAAACAGCGGAAAGCGAATCAGCATCTGGAGGTGCTGTCGCTACATCCCGAGGCCTCTTGCATGGTGGGACCTGCCGCAGGCCAAGCACCCATCTCGAGTCTGCTGCTGGTTTGCTCTGTGACATTTGGCCACCTCCTCAGCTTGAACACAGTGTCCTTTTCCATTCAATGAGGAGGTTGCGCCAGTAGTTTTTAGCTCTAATGTCCTCTTTGTAATTTGTGGAATCACAACTTTTGTGGTATGGAAAGTAATTACTAAGACTGAATCTCTGAAGATGTTCAGCTAAAGCTGTAAACTGCATAGTCCCTTGATAGAGAGGAATTTTCTAGAAGGTTGTCTGTCAGATACCACTTACAAAGTATCACATACATCTCCAGCACCAGTGTGGCCTATGTATGAGTCTTTATTCCTGCCCTTTAATCCTTATAATTTTAAGAAAATGGAATTGTTTCCAAGTCTGTACAGAATGGTTTCCAAGTGGCTGAGTAGGTGAGGAGTGTTGTCTTGTGAAGTCATTAAAACATTGCTGTGGGTTTGCAGTCACTGCCATGGGTAATGTGTCATGAGAGAGGGTTATTGCCTCTAGCCAGAGCGCCTGCCTCCCCAAGCATAGCCAGGGGTCATGCTCTGCACCCACCTCTCTGATGGCCAAGTGGAAAGTTGGTGGGTAAAGAAATGGAGTGGGAGAGGGACAGGGAGGAAAAAAATAAAAAAGATGGACCTCTGTATGGTGGCCACTATTTGATGAGCGAAGGTCCCTTTTCTTGTTCTTTGTCACCTTTAATGTGGTCTGTAGCATTCTCTGAAGTCCCAGAGTGTGGCGCCAGGATGGAAGTCCCAGTGTGCAGACTGGAGGCATGCATGTTTAATCTGGCCCTCAGTATTCAACATTTAGAAATCAGGGACTCTCATAAAAATACAGATCCCTGGTCTCTTGGGTGGAGTCAGCATGTCAAGGACTGGGGGCGTCACCGGGAAGTGCTGTGAGTGGCGGCTGCCCCCCAGACACAGCCCTCAGAATGTGCAACTCTTGCTCTCACCGCTCAGAGAAATTTAGGGTATGAAGAAAGCTTTTCTGCAGCCACTTACCTTTGTTCTACAGAGGAAGAAACTGAGTCCCAGGCATATGAACATGTGATTTGCCAGAGTGATAGGACGAAGTTGAGGGGGCAGAACCGAGGCTGGGCGTCCTTTCTCCAAACTCTTGAAACTGTGCTCCTGGCCGGCACCCAGGGCCTCTCGGCTTCCAGCAGGTGGCAGTTGTGGTGCTGGTTTCCTGCCATTGCCTCTTTCTGGCATTCCTTTCCTCCCTCTCCTGTTCTTCTCTCCTCCTTTGCTTTTGCTTGAGCTTTCTCTCACTAGGTTTTTCCTCTTTCTCTCTCCTGTCTTTTATTCTTCCCTCTCCCCTTGCTGTTTTCTCAGATCTCCTGCCAACTGGGTGAGTGTCTAGGGCTACTTTCCTTCTAGACAGCTCTTCTGCACACTCTGCTCACCTTGCAGCTACTCAGGTCCCTGTTCTCCTGGGCTTAGAGCCCTCAAGCTCCAGCGTGCAGGCACGAGGCCCAGAAACCCTGTTGGAATGATCGCACTCCCTCTCTGGAGGTGGCCACCACTCAGAGCATTTAACTCCTCTGTGGAGGAGGAGGTCCCTTGATCCTAGATAGGCTGACTTCTTCTGAGAGTCCACATATCTGTATTTCTTCTTTTCTTTTTTTTTTTTGAGACTGAGTCTAGCTCTGTCATCAGGCTGGAATGCAGTGGCCTGATCTCGGCTCACTGCCCAACCTCTGCCTCCTGGGTTTAAGCGATTCTCCCGCCTCAGCCTCCCGAGTAGCTGGGATTACAGGCACGTGCTGCCACGCCCAGATAATTTTTGTATTTTTAGTAGAGACGGGGTTTCACCATGTTGGCCAAGATGGTCTCGATGTCCTGACCTTGTGATCCGCCCACCTTGGCCTCCCAAAGTGCTGTATTTTTATTGTTTTTAGAGGGAGTTTCACTCTGTCGCCCAGGCTGGAGTGCAGTGCTGCGATCTTGGCTCACTGCAACCTCCACCTCCCGGGTTCAAGCAGTTCTTCCTGCTTCAGCCTCCCAAGTAGCTGGGATTATAGGCGTCCACCATCACGCCCATCTAATTTTTTTTTTTTGTATTTTTAGTAGAAACGGAGTTTCACCATGTTGGCCAGGCTGGTTTTGAACTCCTGACCTCAAGTGATCTGCCCGCCTCGGCCTCCCAAAGTGCTGGGATTATAGGTGTGAGCCACTGCGCCCCGCTGAGATCTGTATTTACATGAGGTTCTCTGAGTGTTAAATGTTGGACACTAATTTAGAGCTATTGCCTTTGCTGTAAAATGTAAGCATTGCCTCAGGCACCTGGCAGGTTTTGTGAAGCTGGCATGTCACCTGAGAATCAGTGCAAATCCCTAGACGGAGGAGTCTCCTCCTAGCCGCTCTCTGCAGGTGAGGATCTAGCCCCAGTCAGGTGGAGAATGGACACAGCTGCTTCTGCAGCTCTGCACCTTCCAGGTGCCAAGCAGGCTCCAGCACACTTTCTTCACTCCCTGGTGGCCCTAACTGAAGCCCACATCCTGGGTAGGAGGGTCCATTCCAAATCTTACGCCTTGGGAAAAACCTAGGAAGGGTTATACCTCTGAAGAGGTAAAGAGTCCTTTTAGGTTATTTTACTTTCAAAGTGATGTCATAAGAATGGTAGGTATTGGATTGACATCTGCTGAGCAATTGAGGGGACATTTACCATCCCATGGGACTTTCCTCTATGCTGGATAAAGACCTAGGGTGATACTGAGGTGGGTTTGAAAAGACCTTGACACTAGATGGCTCCACCTGCCTCATGTTGCAGGCTGGGCATGTGTCTGTCCTGGACAGGCAGGGGATTCACAGACTAGTCCTGCCACCGGCTGCTGCTCTCTCCTTCCCTTGTTCCATCACTCTTCTCACACTTACTGTTGCCTGGCAAAGTAGTAAGGGCTGGGCTGAAGGTAAGGTGGATAATTCAAAGCCTTTTCTCTTGAGGGGCTCACAATTAGTAGGGAAGAGCCACAGAGAATACACTTCTAACATCGTAGTGAAGTCATTTATGTACTGAGAACTGTGGAAGCCAGAGAAGAGAGGTTAAGGGAGGCTTTGCAATAGAGAGTGACATTTGAATGATATTTTAAGATGGAGTTTGCTAGGCAGTGAAGGGCATTCTAGGGAGCTAAAACAGCTGGTCTAAAAACTCAGATTTGTGAAAAAAATGTGTTTGGAAAATGGTGAGAAGTTGGTATGCCTTAAGTGAAGGGAAATTGGAGAAAATAGCAGAGGCTGGGCTTGATAAGAAAGGCTGTTAGGGTGTTGAGTTAGCTGCTTTAACAGAGACCAAAGTAATTGGAACTGTAGCCTCAATAAGGTAGTTGTTTATTTCTTTTACTTTTAAAAGTTCAAGTGGAAGGAGGTCCAGGGTGTTTCAGGCAGCTGAGGTAGCTCTGGTCATTTCCTGGGCATTGCCTTTACTAATTTAGCTAAGCATGGCTCCAGCACCAGGCCAACTCTGCAACTGGACAGACGGAAAGGGCATGACTTGGAAGTTCTGTTACATCCTGTTAACCAGGCATGTGGATACACCTTACTGCAGGGAAAGCTGGGAAACACAGTTTTTAGCTGGTTGGCCGTGGGCCCAGCCACATCTTGGGGGTTGCATGACCAAAAGGAAGAAGTGGCAATTGCATACTGGGAAACACTCAGTAGCCTCTCCTGTAGAAACGTAGAGGCAGAATGATGAAGCACTTTATAGGGAGCTGGGAGGTTTTTAAAGAGCAATAGTATGATTTAAAAAGCTCTTTGAGAGAATGAGATGGGAGGGTCATTTGAGGTCAGGAGTTCGAGACTAGCCTGGTCACCACAGTGAGATTCCATCTCTATTTAAAACAAAAAATAAAAAAATAAATAAATAAAAAGCTCTTTTCCAGAAATGGCACCAGCCACAATGTGGCCGGCCACCATGGGGCATTACAGTAACTGGGCAAGGAGGCGATGCCGAGGGGTAAGCCTCTCCTTATGGTTGAGCCTGGCCTTTTGATGGTTTGACAGGCTGGGGGTTGGTGGGATTTTGGGCTGTTGTTATTGCATATCTACCTGAAGCCATGGACCTTTGGGCTTTGGGATTGGTCAGGAAATTGATGCCCTTCATTTGTGACTTATTTGAGAACACATTTTGACTTGTTTACATTAGCTTGTTACTAATGTGAATTGTAACTGTGGGGAAATGGTGACCACAGAGAGCATAAAGGGTTCCTTTCCTCCATGGTGGGCCGGCAGTGTCCATTCACAGCAGGAGCTTGAATAAGCTCCTGTCCTGTGCAGGTTCCTGACCCTCCGTGGTTCTGCAGACAAGTTAGTAAATTCTTGCCTCTGCTTCCTGTGCTTTTTTTTGTTTTGTTTTGTTTGAGATGGAGTCTCGCTCTGTCACCAGGCTGGAGTGCAGTGGTGTGATCTCAGCTCACTGCAACCTGACCTCCGCCTCCCAGGTTCAAGTGATTCTCCTGCCTTAGCCTCCCAAGTAGCTGGGTTTACAGGCGCATGCCACCACACCCACCTAATTTTTGTATTTTTAGTACAGACGGGGTTTCAACAAGTTGGCCAGGGTGGTCTCGATCTCTTGACCTCGTGTTCCGCCCACCTCAGCCTCCCAAAGTGCTGGGATTATAGGCGTGAGCCACCGCGCCCGGCTACTGCTTCCTGTGCTTTAAAGGGGAAAATTATTCCAACACCTCCCTAATTTGTGATTATGTTTCATTTTACATGCCTACCACAAGTATGAAGTCTTCCACCTGTTTAGAACAAAAACTTCCTGATGATGACATCCTGGGAATTCCCCAGCATTTCAAGTGCACCCTCCTAGGAGCTGGGTAGCAGGTGTTGGAGGGGAGATCACAGCTTTTAGTGGAACAGCTGAGGCTGCTCCTACCTGATCTGCTGCTTAGTTAGCTGAATCAACTTGACCAACAAGATGTGCCGCAGCCCTCGTGCATCCCAGCTTACTGATCTGTAATAACAGGCAAATCTCTGTGTGCCACATTGCTGGGACGGTGAGACAATGGTCTGGCTTGATGTTTGGCATGGTGAAAGCATTCCTGGGGAATTCTTTTTTTTTTTTTTTTTTGAGACGGAGTCTTGCTGTGTCCCCCAGGCTGGAGTGCAGTGGCGCAGTCTCGGCTCACTGCAAGCTCCGCCTCCGGGGTTCACACCATTCTCCTGCCTCAGCCTCCCTAGTAGCTGGGACTACAGGCGCCCACCACTGCGCCTGGCTAATTTTTTGTATTTTTAGTAGAAACAGGGTTTCACCATGTTAGCCAGGATGGTCTCGATCTCCTGACCTCGTGATCCGCCCGCCTTGGCCTCCCAAAGTGCTGGGATTACAGGCGTGAGCCACTGCGCCTGGCCTCCTGGGGAATTCTTGAAGACTCTTCTGTTACGTTTACCTGATGTCAGGCCTTGGATGTGTCCTCCCCTTGAGGCAAACATGGTGTCTCCTTCCATAGGGGGTCTGTGGGGCTTTTGGCCTTGTGGCCAAGGTTAAGGAGAGCTGCACGGGCCATCTCCATAATCCTATCCCATGTCCTAATTCTTTGGGCCTTTAAAGCATCTGAAAATTTGCTGCTAATGTTTATAAGGCTGGTCATGTCACAGAAAAATCAAATATACAGTTGTTTTTTTTTTAAAAACAGAGTCTCGCTCTGTCGCCCAGGCTGGAGTGCAGTGGCGTGATCTTGGCTTACTGTAACTTCTGCCTCCCGGGTTCAAGTGATTCTCTTGCCTCAGCCTCCTGAGTAGCTGGGATTACCAGCGTGCGCCGCTATGCCTGGCTAATTTTTATACTTTTAGTGGAGACAGGGTTTCACCGTGTTGGCCAGTCAGGTCTCGAATTCCTGACCTCAAGTGATCCACCAGCCTCAGCCTCCCAAAGTGCTGGGATTACAGGTGTGAGCCACTGCGCCTGGGCCAGAGTTTTTTAAAAAGGCATTTTTTCATAGCCTTACCTTTTGATACTTTATCTCACTGGTCATATGCTTTAAGGAAAAAGATATCACATGGGCACAAGGACCCACACTGTAAATAGGTTGACCTTCAGCCCTGGAAACATGGAAGGACGGGTCAAGTCTCAACTTTTGGGCAACTGGAAGCATGCTCATAAGTGAGACATTATTCTGAGATTTCTTAGAAGGGACTTTTTTTTTTTTTTCTGGAGTCTGTTGCCTTCCCCACCACCAAACAGCATTGACACCAGATGATTCCAGCCTGTTGTGTGGGTGTGTCATGCGGGAATGTGTTGGTTCCCTGCCTGTTCTACTAGGGATAGGCTGGCACTGCCTTCTGTGGAGCTGCTGTGGAGACAGTTTGACCAGATCCATGTTTAGCCAAGAGATGCTACCGACTAGGTGTCAGCCCTGTTTAACCCCATGTTCCCTCAGTTACATGGTGGCATTTTGTGGCTGTGAGGTCTTTCCTAGAGATGAACTTCATGGGAACTCACTCTTTGCTTGATAGTGAGAAGAGGAAATGTTGCTTATTGTGGGCCCATCTTGAGCCTTTGGATGGTGGTTTATTGCTAGTGGGAGATGGGAAGAAATGTGAAAAATCTTCTGCCTTGAGGTTGGGCTATTGCTCTGCCTGGGGGAGGACATAGCTTCTGTTCCCAGCAGAGCTTTGCAAAGTGACGGAGCAGGTCTGGTCTTGTTTTTGGCTGGCTGAAATACCAAGTATGCTTGCTGTGACATTTCCCCCATGAGGCAGAGAAGTCCCAGCAGTGAGATAGAGTCCCCCCTCCAGGACTAAAGCTCCAACTAAAATTCTGAATGTCCTCACTTTCTCATTTTTAACCCTTTCCTTGACATTTTGGAAAACCATGCTGACTTCCTGAGTGGAAATGCTCTATGGCAAAGCTTTGCATATTGAATTGAGGGAGAGCAGTTAGTACGGAATGGTAGGAAGCTGCGGGAGGGGTGGGTGCTGACAGGTGTTCTCAGTGGGCTCCTGCCCAAAGGGTGATGAGTCATAACTCTACGTTCTCTTTTCTCACGAATCCGTATTTTTTTCACCTGTTGAATGGCCTTCTTATTTGACACAAAGTCTCTGGCATTGCTCTTCTTCCAGGCAGAGGTGTTCCATGTTCTACCTGAGTGTGTACAGGCCCCACAGTTACTGCCTTTCTGCCTTCCTGCCTTCCTGGCCTTGGCTCAAGCAGGGGGAACAGGGAAGGGACTGGTTCTCCCTGCTGTTCCTGCTTTGGTTCTGCAGTGAATCCCTGGCCCTGGCCCTGCAGTGAATCCCTGGCCCTGGCCCTTCCTGCTTCCTGTGACAGTAGCCTCCCGTGTGGAGCACCCCAGGATCTACTCCCACTGACTGCACCAGTCATTTCCTGTGTGTGTGCAGACATGCACGCATGTGCGAGTGAATGCTCATATGTAAGACTGGGCCTTTCTCCTTTAATTTTATCTTACCGTGTTTAGGAATACCTCATACTTTTGGTTCGTCCTCAGCATCTCCTCTTTATTTTCCCTGCTATTGTGTGGTTTTATTTGTCACAAGTATTTTTTTTTTTTCTCTCCTCTGCCCCTTCTAATATCTTGGAGAGGGATGGAGACTGAAGAGTGAGTTTGGTCCTCCACTTGATCCAGGTTCTTATTTTTGTTTTCTACTTCAAAGCGAGAACTTGGTACTGTGACTTTGATAAGAATTGACTTCAGGCCCAGCAAGATTTCTCATGCCTGTAATCCCAGCACTTTGGGGGGCCAAGGCAGGAGGATTGCGTGAGCCCAGGAGTTCGAGACCCACCTGGGCAACATAGGGACCTTGTCTCTACAAAAAATAAAATTAGCTGGGTTTGATGGTGCACATCAGTGGTCCTGGCTACTCGGGAGGCCAAGGTGGGAGGAATGCTTGAGGATCGGAGGTCAAGGCTGCAGTGAGCCAATATTGTGCCACTGCATTCCAGCCTGGGCAACAGAGTGAGACACTGTCTTAAAAAAAAAAAAAAGAATCAACCTCAGTAATATTCTTATCTTTTGAATAATTTTTCTTTGTTGAAGAGTCATTCCTAGAACAAAATACCAAGTTAACTCTCCTCTCCTGTCTAGTTGTGTGCACCACAGGCACTTGGTTTATTTATGGGTTGACAAAACCACTGCTGTTCCCATGGGCTGTTTCCCATCATAGGGAATGCCTTATGCAAATAGGCTGATACAGTGGATGATGCCAGAATTAGTTGATAGATAATTACCACTCACCCATTAGCACTTATTTAATTCAGTCTCTGTGTTCTGCTTTGATGAGTAAGCACTGGGATAGAGAAGTAGGGTACATATCCTGGTTATGTTTGCCATGTTGTCATGTTTGCATTTTAAAGGCCTGCATTAATGTGCTTTGTGTGAATTGGTTCTCCGTCACAGGCATTAGTATGCACCCCCTGAGCACAGCCTGGGCCAAGAGCTATGGGGTACAGGTGGTGGATCAAGGGTAGCTGTGTATGGAAGTTTGCCCTCTCCCAACAAGATGAATCAGACACTGAAATACCCACAAGACACTTAATAAGTGTAGTAACTGAAGTTCTGACAAAATGGCATGTCAGTATAGAAAGGGTAAGAGAGATTAATTCTGCTTGGTGTGCTCAAAACACCAAGCTATTCCTTAAAGGATGGGCACCTATTGGTGTGATTGCTGGATGCCCCATAAGGATATAAGTGTTTCAAGGGCAGGACCATGACTCTTGTGTTCACCACTGTGTCTCCTTTGCCCGTGGTACTCAGGATTCAAATGGATGGATCGATGGAAGGAAGGAAGTGTGGATGAATGAACAGATGAATGAATAAATTAAATGAAGGCAAAATTCTAGATAGGAGGATAGCTTCAATGGTAAAAGAGTGGCATGAAGAAGTTAGGCATACTGGTGAAATTAATACTGGTTTGGCTGACATGTAGAACGCTTGAAGGAGAATGGCCAGAGAAAGGGTTGGAGGAAAGACTTAACTCAGATGATAAAAGCTCAAAAATTTTGGCTTTTCTTCCTAAATAGTGGACACTAAACAGCAGGAAACATTTGGGTAGGTCTTGGCCGTAAGCATGCACAATTCAAAGTTTTGAGACTAGAATTTAAATTGGAAAAAGACTCCTGATATAGCCTTGTCTAGCTTCTTTGTGCTGTAGATAAATAACCGAAGATACCTGCCGCAGGCTACAAGTTTAGTTAACTAGCAGCAAGGCCATAGCCATTTCTGGGCTCTCATTTCTTGGTTGTCTTGTCTTTAGATGTGTGCAACAGCACCGATCTTCCGGAAGTCGAGATCATTAGCCTGCTGGAGGAGCAGCTGCCCCATTATAAGTTAAGAGCCGACACCATCTACGGTTATGACCACGACGACTGGCTCCATACACCTCTCATTTCTCCAGATGCCAACATTGACCTCACAACCGAGCAAATTGAAGAGACGTTAAAATACTTCCGTAAGTAGTTGTCCATGTGTGTTGTGATGGCAGTATCATGATCAGGTCTTCTTAGCCATGGCCCCAAATAAGATCTTGTACTGGCTACCCTGTGATGTGGCTTGCCACCTCTGGAAAGGTAGTCAAAGAAATGCGGCTGTAGGGGTTAACCGCACAAAAGGTCCCAATTTTAAATGTTCTGAATAGAAATTTTAGAGGAGTGAGGACCAAGTAAGATTTTCATTTGAACCAACTTTTTATGTATTTATTTTTTTGAGATGGAGTCTAGCTCTCTTGCCCAGGCTGGAGTGCAATGGTGTGATCTCGGCTCACTACAACCTCTGCCTCCTGGGTTCAAACGATTCTCCTGCTTCAGCCTCCCGAGTAGCTGGGGCTACAGGCGCGCACCACCATGCCCGGCTAATTTTTGTATTTTTAGTAGAGACAGGGTTTCACCATGTTGGCCAGGCTGACCAACCTGAGCACTCCTGACCTTAAGCCACCCACCCACCTTGGCCTCCGAAAGTGCTGGGATTATAGGTGGGAGCCAACTTTTTTTTTTTTTTGACTGTACAGAAGAATTTGAAAATGTTCCTATTTCTATTTCTTACCAAAAATACAAATCCTTAGAAACTCACTGGGAAGGTGTTTGTCTAAATTTAAAACCAAAGATATTGGGAATATCCAGGCTTCTCATTTATGTGACATAGCAAAATATGTGTACCAAGGCTGATAACTGTTGTGTGAAAGCTCACTAAGCTGGATGTTTGGAGAGTCCAAATATCACTGCAGCAGCAAACCAGTCATTCTGATGGGCTGCAGAGCTGATACCTGGTAGGATAAGCAGTAAACTAGGTGAGTGTTTTCAGTGTGGTCATGATGGCCAGGGTGTGAAACTTGATATTGCAGACTTGAAAAAAAGGATAATTTAAAAAATGAATACTTTATGATTCTGGTATTTATTCAAAATGTGCCTTTTTAGAAGTAATTTCACTCTTTAAAAACTTATGGCAGCCAACAATTTACATATCTGTGTATCACTGTGTCACTTAAAAAAAAGTATAGCAATCCTCCTACCTGCAGATAACTTGGTTCAAAACCAGCTTATGTTGCATCTTTAAAGATTTCTTGTAATTATTTTTACTAATACAGGCTGATCTCTCCAATTTTCTTGAATTTGTGAGATTATTTGTAATAAACAAATTGGTACTGCAAGTTTCTCCTTTAGGGTGTATCTAGGGATGTTTTCAGTTCTCTTTATTAGATATTAATAAGAAAAAGGTTTTGCTTACATTGACCCATAAACCCTACAGAGTCTTTGTGAATACTGCAGATAATCAGTTTCAATATGGATAATAACAGAATAATCCACACCAGGGTAGATATGAAGCATGTTAGAATTGTACTCATATTGAAGTTAAAGCTTTAGAATTTCTAATGTGTCTTGTAGCATATAGGAGGCTCTTAGCAAGTCATTTTGTTGATTCACAACGTCTGTACCACCAAGGAGATATGTGGTATCATATGGAAAACTGAGTCTACAGTAACCTCCTTGGTAGATTTTGTATTTGCTTTTTTCAGACTGTAGACGTCTGCAAAAAAATTCACAAGAGAATAGTAGAGTTTGTAACAGAATTATTTTTTGGGAAATCTCTCTGCGTTACTTACCTTTCCTTAGGAGACCCTCTTGTGATTCTGCAGTACCTATCATGGCCATTTCTCTCACAGGAGGCTCCTGGGTCCCATTCATACACTTTTTTTTTTTTTTTTTTTGGTTGAGACAGGGTTTTGCTCTGTTGCCCAGGCTGGGGTGCAGTGGTGCACATATGGCTTACTGCAGCTTTGACTTCCTGGTCTCAAGCAACCCTCCCACCTTAGCTTCCTGAGTAGCTAGGACTACATGTATGTACCACGTACCACCACGCTCAGCTAATTTTTAATTTTTTTTGGAGAGATGGGGTCTCCCTATGTTGCCCAGGCTGGTGTCAAACTCCAGGCCTCAAACAATCCTCCTGCTTCAGCCTCCCAAAGTGCTAGGAAATCAGGTGTGAGCCACTGCACTTGGCACCATTCACACTTTGATTAATCACTGACATTTACAGTGTAATTGGAAGACCATCCATGGGCAACACCACACAATTTTCAGAGAACATTCACACAAATTGCCTCATTTCATTCCTGTAAAATGCCTACAGTTGGGTAGGGCTGGTTTTATCATAGGTGAAATGGATGTGTGAAAGGCTCAGTGTTTACTCCATGACACTGAGCCACAGTTTCTAAAATCTGTTTAACAGTAGACTTGAGGCCGGGCGTGGTGGCTCACACCTGTAATCCCAGCTCTTTGGGAGGCCGAGGCGGGTGAATCACCTGAGGTTGGGAGTTTGAGACCAGCCTGACCAACGTGGAGAAACCCCATCTCTACTAAAAATATAAAAATTAGCCAGGCATGGTGGCAGATGCCTGTAATCCCAGCTACTTGGGAGGCTGAGGCAGGAGAATCACTTGAACCTGGGAGGCGGAGATTGTGGTGAGCTGAGATCGTGCCATTGTACTCCAGCCTGGGCAACAAGAGCGAAACTCCATCTCAAAACAAACAAACAAACAAACGAAAAAACAAACAGTAGACTTGAACAGAGAGTGAGTGTCTTTTTTGTTTGTTTGCTTTGTTTTTAGTTATACAGTTAAGAAAAAAGGAGAAATCCTGGTAGTAGATAACACAACTTATGATAAAACTGGAAGAACCAAAATAAACATTGAGCAGAGATTCTGAAAGTTCTTAGAGCCTGCTTGCCTCCAAGCCTTAACTTAATTCTGTATCTTCTGTGGTTCCTGTAGTTAGAGCAACATAGCTATTTCCTAAATATCTGTTAATTGAACGATCAGGTGTTAACTCTTAAATACAGGACCCTGTAGAGCAGAGCTCTCTCACTAAGGTCCTGCTACCCCTAAAGGGTCTGTAGAGAGAATTTAGGGGTTCCATGCACTTAAAAAGGAGCAAAAAAATTACTTTTATTTTTATTAACTTCTAACTGAAATGCAGCATTTCCTTTAGTTATGAACATAGACACACATAGGCACAGTGGTATTAGCAGGACCTGTGATATTGTCACCAGTAGAAATCACAGATATTTTCATGTCATGCTTCAGTGGAAGCAGTTACTTTGAATAACTGCCTTTGTTCATCACTGCCATGAAGTTACATTTGTTGTTAAATGTGCTGATAGATCTTTTATTTCATGTCACAGTTGGGTAGAGCTGTTTTGTTATAGGTGAAATGGACGTGTGGAAGGCTGAGTGTTGTGGAATACACTGGAATTCTGTCTTATTTATTTAGATCTTTTATTTCTTTTATTCTTTAATAAAGAAGCACTTATCAGATATCACAGCCTTTTTTTGTCGTTGTTAATATCCCAGAGTTTTTCAAGTTTTAGATGGAATTGTTTTCCTTTTCAGTCCTTTGTATTTTACGTCTTCAAAGCTTTCTCCTGAGGAAAGGGTCTGTGAGCCTTGCCAAACTGGCAGAGCGTCACCAGAAGGCACAGGTTCAGAGTCCTGCTGTGTGCATGGTATCCTTTTTGGGTTTCGTGTGTTTGTTTACACGTGTGTAACCCTGGAGATGCTGTGACTCACCAGTATGTTGTATCAGTTTTGAGGCGTGTGAGAAGACAAGGTAGCCTGCATCGATTAGGGCAGAGGTTCTCGGTTGTGGGCGGGCATGGGGATAAGGAGCGCTGGGGTTCTGATACGCTCCCCTACGTGAGAAATCCTAGAGAAGAGGGCCAGCTACACATTGCTATGCAGATCAGAGCAGACACAGCCCCTTCCTGCACATCCTCCCCCTGAGTGGAGAAACGCGGCTTTACCTTTTAAATTTGGCCCTCACTTGACTTCCTAAGAAGAGGCGAGAAAGCTTTGGGCATCCACCTTTGCCAGGTGGTACAATGACCTTTTCAGAGAAGTTTTAGTGCTTCTCCCAGTCAGGTGGACTTGTAACTCCTGAGTCTGAGAAACACAGAAAATTAAAATGACCCACAAAACAAATATACCCACAACGATGGGACATTTGGGAGAAAGCATAGTCAACGTACGGTACTTGCAGTGTGCTGGGTAATCCTCAGAGTGGCCTGAATTTAATACTCTTGCATTCTGCACATGAGGATGGCGAGGCTCAGGGAAGTTAGGGAAAAGTCACATACCTAGCAAGGTGAGTCAGACCTAGTTTGTCTGGTCTGACTCCATCTCTTACCCAGTATCTCAGATTAGCTACAAAGGGGACAAGAAAACTTCTTGTTTAAGAATGAAATTCATCTGGTGAAATACAAAAAAAGCAAAAACCCCATCAAAACCTTAGTTTCAAAATCTGTCAGTAGCTTATTTATTTATAAATAAATAAAATATATGTCTAACATATTCAAAATTCATTTTTTTTCATGGCTCAGGGCATTGTCCCAAGTGACACTTAGCTTGATACAGCTTAATTTGAAGATGAGGTTTCTTTTTTCCCTGTGATTTTCACCTCCATCCTGTGGCTTGTAGGTCACACTTCCCTAATCCCTGGTGGAAATGACAGTGTGTGCTATAGACTTTTGTAGTCACATAACACGCAGCAGACAGCAGACATGAAAGCTGCTGCATTGGTCTTTAGGTGGCTATGCAACTCTTTTTGGTCCCTTCTTCCAGGGGCTGTTCTATGTAACTTTTTGGTTAAGGAGCATTGATTGAGGGAAAAAAAAAAAAATCCATATCTCACCTGCATATGATCTGCAGACCACCCTCCCTGAGTTTACCTGGAGCAGCTTTTTCCTAAGAAGAGAAGGTTATGAAGCAAATAAGAGTTTCAAAATATTGTTCCATCGTTTGCTTTTACTGTAAAGTAATATTAAGGAATTAGCCAACAGTATTTACTGAGTGACTGGTATTTACCTCTGATCCTTTGAGGACTTGTTTGCATTTCAGCTCAGGTTTTCTGACTAAGGAGATAAAAACATCTCCTGGACTATTTATTTTTTTCCGTGACCTAACCCAAGGACTTTGCACTGGGTTGGACCAATGCAGGCAGCTCTTGAGGCCTTCGGTGCCATCCTACCCTGAGTTGCTTACTTTGCTTATGTGGGAGGAGGGAGGGGGGTCTGGGAACCTGCATATTAAACCAGCTCCCCTTGCCATTTTAACTTTTAAAAATTGAACTTAAAAGTAAACAACAACAACAAAGACCTTTAATCTAGTCCAACCATCATTGTTCACATGGGGCCCCTGAGGTGCGGGGTGCATTGACTTGCTAAGCCTTGCACAGCCAGGGTATGTGGGGCCAGGAATTGTGTGCAGGTCTCCTCACCACTCTAGAGTTGTGTCCATAAAGTAGAACCTACAGTAATATTATTATACCCCCATTTTCACCTTTGCTCATTCACTTGTGTCCACACGGTCACAGACATAGCAAGCGTTTATACGGTTGGTTTTATGGGGCAACGAACCTCATGTTTTTTACTCATGCAGGGCTCATCCCAGGAGAGTGGGAATTTGCTCAAGATAAGGCATGAGGACCCGGAGTATCTGGCATGGAGTTTAACTGGAATCCCTCTACCTCCACCACTGTACCTGGAGGCTCCTGTCTCCCCT